>NC_000002.12:191732042-192035072 GCF_000001405.40 Homo sapiens | reverse complement strand
TAAGAAAGGATGAATGTGGAGTGAAATTGAATCCTGTGACAGGAAACAGTGGGGAAACTAAGGATCATTAAAAAAGGAAGAGACATCAAGTTGGCAAATGATACTGACCAATCTTCTAACACACTTATCCCCGAAGGCCTTGCAGGAGGATAGAACTGGAAACTTCACGGCAGGTGTGTTTACCTACCCATCCATGCCCCCTCCAGTGAAAAGCAGGATAGGGCAACTCCTTCAGGATGATGGAAAATGCCTCAGACTGGCTGGCTGTGTCACTGTCCTTGACTTCTCCTCACAACTAGTATGACAGGTTGATGTGGCCGAGCGTCAGAAAATCGAGAGAACAGTTAGCAGTGCTTCCAGGTCTCCAGAGCCACAATGCCTATGACAAAGGATAAAATGAACCAGAGACAATCATAACCAAAATTATAAAGTAGGACAACAATTTATAAACAGGAGAGAGTAAAATGCTTGATTGGGTTCTGACAAGAAGAATATATTTAGAAAGATAAAACCAAGCTTACAAGAATAAAGCAGAAATTGATTTTCCATATAGGACCTACCAATGTAGAGATTAGTAAAAGGAAAAGAAGACAAAAAAGGTAAATCCATTTTTGTTCCTACAACGTGCAACATATTCGTGATTTTTTTTCCCCATGGAGGAGTGATGGGAGAGTGGAAGGGAAGGGAATGAATATATTTTTCAGCTCAATCTTTGACTACTTCTCATAACCTAACTTTAAATTTTAGGATTTGTACTTAACACTATATTGAGATTGTTATTTTAACTGGAATTCTAAGATTTGTGAACTGTAAATGAAAAACATACTCATTAAATTTTATTTTTTCTTGATACTCAAAATCATATTTATAAAAAAAGGATTTTTTTTTTTTTTTTTTTGAAATGGAGTCCTGCTCTGTCACCCAGGCTGGAGTGCAGTGGCACGATCTCGGCTCACTGCAAGCTCCGCCTCCCGGGTTCACGCCATTCTCCTTCCTCAGCCTCCTGAGTAGCTGGGACTACAGGCGCTTGCCACCACGCCCGGCTAATTTTTTGTATTTTTAGTAGAGATGGGGTTTCACCATGTTAGCCAGGATGGTCTCAATCTCCTGACCTCGTGATCTGCCCACCTAGGCCTCCCAGAGTGCTGGGATTACGGGCGTGAGCCACCATGCCTGGCCAAAAAAAGGATTTTTTAAAGGAGAAAGAGGTGCAAACCTCTTTAGTTAGTAAAAACTAACTAGAGAATTCTCACTAACAAAAGGCCTTGTTACCAGGATAGATGGTCAATTTGTGACTGAGTTGTAGCCAAATCATAGGTGTGGGATAATCACACTATATCAAAATTTAAATGTAAAAATCTGCCTATCTTTATTCATTGACCATGAACCAAGAGCTCCAGTCCTCCTGGTCATATTTAATAGGGAAAAATATGTTTGGATGGATTGATGGATGGAGGGCCAAACAGATGGATGTATGGAGAGACTTATCTAATGAGGCAGCTTGGTATTTTGAGAGAGCACAGGTTTTGTGTAAAAAAAAAAAAAAAAAAAATCCAAACTGGTTTTTTTGTGCTAAAAGCAGTCTAATTAAGAGCTGAGCTGCTAAAATCAGTTTGCTTGGCTTAAATTTTGGTGTGTCCACTTACTGCTGTGTGGCCTTATGCAAATTTCTTAACCTTCCTGAGTCACCAGGTTCTCATTCATATAAAGAGAATTTGAACATCTATTATATGAAGTTATTAGGAATATACGTAATAACTATCATCAATCTCAGTTTTCTTTGAATTGCTTATCTAAAGAAGTTTATCTCAAAAGTATCTTTGCCTATGTCTTAAACATTTATTATTTATACTGATTTGGAGGAACGTATTTGTTCTGTCATTATTGATTACCTGTATGATAGTGTCTTAGTTCATCACAGAAATTCTTTATCTGACTCCAAAGCAGACACTTAAATAGGCCATGCATGTTAGCACTTATTCTACTGGGGGCTTGAGGTGAGTGGGTATTAACACAATCAAACCAATTGTTTGGGTTTGTAAAAACAAAATTAGTGCTTTAATCTATTTTTATACTTTGAATACTAGTGTAGGTATTAAATAAAGAGCTTAAACCAAGAAAAACCATACCATCCTGAATCTTAGGAAAGTTACTTTGTTGTTGTTAGAGAAAAAAACAACAGGTTTATTTATAATATAAAATTAACAGCAATTGTTCACAAAGACGACTTTGTTTGCTACTCAAAAGGACCCTGTGAGTGTTCCTATCCTGATTTTGCTGATGAGGAAACGGGGAGAAACTGTTAGGAGGTACATTCCTTACACTATGTCCTATGGCTGATAAGTGAAGGGGGCCAAGATCTGAACATAGGCATTCTGGCTCCAGAGCCCAGGCTTCTCACTACCTCATTAAATTGCCTCTCAAATAATCATACCGTGTTAAATGGGCTGGATGGGACCTTGGAGATCATATAATCCTGTCTCTTTGTATTACCGCTTGTAACTGTAAAGCAGAGAGAAGTTAAACGATCTGCCCAAGGTTATACACTTCCGTCTCTTTCCCAACATAATAACACACTCTCGTTGAAACTCATTTCTAGGATTTATACAAACTAATGGCAAAGTCATGACATTTTTTAATTGAATGCCCAATAAAAGAATCATTTTCATCTTGTTTTACCATCTCATGTCCATGAGTAAAATGTTGAAAACGTGTTGCAAAGCCAAAAGGGTCCTTATCTTCATGAATAGCCTGCTTTTTTATAGAAGAAGGAAAACCATCACTAGGCTGAGTCTGTTTTAAATGAAATAAGTATGTAGTCATTTTCTTGGTGAAGAGAATCTCTGGGGCATTAAGGGAAAAGATGGCACATCTGACCTTCTAAGTCATGTAACTTCAACTTAGACAATATATGACTTCAAGAAAAGTATCATCTTTCCTATAGTTGCTGGTCTTATATATCTTATGAGATCCTTCAGGTCACTTCACTCTGGTTTCAGGTAGAAAACCAATGGGGCTAAAAGTGCTTTGTGTTTCCAACAGACCAATCAATTTTATTTTTAACTGTTAAAGTATTTGTTGCTGTTCAGTCAATCTTTTACTCTTGCTTTAGTCAGACATTAGAGAGGATGATTATAAGTAAGTATATTATCTGAATGATCTTCTGATTTCAAAGTCAGGGATTATTTTCCTTGAATGTTTAAGTGGTCATCTCTACCTTTTCCAAAGCCAGAAAGCAAGAAAGGCTGTGGGTCATCTTCCTTGAAAAACTACATACCACAACTGAACACAATTTAAAATTGCAGCCATTAGATTAAAATCTCTCTCAAGGGTTCTACACAAGGGCTCATTTTGGTGTTTTATATAAAGGCCCAGCTCCCTGACCAACTTTTTGACCTTAGTTGAGTTACCTAATCTCTCTGAACCTCAGCCTCTCTACCTGTAAAGTGGGAGAGACAACAGTACTTACCCACAGGATTTTTATAAGAGTTAAATCCTAAAATGTATATAAAATTTTTAAGACATGACTTGATGCTTAATAAATCTCAGATGTTATCTCTGTGAATTCAGCATTCAATTACAATGCACTTATCTAGTTCTGAGGCTTCCGTTTTTATCTTTAGGCATATTATGGACAAATATTTTTGCCGCTCTGATTCTCACGCTCCAAGTATTCATTCATTTATATAACACATTCACTGACTGTCTGCTAAGTGTCAGGCATTGTCCCAGGCACTGGAGCTACAAAGTGAGCAAAACAGATAAAAAGTTCCATTATTGAGCTTACCTTCTATTAGGAAAACATGATAAATAAGTAAGCATATATGTAGTTTAATATAAATAAATGCTCAGGTAAAAAAATAGTGTAGAAGTGACACAGGACTTATTAGGATATATTGGACAAGAGTGTTAAGGAAGTAGGTCATGAATATTGCAATTTCAGATAGGATGACCAAGGAAGGCTTTCCTAAGGCAGCAATATTTTAGTAAAAATGTGAAGGAGATGAGGAAACAAACCCTATGACTATCAGATCATTTCTGTCCCAGATCACAGCAAACATTTATGTAAGCACCAACCACATGCACTCTATTTTAGGTATCTGTTTCTTGACTCTGTATGTCCCAATTTAACCCATCAACTCCCCGCCCCGCCCAACCTGCAGTATTTCTGTTCTATTCTTCTAATCATGCAGGCGAAGAATTAACCATGCCATTGCTGATGCTTGCCTTCTGTTCCCCTGTCCGTGCATGCCAATGTCCATCTACTCAGCTGCTAAGTCCTAAAAATTTATCTCCACAGTTCTTTCACATTTACTGTATTCTTTTTGTTTCTGTTGACACCAGTGTAGTTCAGACCCATAGTACCTTTAACTTGACTATCTTAATAATCACCTCACTGATGCCTCAAAGGCCAGCCCACAGTGATCAGTTCACTCTTTGTAGACATCCATGGGCTTGTCAGTTCACAATTTCAGAATCTTCAGGAATTCCCTGAATCAAAATAACAATAAAAGAGGTTGGGCAACTCTGTGGCTTGTCAACAACATGCGGGCTCTGGGTCAGCTCACAGATTCCTTTGGCCTTCTCATCATTGAAACAGGAAGGCTACAGCAAGCAGAAGCAGCACAATAACCAAAGGCAGAAATGAGTAAGCCTCTGTATCAATGAAAGCTTACACTTTGCTATCACCACCAACCACAGCTGATTTCTTTTCATCACCATGGTTGTGTCACATATGTGTGCTTATAGCAATCATGGGAAAGGGAACACCAATCAACATGCTTTCCCTCAACTCATGACCTTCTAATATCTGAACAGATTCAAGGATTCTTTAGCAAGGAAGAAAGGGAGCAGAAATGGCTTTTGGATGGGCAGCAAATAATGTCTGCCAAATCCTCTACTGAATAAACTATTGACTATGATATGCAAGCCTTCTGAGAATAACCTTATTTTTCCTTCTTCAACATGGTTTAGTCAGTATGTGCTCTGGACTCTCTCATCTCCATGCCCTAGATCGGTTTGTCTCAATGTGTGGTCCAGCGACTAAGATATTATTTGCCTTTTTTATTCTCATTCTTACACAAATGCACAGTGGAGTTTTCCAGAGGCTACTTGATATGTGCTCTTCAACAGATTCAATGAAGAAGCAGGTATAGAATCCAGCTTTGTTGTATTAAGCCAAGGATTAAAGGGGTTTTCAAAAATGTACACAGTGCCATTCTTCTCACTGAATTTATTTTTAGAAAGCATATTCATTTTTTTAAAAATGTTATCTATCTCAACATGCAATGGGTATGTTATTGTTTCTAAATCCATCGATAAATACAAATTTTAAATGCCTCAATTGCATTTTCTAATATGATAAATATCAATATGTATAGAATGCATAAATAAAAGCTCTTTGGGGTCTTCCAATAATTTTTAAGATTATGATGGGGTTCTGTGAGAAAGTGGTTTGGGAAATGTTGTCCTGGCCTAGATTACGTAGCATCTTCTACCTGTGATGCCACTTCCTCCATCACGAAATGCTCATCCTAAAAGATTTAGGTCAGAGGACTCTTCCTCAGTCCTTGGGAGGAAGCTGTCATTCCACTGAATCTCAATGTATTCCTTTTCTATTGCTGCATTACAAATCATCCTACAATTTAGCAGCTTAAAACAACAATGTTTATACCTCAGAGTTTATGTGGGTTGGGAATCTGGGTGTGGCTTAGCTGTGCTTCTGACTTAGGGTTCCTCCTACAACTGCAATCAAGATGTCAGCCAGGGCTGCAGTTCTCTCAAGGCTCAGCAGGGGGAAGATCCACTTGCAAGCTCACTCATGCGTCTGCTGGCAATACTCAGGCTCTTGGTGGTTGTTGGCCAAGGTGTCTTGACAAAATGGCTGAAATTCCCTCCCTTCCCCCAACCCCTAAGAAAGAGATGGTAGGTAGAGAATGGACGTGGGGGGAGGGGGAGAAGAGGTGGATGCCAGAGTATTATTTTTATAATCTAGTCTTGGAAGCAACATAGCATCATTGTGGCCTGTTATTTGTGGGGCCCAATGCAAAAGAAATATGTGAAGTCCCTAGTTCAAAAAGCAGGAAGAAGTTCCCTTAAAGGGTTTTTTCTTTCTTCTGTTGGTGTCTTTTTCTTGACTTCCTATGGTGATTTTTACTTGCTTTGTCATTCTGAGTAGAGAAAGGTTAAAATTTTAAATAATTAGCATAATTTTACCATTCATTTTTATATTGTACTATGCCAGGTTTAGATGCAAATATAAGAGCATCTAATTTTTATATAGAATCACCAAAATTACACAATTTGTATCTCATAGCTTATACATTCATGTGTATTTCATTCTTACAAGAATAGTGGAAACTTACACAAAACGAATTTAACTGTTTTTATTGCACATCATGATGCTCACGCATTCTA
Source organism: Homo sapiens (assembly GCF_000001405.40). NCBI lineage: Eukaryota > Metazoa > Chordata > Mammalia > Primates > Hominidae > Homo > Homo sapiens. The sequence continues at coordinate 192,028,655 of NC_000002.12, read as the reverse complement.
CCAACTCTGCCTACCTTTGCTTGCTGATAAGAAATGACTGAAAGGAAAAGAAAATACAGTCTGCCCTGTCTTTTTCCACCAGTGTCATAATTTTCAGTATAAATGGTTGGCTAATCCAGGGAAGTCAACTTCCACACATCCAGGGAAGTCACACACACACACACACACACACACACAAAACAGTATGATAGCGTTCCTTGGTCATTCGTATTTCTCAGGACATTATTGCCATCTTTCTCTGTGATAAACAAGCTCTGGTTTGAACAAAAGAGGCATCTTGTTGGGGCAATCTGCTTCCTCCTTACTTACTCATAGAAGTAATGCACTTGTATTAGTCTGTTTTCACACTGCTGATAAAGACATACCCAAGACTGGGCAATTTACAAAAGAAAGAGGTTTAATGGACTTACAGTCCCACATGGCTGGGGAAGCCTCACAATCATGGCAGAAGGCAAGGAGGAGCAAGTCACCTCTTACATGCATGGTAGCAGGCAAAAAGAGAGCTTGTGCAGGGAAACTTCCATTTTTAAAACCATCAGATCTCATGAGACTCATTCACTATCACAAGAACAGTGCAAGAAAGACCCCCCCCCCCCCCATAATTCAATCACTCCCACTAGGTTCCTCCCACAGGAGAATTACGGGAGTTAAATTCAAGATGAGATTTGGGTGGGGACACAGCCAAACCATAACAGCACTTACCTTGTACTTGCTTTGAGTCTCACGAGTTCCCATGACTCATGGGGTCACCAGAATCCTGCGCTCATGAGGCACTGAGAACCATCTATGTGAACAAGGTGGCAAGGGGAGGAGGCAGACACACATATTGAACACAGCTCATGGAGCTCATGCTCTGATCCATTGTCTCACTTGACTTCATTTACAAAATTCAAAGCTAAAATGATTAAGAATATCAAGTTGATGACAACAGAACATTAAACCAAGTTCAGGACTCTGTGTGCCCTGTGTGCACTGGCCACATGCCTGTAAAGCCAGCCCTGCCCATCACTTCTCCTGTTTTACAAGAATAGTTACTAGTTACAGCCCACACTCAAGGGTAGGGCATTACACAAGGGCATGAATACCAGGAGGCAAGACCCTTGAGGACCATTTTAGATGTTGCTGCCACATCCAACATCATCTTTCTGTTTTGACTTGTTCTTTTCTTTCGTATACTCTCTATATAGTTACTCATGTACATATTATTTTGTATACTGTTCTATGTGATAATCTCCTTAAGGATAGCGCTCCTCTCTGATATATATCCTGACATGCCTTTATCATATGTAATATACAACACAAAGCAAGGACTGAATACATGCTTTTGGAATGAATGAATAAGTGAATTAATGATGCAGTGGAACTTTGATTTAAATTCTGGTAATCAGTCTTCGTGAAAAATTACCATAATGAGAAGTTGACCTTAATATTTTCCTCAAATATTGCAAGATTAAGACTGTCGTTATTATTTCAGATCCTTATTTTTGCACAAGCCACATATACTGATTTCTCTTTATTCCCCCTTGTCATGAACTGTCCCCCCTCTAAACATGGATTTTTTCTGACCTCTTAAAAAATCTTATTTAAGTTATTGTTAGGGGTGAATTATTGTACTTGAAAAGAAAATTAATGATACAAGGGACAGCTGGAGAATATCTGGAGAAACTGTTCCATTGGCATTTATATTTTTATTTTGGACTGCATCAAAATGGCAGGGGAGCTACGCCCTTTTAATGGCTTGCACATGTGGTCAGGCATTGTGTGAGCAAATAATGCTTCCCAGTGCTTGTATTCAATTTTCAGAAAAAGAAAATAAAAATGAACAGAAGTCTTTGTAGATCTAAGCATTTTCTTCAGTTTTCTTCTTCGGTCTATCCCACAATGCATAAGCTTTCACTTCTAGATCTGTTTCAAGGGTCTTTTATAATGACAGAAGCTAAGTCTTTGTTTCCAAGTAGCAGAATACAGAATGCATCAGTGTGCCATTTAAGAAAAACTGTTTTGTCAGTCTTGTTTATGCACTCAAGATAATACAGTGTTTTAAAAAAAGGCTGGACTCAACCTCTGCCTGTTTATTCAATATAAACAGAAGCATCCCTTTTGACGTTGTAAGGACAGGATGTGTGCTAATTTCAACAAGTAAAAGCCACTGCACTTGGCCACATAAATCCTTGTCTGAAGCAACCTTGCTGCTTCACAATATTGTGAAAGGGCACATAAAGGATGATAACGATGATGCGCATCAAATATTAATGTGCATTGACACACAGTCGTCTATTACAGCAGGAAAGTACCCACAGTGAGCTGCTATAGGGTTATGCCTCCCTTCACCTTTGTCTTTACACTTGAGCTTTCCCTCCACTTCCCATGCCTAAGTAAAACAAAGCACTCTGTACCCTAAGGAGCAACTCCAGGAAGGTCTGGCAGCCAAGTGACTGGTGGCCTGTTTAGTTAAAATAAAACGCCTATTGGGCTAATGTGTGATCAAGAGAGGATTGACATTTATTGTTTCAGGTTTATGATACTGTGAACTGAGCAAAAGTGAAAGCCACTTGGGGGCTTAGGGTGGGGAGGGGCGCACAGGGGCAGGAGTTCACAAGCAATGAATTGTATTTTTTTTCTTTACCATTTTCTTCCCAGCATGTTAGCAATAAATGCATTGTCTTTTTATCATGTTTTATGTAAGAATGTATGAATAACCAAGCAACAAGTCAACTCCGCAGTTTAGAAATAAATGTGTTGGTTAAATAGTTCAGTCAGGGATGTATTTTTCTCTTTGTATTAAGCGGCAAAAGCAGCTGTGCTGTATCTGTGCCCTGCATTCAGACATTGTATCTCCCCCTTGTGGATCAGGCCCCCTCGAGCTAGCACCCATCCCATATCCTGCTTCATTTTAGAATAGTACCACACCTAAATAGGAAGGAAGCACCAGGAATCTGTTTATGCAATTCTAAATCTTCCAATTTAAAAAGACATATGCCGAAAAATCAACATATTGCTTCCAGACAGAGTTTTTTATTATTATGGCACATCTACAGATCTCTTCCCATAGAAAATGCAAGTACTGAATTTTATACCCCACGATAATATGCTGAAGCAGAAATTTTGCTTTTTGCTACACAGAAAACAATTTCTACACTTTATAAGTGATGCCTAAGTGAGAGTTGCACCAACTTCTTAGATTTGAACTGTGCTGTTTTCCATGTCTTCTTATGAAGCAAGTTTGGGTTTTTGGTTTTTAACAAGAACGCTATATCATTAAATTAAAAAAAAAAAAAACCCTTCTGTTAGCTGAATTTTTGCCTCAGATAAGACCTTACCCAGCATCAGCTTAACCAGTAACTTCACACTTGGTTGTAGGCTCATCCTTCATCATCCCCGATCAATAATTCAAAAGCTCAATAGAAATGCTTTAAATTGAAATTGAACACACCATTAACAGTCCTAGAAAAGTGGGCATCATTCAAACAAAACAACCATAGGCACTCTGTCCATCACCAACACAATGCTTGATATAGCTTGAAGTCTGGATTCCTCACTAACTACCATGCATTTCCCTCGGATCATTACTTAGTCCTGAGTGAGTAAACTTCTGATCACCTCCCTTCATCTTGGCATTAGTCTATTTCCTTTATAATAGGCAACAGTATACCTCATTCATTCCCTCTTTGTTCGGGCCTCTCTGCTTTTCGTTAATTTTCTCCTGGCCAACCAGCCAACTCTGGCTCCCTGTGGTTATAGGAAATTATCCATGCAATGAACTTAATTTAGAAAACTCTGCTGCATAAAGAGGTGGCAGAATTATTCTTCTCATAGTCCAGTCTATGTTGACTTTCATGCTACAGCATTTCAACAGTCATTGACATAGAAATAGATGCTTAATTTAAAATGTTTTTGCAAAAGTCATTGGACGATTGATAAATAAAGCCGAGGCTAGACTCCAAATAAAGTGCTTAAAAAAGTAAAATTCTGGCATTCATCTTCCTTATCCCTTAATGGGGAAAAACTCTCATGAAACACCAACCATATATGTACTCCGCGAGTATATATTTTAAAACGTGTCTCCATTATTAGAAAATGTGCCTGCTATGCACACTTAAAATAGGTGAATTCTAACTCAAATTTTAAAATTTTACTGTAGAATAATTGTTTTTAAATTCATTCAGGAACTACCAGTGTTCTCCACATGCCTGACACAGCTCTATTCTATACCATGCTAACATAAGGAAGCATTTCACTTACTTTGATAAATTGTAAAGCTTCTCTCTTTCTGCTTATGAAAGAACAAGAATCCATCATATTTTTAAAAGCAAAACAAAAAGAACAAAATACTGAAGGGCACTCCTGAATTTTTTACAATATACAATTTTATGCTATATATAAATTGAAATAATGTGTTGGCCTAATACAGCTTGTGTTGACTTAATGCAGCTTATAGTAGAATGAAGAGTGGGAAGTATCCATAAAATATAATTCTATTTTAGTATTTATGATAAATCAACTATGGAAAACCCTCATCTATGGGAAATACATTCAAAATTATCACATGAATAGAGAAATATGGGAATATTGTGCCTTAGCAATCATAAAGATATGCATAGGAGATTTGTGACTGTCACAAGGAATATCTGTGAATTTGTCACACATTCATCCCCAAACTGTCCCCTTGGCAGTGTTCTTTCACAGAATTCCAGAAGAAACACTCTATTTAGTGTTAATCTTTCTTTAGCATGCCTTTTAATCACTTTGAAGCTTGTGATTATCTTTACTCAATGAAAGTTGCTAAACCTTCATCCAATGAGTATAGTCTGCCCCCAAGTCAGGTGATCTAAGGATAATAGACATATCACTAAAAAGGAGCTATAGAGGTGATGAGAGGAAAGCTCTCCCAGTTTAATTCTGTGTCTGACTAGCAGACCTAATGAAATTTTCCCAACTAATAAATAGAAACATAGATAGAAGATAAACAAACAGACAGACAGAGATATGAAAAAGTCAAATTAGCATAAGTGCAAAGCCAATAAAACTGGACTTAAAAATTTAATCAACACCCTCCATTTCTTTGTCTGCAGAAACAAAGAGTGCCCACCCCTACCTCCAGCCTATTTTGAAGAACATAAGGACAAACCAATCAAAAACTGTGCAGCCTTTCCTTTATAGATTGATGTTGCTTTTGGAGAAAAAAATAATACTGTCATCACCTTTCTGTTTCCCATGAGTTGTCACCTCTCTCTCAAAACTCAGGCAGAAATTACAGTTCCTAGCGTATAATTAGGCATGACATAGAAATAGGAAGTACCTGGTGTTGATGTAGTTCCCACAAGAAAAAAATGCTACAGGCAGAAGAGGTAGAGAATATAGGCAGAGTCATGGATGTTGAAAATATCCATGATTATAGATTTGTGTGTACTCAATCTATTCATGTCTTAGAGGGCAAAGGTCAGCCATTTTAGATAAAAGCCTAGGCACTCGGCTTTGAACTAAGAACTTTGTCCATCAACCTGCCAACATAGACAAATAAGGGAATATGGCCAGTGTGCAAGAAAACAGAAAATAGCATAAATCACAATCCGTACAACTTGCATATTGGCAAACTAGGTTTAGGTAAATCAGGACTTATTCAAAGATGAATAAGCAAGTAAAAAAAAAGATAAAAAAATCTTCAATGTCTTTTCTATCTTCCATACTTCATAACAAAAGGAAATCAAACATAATACTTAGTGTGACTGATTGGGAGATACTTACTTCATAAGCTTATTGTAATAAGATAAAGAATGTAATTTATCTAGAAAGCACTTAGCACAGCTCCTGGCAAGTAGTAAACATCCAATAAAGAGTAAGTATTATTATTATTGATAAACAATTGAAACTAAAGAGATGACTCAAAAACTGCTTTCCTGAGTCCAAGTAAATCCAAAAAACAAAAACTCAGTGCAGATTAAAAGAAAAAATCTCAGGCAAAATCAGTGAATTAGTGAATAGATGCCCACTCCAAGATATATCATAAAATAAGATTTTAATTATAAAGACAGAGAAGAAAAACTGACAAATATCCAGGTACAAAGAAACACTTTGCTTCCTCTATCAGAAGGGTTCTACCAAAGAAACAAAGCCACTACTAATGTTACAAAATTAGGGATGTTTCATGAGAATAAGCCCCTACACATTTGTGAGAGCTGCTAAAGTAATAAAGTAGAACATGGTAGGGGGTTGCCTCTGCATGTTGAGTTGGTCCCAAAGTCACTATAGACTAACAGGGTTATTAATCAGGAAGAAAAGTTGAATGTGAGTCAAGGACAAACCAGAACATGCAAGGACAAACTGGACCACATATCTCTCTCTCCTAGCCTTCAACTTCAATGATGAGGATGACCTGTAGAAGATGAAACCTTTACTATGAAGCTGCACACCCACCTGGGTTTGGACTCAGAGAGGCTTATGGAGGAGATCTAGTGGGAGCTTGAGATGCTGCAGGCCTCCCTGCTGCCCCACACCAACAACTTGAGGCAGCAACAGATCAGCAGTGATCAGTGTGATCAGCAGGTGCACCTGGCACCCTCCATAGATGTGCAGAGACTAATGGGTATAGCTTCACTTCCAGACAATTCTCTTATGGCCAACACTAACCCAAAACCGTGCACAAGAGGATTTCTGTGAAATGCAGTTGCAACTTAGATACCTACAAAGGAACAAAAATGAGAATGACCTCAGGCTTCTCTTCTACAAATCTTAATTCCAGGCAACAATGGAACAATGGCAACTGAATTATGAAAGAACTAAGCTATGAGCTAAGGACTTAGTTCCTGTATTTGCTTTTTTCGTATCCGAAGACATCTATCCTCCTTACTTCAGCTCACACAGATTTTCAAAATTCCTTAGATTTCCCACACCTCCATCTGCCCCTGCTCCTTTTCAGTTTGAAGTTCTTCTCCACAGCCCAATGTTACCATGTACTATGATGCTCTTGGGGGCAGTTCTCAAATTCACACTTTTGCTTGCGTCTTGTCACTTAGTTATGGCACATGGAGTCCTGCATGTTATTCTATCACACTACCTTTCTATCTCTTCTTTCCACTTTGGTTCTAGCCACGTTATTCTTTAAATTGCTCTCAGGTTTACTATGGTCTCTGTTCTTTCAGTTTGGGGCCCACACATACCACAAAATCAGTACCTAGGAGGAATGGTAGAGTCTGCTTTGAAAGATAATTCTCTTGTGTCTGTTTCACCCTTTGTCTTTTTCTATATCTTCTCATTTTCTATATCTTCTCATTTTTCTTACTTTTTCAAATTTTATTCTATTCCCTTTCTTAATTTCTATACTTATCTAAAGGGAGAAAGTACTCTGGAACCTTCAATAATCAAAATTCTATTTTCTTTCTTTGATGTTCTGCTTCAGCCTAGTTCTTCTAAGAGCCCTGTGATCAGTTCTCCTAGGAAAGTGACTGGTAAAATCAAAGAAAATTGAGTAAGTAAGTGTCCTCAACCCCAGAGTAGTATTGGTGTGAGAATTTAAAAAGAAAGACAACACCTGTGCTTGCAAAGATACAGTCTCTCTTTAAGATGTAAGGGAGGACTAGGTATTCTTAAACTTTTTAATATGCTTTTCAAACTACTCTGAATGATCAATGCTTAAGAAAAACTATTAAATAGATAAAGTGTTGTTGAGTATTACACATTTGAGAGGTCACTTTAAAATGGAACAAAAGTTCAAAAGTAAAACAAGAAATGTATTTTGCCCTTAAAGTATTAGCATACAATTCAATATGCTGTTGAAAGCACAGACACAGAGATGGTTGCAAGTCAAATGAAGGTTATATTATAATTGATACTTTGAATTGTTAAGGAGAAGCAAAGGTGAAATGGAATGCTTTTACTATTATTTTTGTTGAAATCTTATTAAAAACTTTTAATGGAATGCAAACTAGAGACCATCTTCAAGGTCTCAAGTTAAATTAGATATGCAGCCATTAATAGTATCCCTTACCATAACACTTTTTGAAAATAACTTTCCCAACACAGAGATGGGCTAATCCATTTTCTAACTTATTTGTATTTTCTTTGCTATTTCAGAGAAATTCATGAGCTCAAATGATATAAGATATAATCATCATACTTACTCCTGATTCTCAAATATAGTTGAAAATATCTGGATTGCAATTTATACTAAGTATATACATATATATAAAATGAGTAAATTTAGCATTATAATTCAGTGGTTTGCAGTCATGTTTAAGTGCTTGAGCACCTGAAAATCTTGATATTTGGTGAAAATGTTCATGAAATAACGACATTTTAATTGAACTGAATTAGAAGGAAATTCACCTGCAGAAATATGACTTTTTATATGTATGCAAGTCTCTACACATAAAAAGTAATGATTCATAACATATATTTGAGAATTAACATATGTAAGATTTGCCTTGCTTCTTACATATTCTTGGTTCATTCATTTTGTCAAATTTAGCAGCACATGCCACTAGGCAAATTGAAGAACCAACAATACTAGGGAAAAGAGGGTAGGGAAGAAAAACTTACAATTCAGAACAATTTCTTTTTTAGCTTGTTTTCCTCAGAGCCTGGAAAAAAGCTGTTATTATTTTATTTTAGTGGCAGAACATCTTGGTTGTGCTCCCAACAGAATGGTTTCCTAGAAGCATAGTATGAAACCTACTATTTTAGTGTGTGTATCTGCTCAGACACATTTCTGAAAGAGAACACTTTATCTATGTGAGCAAAGAAAAATAGTATAACTGCAGTAAAATTTTCACATTATGAAACCTCAAGGCCTTTAAAATAATTCTCATCATCCAAAACCAATTCTCCATGTAGTGTTCTAATCATTTTGAACATAGTTTACATATTATTCTAATTATTTGATTAACCGCGCCTGTCCTATTGAATCACCATCCAGCACCTTTTCAATGCCCTTTATTCTTAGTAAAGAAAAATGTGCAAACTTTAATATATCATCAGGAAAAGCCAATGCAAAATACAAGGACCCTGAAAAAGAAAAAAAAAAGACAACATTTAAAAATGTAATATTTTGTGCATGTTATAATCATCATTTCAGAGGAAGGAAGCAATTCTAAAAACAAATTTTCAAAGCTATTTTTACATTAACATTATTTTTTCTAAATGTGCATCCATTATAGTAGAGTTATCTTTTCCTTCCTTAAGCTCAGAATTAAGTCAATTTCCTGGTATGCAATGTGGCTTTATTTTTTTTGTTATTTAAATTGTTTAGCCAAAGTGAGATCAGCAACTACTTATTTATATGTTTGAGGGCACTGTGAGCTGAAATAACAAATTTTGTATAACTTATCTAACTAAAAATATTTATAATACTTCTCAATAATGATTCTAATGAAGATGTATTGAGTAATTTATTACCATCTTTTATGTTTTAAGAGTTCTGATAGTACAAGTTAAAAAAAAATAGCCTACTTCTACTCTTTTACTGAAATCAAATAGATGGCATGTGATGATTAACATAAAAAAGAACACATTCAACATAATATATTGCGATAGTGGCAGTCTAATAGAAAAATAGCAACTATTTATTTACTTTTATTTATTCGTTTTATTTATAATAGATATGTACAAAATGTAAAATTATTTCTAAGAAGATTTTTCTTTAAACACCAAGCATTACAGTAGATGTTGTCTGAATGTGTGTAATTGAGAATAATAATATTGTATAATAATATTAATATGATTGTGGCTAGAAGGAATTTATTTGATCACATAAGTACAGCAAATTAAGAATAAGATCTCAGCATATCCTGGCTACTACATAAATGTAGCAAAGTTATTTTGCTACCTTGAAAAAAATACAAGTGGACAAAAAATTGCCTAATTTCATGGAAAAACTATAATTTTGCCAGTTAATACATGAGATTCTCAAATTCACGAATTTAAAATGTTTAAATAATTATACTTTTGCTGCCTGAAAATATATTGGATCAAAATTTCAAGTGAATATCATCAGGGGATTTGGATGGGGAAGAGCAAGAGGGGAAGAAGGAGGAGAGGAGATTTAGTCTAGCACTATTTCCAGCTGATCCCCACCCAGCATTGCCAAGCTACAGGACACCAATTCAATAGGATGAAGTCAGTCAAATCCTCTTTTAAGTAATGGTTGAATAAAATAAAATGAGGGGAAGAAAATCAAGTACTCTAAATGATTAAAGCGTATGAATAAGTGAAAAATGTTTGCAAAATTGAGAAGGAAGGAGAATCGGGAAGTGGTTATTTATGGTGTCTCAATATGTAAGGGTAAAAAAAGAAATTTAATATAATAAGGATAAGCTAAAAGCAAAGAGGAAACGTTGAAGCCCTTTACCTCTCACTCTGTGATGTATAGAAATTCTAACACAGCTAGATAGTTTTTCCTCCTGGCTATCTCAAGTGAGTTTGCCAATTAGAAAGAATATTTGTTTATTGAGAGAGAATAGAAATCTGAGACTCAGATAAACAAAAACTGCCTCTAACAAGGCTTGCATTCTTACAGACTCCAGTAGAATTTATCATCCTCATAGAATCAAATGGTACAAATTCTCCCCCTCCCCTCCAATCTCTTGCTGTGACTCCATCAACAAGCCAAAGGCTTGTTATCTTTGATAAGCTTGTCACCTGAGGTAACAGTGGAGAAAGTGAGGGTAAAGAGGTGAAAGATTACAGTGAGAGGTAAGAAAGGATATATCAACTCTGGCTCATAGGCTTCTAACTTGCCTAGGTGGATGTAGATGCCAATTACTGAGGAGGGTCAACTCAAGTAGAAGCAAATTTCTGAGAAAAGAACAAGTGTTTAATTTTTAATGTTAGTTTATGGTGCCTATGAGACACCCAAGTGGATATATGAAGCAGGCAGTTGAATTCTAGTGGTTGGGTTCTAATGGATTCTGGCCTGGAGAAATAAATTTGAACGTATCAGACTGAATTGAAGAGACTGCCTATAGAGAAACTGCAAAGAGAGAAAAAGGGGAATTAGGACTGAGCTTTAAAGAACACCAACCTATAAAGCATGAAAGATAAAAAGAGATATTAAACAGGCTGAGAAGGGGGAAAGAGAGGTACAAGGAAAACCAGCGAGAGTGGTAACACAACAAGTGAGAAAAAGAATAGAATGTTCATCTATGGTGAGTGCTGCCAAAAGGCATAATGAGATAGTTAATCCAGGCCTCCACATTTCTCCACTATATTGATATATGGCTTTTGAATTGGTCTCCCTGCTTCCTGTCTCAATCTCTCCAATCGATTCCTATTCCTCCTGACAGAGGGTACTTCTAAAATAGGCAACTCTCTCTGTCATTCTTCTGCTCCCATTCTTCAAAGCTCCCTGTGTCTTCAAGGTCCTTAGCAGTTCATACACCTACCACATGGTTAATTTCAAAGTCCTTAGCAGGTCATATACCTGCTGCATGACCTGGCCCCACCTGCCTCTCCAGCCTCACTGCACTCCTCTCCCCAGTGCATGGGAACCTCCAGCTCTACCAAGCCACCTGTAGCTCCTTAAACAATGGCTTCATGCCTCTGTGTTTGGGCATAAACTCTTTCCTCTATATTGGAGATTTGTCTCCCACTTCTGTGCCCGACCAAGTCCTACTCGACTTACATTCCTTCTCTAGGAAACCTTGACACTCCACCACACCCCAAGCTCAGTTAATCATGCAGCCTTGCATTTGCCTCTAAAACAACACTCTGTAATTAATTTTTTTGTCTTTTCCTCTTAATTGTAGGGTATTGTCTTGCCCATCTTTGTATCCAAAAAAACAGTGATGCGACATGTTAGATATTCAGCACAGATCTGTTGAGTAAATGACTAAATGAATGAAAACACTAAAATTCTGCTTTGCAATTTTTCTTCTACAGCTTTCTGCCATACTTCTTTATTACTCAATTGGAAGATGTAATATTTGGTAATGCTCAAGAAAACACAACTTAGCTTCTTTTTCCTCATTTCATTTGAGGATAGCACCTTTTGGACTCTGATTTTCATTCTTTGGCTGCAAAAGAGAAACATCCAGTTTTACTGGACTTCTAATAACTAGCTGCTAAAAGAACATGAATGAAAGTGTGAAAGGCTGTAAGATGGACTCACAGGATCCTTGGCATATTTCATCTACTGAGAGCAGGGTCTTCTTAAGCCAGGAGTCAGTATTAGTGTCTCACAGCTCATGTTTCGGTTGATGAGGCATGGGATCAAAATGATATTAGTCATTTGATTGAGTGCCTTATGCAGATAGTTACTGCAGAGTTTTAGGTTGCCATGATCAAACTGTAGTGTCCAAAAAGATTATAAAATAAATGACCCTTGATCAATCTAACCTAATTTTGACTTGTTAATAAAGAAAGGTAGACATGTATTCACCAATTAATTAGACAATGTTGAATGAAAATGAAAATCATCCCATTCAGCTCCCTATACCCTGATTTCTAATGATTTTCTTAAGAGTTAATTGTATCTCTCAATTCAGGGGATGCTGTCAGCTTTGGTCCATGTGCAAGTTCTGTCTTATGATATGGCCACAACCCCAAATATTGGTACCATCATTGTTCTCTGTTTAAAGTAGTCTTTAGAATTTATAGGCCAAAAAGTGAGTACCTTTCTGTGTGACCCAAGGCATTGAATAGATATATTGATACATCTCTGTACAGACCTTATGTTTAATCAACATTCATTTTAAGTGTCTTGTCCTGTGAAAACTTCTATCATTTTCTAAGACTATAAGCCTATACTTTTAGTTAGTTTAGGCTGACAGTGATTGCTTGAACTATGACACTGTATTATGATACAGTGAGACAACACCAACATTTGTGACACTGGCATTATGCTTCAAAGAAAAGAGAATGGACCCTAGTCTCTTAAGTAACCTGACAGCTCTGGTTCCACTTTCCACAATATGATACCAAGTAAAATCACATGTATTTTCTCATAGAAACGAGCCTTCCCCTAAATGTCACATTTCAAATGTTTTCAGCTACTTATTAAGTGGTCACCATTGTTTCCTGCATATGTATTATCTTTTAAAAATATAGTTGCCCTTTTATTTAGTGTGGACTGCTTAAATACAATTACTTCAAAGTGTATTATATTTTAAAGGCTTGTGCTTTCTGCTGTTTAAAAACATCGTGAATATGATAATCATTCTTTAGCCTTTAAAAAACAGTAGACCCTAATGTGTGCAATTTAGCCACAGTTGCAGACTTTAATCATAAATTATTTTAAAGGGGCACACATATCGCAGATTATGTAGCTGAATGGACCAAGTTTGGAATGAGCATCTAAAACCCTGTATACATTTTAGTCATTACCAGACTGGCAAAAAAAAAAAAAAAAAAAAAAAAGCTTCAGTGATAGCCTCTAGAATGCCATTGAACCATTTTAATGTCCCTCTGTCAATAAAAATATTCCAATGACAAGTCACAGTTATCATCTTTAGATTCAATTTTTATAAATCTTTGTTTAGCCTAAACCTTATATATCAAGATACAGCCCAATCCCTAATGTTAACTAGGCACAAACCTAACAGCATGCTGTCTCCCCAGGCAGAACATGTGTATCAGAAAGGCAGAAGAACATTGCTGCCTAAGAAGTCTCTTTAAGTATGCAAAGGGAGGTATTATCCGCTTTGCAGTTGCTTGCCTTATTAACTACATTTACTGCAAAGATGCCTTATGAGTACTAGGCTCTGGAAATCATAGTCAAAATAAAAACATTGCCTGTGAAAAGGCAACATCTTTCACTTCAAAGTATTTATGTAATATTTAACATCCTTCTGTTGTAGTTCATGATTTAATAATAGTTGCATAAGTAATACATTGATACTCATTTTTCCTCTTGTTCTACCTAAACTTTTGAACCCACAGAAAGTAGTTTCAACCAAAACAGGCCCAAGTTTATTTGCTTTCTCAGTAGCTGTCCCTGCATCTTTGAAATGAAATAGATGTCTTGATGCAAGTATAATCGGAAGTCAGATCAGAATAATCAAATGATCAAATTACTTAAATTAGACACATACTGAATTGCCTAAAGAAGAAACTGCTCAGTTGGGAAAGGCTTACAGCAGACAGTAACCTTCAATCATTTTCCACCTCTGGAATAAATATTGAGTCATATTTTGAAGGATAGGTGATCTTAAGGATACTAACAACAAAGATTGGTACAGATTAACTAACCATTGAAAGAAAAGGCTGATTGAGTTTTTGTTCAGAATAAGGAGATTCAGACAGAGAATCTAAAGCATTTTGGGCATGACAATGAAAAAATATGAAAATTATATAATATGGATTTTAATACTAAGAATGTATATAGATAGTGAAAAGGCTAATTGTATGCACTGCATGTAGCCTAGGGCTCTCAAACTCTGGGGACCTTTACCGTTCACATTGATTACTGAAGACTGATCATTAGGGCACAAAATTCATCATCATGTTTAAAATAACCTGTTCTACCTAATAGGACTATTTGGACCATTGTTTGGTAATTAAATACCAAAATGTCTAATAACCTGTACATGGTAGGTACTCCATTTATTCAACAAATATCTATTGCACATCCACTATGAGCTAGTCATTTAACAAAAATTAACAAATATTTATCATATGTATAAATGAACTAATACTTTTTGATAATTGGAGCAAAACAATATGCATTGATCTAATTAACATGTAATTTGAATCTAAACTTTATGTCTAGATCACTGAAATATAAGCATATTTTAAATTCAGAATGTATTCATTTACTTATTCATTTTTTCAACAAATATTTATTGAGTGCCTATTTTGCATCAACCATTGTTCTAGTTGTGAAGAGTACAACACTGAACAAAGCAGACAAGGTCACTTTCTATGTGTAAGTGTACATTCTAGTGAAGAAAACAGACAATTAAAAAAATCAAGTATGGGCCAGGTGCAGTGGTTCATGCCTGTAAATCCCAGCACTTTGGGAGGCCAAGGCGGGCGGATCGCCTGAGGTCAGGAGTTTGAGACTAGCCTGGTCAACATAGCGAAACCCTGTCTCTACTAAAAATAGAAAAATTAGCTGGGCATGGTGGTGGGCGCCTGTAATTCCAGCTACTTGGAGGCTGAGGCATGAGAATCGCTTGAACCCAGGAGGCGGAGGTTACAGTGCAGTGAGATTGTGCCACTGCGCTACAGCCTGGGGGATAGAGCGAGACTGTCTCAAAAAAAAAAAAAAAGTATGTAATATACCATGATTCAGAGAGGAAATAGGTGCTGTGTTAGATAGGGCACTCAGGGTAGGTTTGTTAGAAAAGTAATATTTGAGCCATGCAAGTATCTGAGATTAGGACATTCCAGGCAGAGGGAACAGCAAGTGAAAAGTGCTGGTGGCAGAAGCATGTGGCATGTTGGAGGAGCAGTAAAAGTCTAGTGTGGTTGGAGCACGGAAAGAGTGTATAAGATTGATCAGAAATAAAATGGCATAGGTAGTCAAGAGCCGGATCACACAGGGCCTCATGAACCACGGTAAGGACTACAAGTTTTATTCTAAGGTCCAGGGGAAGGAAGCCTTTGCTAGATTTTGAGCAAGGGACTGATTCTCATTTACATTTTAAAGGCATTGCCCTAGCTGCAGCATGAACTGACTTGAGGAAAGGCAAGTAGAAATGGGAGAGCAATTCAGAAACTCTCTTATTTCCCTGGTAATTTATACATATGGACTTATCTTTTGCTGTTTTTTATATCCTGAGCATCTTAGTATCCTAATTGTGGACTAGCCTCTAGGTTTTTCTATAATCAAGGAGGAGTATTTTTAATTTGTATACATTTTTACTAATTTTTCTATACCTTTGTATTCCAATTTATATACTGGTAATTTTTCCTAACATTATAATGAGTATTTTGTGATCCAAGTGACTCTGTAATCTATGAGTATGATACAAAGTTAAAGTCATCACATTTCTTTCTAAATATTTTACATATTTTTAATTATATTCTGTTACTTTTGATTAGAACTTTACATTTTAAAAGTACTTTTGCCGATTAGGAAAAAAAATCCTAAATTAGAGAACAAACTAGTTCATTTATTTAGGGGCTAGCATTTTATCAAGGAAAACATAAGCTTAAACTTCAACTCCTGTGAAGGGGCCCCTAGCTAATACAACATTTGGATGAATAATGAAAGTATCCTGCATGGTTTGTTGGCCCAGGTCCCATTGTACCTTGATATGTGTGTGATGATAATCTATCTAAGCATGCTCCAAATCTGCCTGCCTGATAACTGTCAAGTCTCAGTAGACCTTATGTCAGTGACAAAGGTATAGAACACATACTATTCAGAGACACAACAAAAGTTATCACCCAGTGATTTTAAATTGTAATCAACTATAAGCTAACTTATTTAAACAGAATTTATGTTTTATGCTATGTCCATATATAGTGTGACACTTAAAGATATTTATTTTGAAAACAAGATAAAAGATAATATGTAGGCCAGGCGCAGTGGCTCACGCCTGTAATCCCAGCACTTTGGGAGGCCGAGGCGGGTGGATCACGAGGTCAGGAGATTGAGACCATCCTGGCTAACACAGTGAACCCTGGTCTCTACTAAAAATACAAAAAATTAGCCGGGCCTGGTGGTGGGCCGGGCGAGGTCGTGGGCGCCTATAGTCCCAGCTACTCGAGAGGCTGAGGCAGGAGAATGGCGAGAACTTGGGAGGCAGAGCTTGCAGTAAGCGGAGACTGCGCCACTGCACTCCAGCCTGGATGACAGAGCGAGACGCTGTCTCAAAAAAAAAAGATAATATGTAAAAATAAAAAATATTTTGAATTTAGAGTTTATAACTGAGCTTGCTTAAAATAGAAGACTGACAATGTATAAAATGGATGACTAGACTGGGTAAAGATGAATCAGATCTCTCTTACACACTATATATAATATATACATTGACCAAACAAATTACAGTAATTAAAATACTGCCAAATTTCAGGTAATAACTGATAAGTCTAATGTTTGTCAATAGCTTGTTGGTTTCATAAAAATGATATTTCCTCTTAGAAGTAATTCAAAACACCCATTTAAAAAAACATATTATATTCCTGTAGCATCCACTTACTATTATTGAAAGAAAAGTCTACATTTGTTTATGCAGCTTAAAAAGTCTTCTGAGATGAAGCCAAGAGCAAAACCATTTTGTACACTCAGGCTTAAGAATAATATCAATTGTTTATCCAGCTCATTCTTGTCTTCCTACCACCCTTGCAGTCTTTGCTGATTCTTCTCTGCTGGATCCTTTGCTACGTGAATTTAGCAAGTTCCTCTGCCTTCCCTGACCCCTAGCACAGTGTTTTGCACAGAGTAGCCACTCCACATAGAATGGTTGAGTGAATGAATGGATTAATGAGGATTCCTGTTTGATTTTTCAGCATTTCTTTAATGTCCTTCCAATCAGTAAATTATTCAGTGATTTGTAAGTGTCCAGGGTTCCAACTATGCTCTTTATCATTGGGGAATGCTTCCTTCCTGGGGTGGATGCTCCTAGGTTCTTTGTTCCTTCTTTATCTGTAGCTATAGTCACTTAATCTCCAACCCGTTTTCTTCACACAGTTTAGTGAAAAATACATAGACCCATGAATCTTGCAATGAGGAATTCAGCCCATTATCAGTACCTAAAAAATGCTTTTGAGTGAATGATAGATTTAGGTTAAAATACAATTCTGAGTTACTTGACTTATCTGGGATGAGAATGACACTGTTAGGGGGAAATCCTCAGTGGAGAAAGGATTTACATGTCCTCTTGTTAGAAGGCACCAGGGAGACCACCTGCTGAAATTCTACTCCTTTTCCAAGTTCCAGCTTAAGCATCACATCCTCCGTGAAAGCTTTTTTGTACCCGCCAGGTGTAAGTAGTTATTACTGCTCAGTGATAGCAAAATACATTTTCATGCTAACAAGCCCAAGCTCTGATGACTCTGTTTTATGAATATTTGTTTTCCTCCTTCTGTTGTGATCTCTGTTGCCAACCGTAATCACAAGCATCATCTTTGTCTCTGATGTTCAGCCTAGTACCTGGTACCAAGTAGGTGCTCAGCTACACTTATGTGATTCAATTGAATTAAATGAGATCTATGGTAAACTAAAAGGTATATGCCTCAGTGGGGGGAAAAAAAAGTGGCAGTAATAGCTGCAGACCTCCAAACACCTTTGACCAGAGGACCTTACCTGGGGTTCACTCTAGGAGGGTACTCACAGATCCTTTCCTTTCTTACTTTTTAAAGCTTAATATTTTTGAGAAACTCAGAAGCATTTTTATTTCAAGGCAAAATGTTGAAATATTTCTACTTAAAGTCCTTCATCGCAAGAGTTTCAGAATAGCTCACAACTATTTCTGACCACACAGTCCTCTCTCGGAGCAATCAGAACTCACCGGCAATACTGCAGGAAGTCAGTGAGGAACGGCTGGTTTGAGCCTGTAAACTAAAATGCCACCATGTGTTTTTGAGTTTAACATTTTAGTGGACAAACACATAAGATGAGGACAAAGAGAGAGATGATTCCCTTCATATGATAAACTCTGCTTGAAAGTCGCTTTTATACAGACACAAACTCAAATAGTTGTTTACAAAGAAACATTATCTTGGTCCAGTGGAATGTCTCCATGCACATATTTCTTTTTCAAAGTTTGTTTAAACAACTTAGAAATAAACTTTCCTGATCAAAATCATGCAAAAACTATTTACCAAGGTTGATAATTTAAACATTTTTAAGCAAAATGTCAAAACTAATATTTTTATTTTAAATGATAAAGTACAGTGTTTTGAAAATATTAAAAGTAATATAATACTTGTGCTCTACCACCTAATTTGAACAGATGCAAACATTTAGCATATTTGCTTTTGATCTTAAGAACCATAATATTACAGATAAAATTAAGGTGTTCTCCTACCTTAATCATATTTCCCGTCTTCTCTTTCCAGGTTTCAAGTACAGTACTCCTATAAATATTTCTATTATATTTGTCTTCATTCAAATATGATATTTATTATAGCATGGTATAATATGTATTAAATATTATTTTTTAAAGTAAATTTAAAGTAAATTGACCCCAAAATCAGTAAGTAAAAGATTGATATAATCATGAAGGATAAACATTTGGTATCAGTTCTAATTATGAAGAGTTAATACCAGCATGATTTCATTAGTACTTTATTTTTATACTCAATTATAGCAGTATAATCTTTAGCAAACATCAATTGGGAAATAACATGTTACAAAAACACTAAGAATTAATTCCATGATGATTTGTTGCAAGTGCACAAATGTCACCTTATTTTCCTACCTTTATATCATAAGATGAAAAAATCTATTGAAACTTGTGAAATTGAGGATTTGTTGTTTTCATATACCACCTGTCCTTCATTTTATATACACACACGCACAATCACACACACTTACTCACTGCTTATCTCTGAGCTCCCTGAGAGCCAAGACCAAAGGAAAATACAAAAGATCTTATAACTGACTCGATTATCTAATAAAAGGAGATGTGCCATATCACCAGGTAGGACTACCTTGTGTTCTCTGAAAATAATTATCATGAGTGTTCTTACAATAAGATAAACAAACATAAGCCAAACAAATAAAAGCCACCTGAACAATGTAGTGGCCAATTATTTTCAAACTAGCAACTTTACCAGAATGCAAAGCTGTAATTTGTCTGTTGTTTCTTATCTTTCATGGATAAAATCCAAGGGCATGATGTGAAATTGCAGTTTCGTGGGAAATCTAAACTGTAATGATGTTCATACACATTTACTCCTAAAAGCCTTTTGTCAAGTGAAAGCATAACAGAGGGCCAGTTGGTAAAACACAAACATGAAGCCACCCCGATCACTAAAGTGGGTGTGGGAATCCTGGCGCTTGGGAATGTGCTTAAACGTTCAATATGATAATGACAGAATGCAGCAAGTGGGAATCTAGTCTACCACATGATTCAAAAGTGATTTTTTTAAGTAACTTTATTGTATTGTTTTTCCTTCCAACTTTTTATTCTGGGGTTTTCATGCTTCCTGACTCAGGTGTGTATAAAGACCCATCCAGTCGGAGCGACCGCACTTCTCTGTGATCATGAAGTTACCCTTGGTTATTGAATATGTTTTCCAGCTTAATGAGCAAGCACATACACATGATGCTAATGAGGAATTTTGCTTCAAGATACTTTTAAAAACGTACATGAGGAAGAATTGTTTGCTTTGAGTATTTTAAGATGTAAATGCAGCTACTTCTAAAAAGAAAGAATAATCCTGAGGAAAAGGCAATCGTGACCTATGACAATGGATGGAGAATTAAATCCTGCTTCCATCTATCATATGCACTGAAGAGGGACGTGGGAGCAACTTCTGCCTCGAAAGGAGCCTTGTTTGCTCACTAACACAGTGGGCGTTAATAAGTCTCTGCTGCCCCTGTGGTTTTGTTTCAGTCATTTTAAATCAACCCTGGAACCAGGCAGAGTATACATTAATACAAGGCATTATTCTCCTTCAGCTGTAGTTAAGGGTGCTTGCATGCTGTCACTGTTGTGATAGAAGCCTGTTTGCTTCTGTCCCAATAGTGAGGGCAGAAAACTCTCCCTATGAGGAAAGAAAGCTTTCCTGAGTCACACACACAGCTGCCTCCCTCCCTGAGCTTGGCAGCTCCTATAATAAGTTTCTAGTTTGGAACGTAGTACAGATCAGGAAAAAAGCAGGAAAGAGTAGAGCAGGAAGGACATGGGGTGACATTTTTGCCTTAGTGCTTCACTACAATATGCCTTAAGTAGCGAGCCACCAAACCCTAATGATTCTTCCTTTTCTTCCATATAGTGAATGCCTCACTCTGGGGCTTTCCTTCCTTGTCTCTATACCTAACAGCAGTAGCCTGGGAACTAGTCCCTCTGCCTGCACTCTACTGCTAGCGCCATCTTTCTAAAGCACCGCTTTCATCATGTTGACCTTCTCATCACACTGTGCTCAAAAACCTTTCAGGCCTCCTCATTCCCCAGAAGATAAAGGTCACTCCTTGGACTGGAATTGAGGCCCTTTGCAATCTGTCTAGAGCGTTGTGTTCAGCCACATTGGATGGGAAGAGTTCATTCTAATCAGACTGATCTGTGATCCTCCCAGCACACTGTATACTGTCTTCCTCCATACATTTCCCCAGGCATTCTCTCCACCACTCTTCTTCATCTAAATCCTACTCTTCTTTCCAGACAGTTCACTTTCCACCTCCTCCTCCCTATCTTATGAGCATTAAACAAAAGAGTCTTAAGGAAGTAGGAGCAAGGCGCCAGACACAGGGGAACCTCATGATAATTTCACCCCCTTTTCTGCCACTTGGTCTTGGTTTTACTTGGCAAATTAATTCTGCTGACAGCTTTGCCACTGATGTTTTTTAGATCAGTGTGTTTAATCACCTGTCCCTCTCATCTGACACCAAACACATTGCATGGAGTATGTGCCATATGAATAAAGCCTTTTAAAGCATGTCACTGAATAGTGTACATTAAACAAGAATATTAAATTTCTTAAAATGGAATGAATAGGAAAGGGAAAAAAGATGTGGCTGGAGTCAGAGTAGCTGAGATTTCTCAATAGGGGATGCAAACCTTCTCCCACAGAAAGAGCTAACTTGCTTTAAGATACTGATTTCTGAATGCCCCTCCAGATATTATTGCACCAAAATTTGTCACAATAAATCTTATATACAGTAAATCTGGAAAATCTCTTAGTCTTAGAGGGTGAGAAAGAGTATCTAATATAACTCCAACTCACCATGTCTGCACATCAGAATCACCCGTAGCATTTTTGACAACAGCGACTACCTAGGCCTCACACCAGACCTCCTAAATGAGAATCTCTGAGTTGCAACCCAGTCATCTGGTTTTTTTAAGTATGCCACAGAAGATTTTGATCTGCATCCAGAATTTGAAATCCAGGATTTGAAAGCCAGAAGTTAATGATGGACAGTATGTATTTGATTACAACTTCTCAGAAACTTTGTTAAGCAGTTGATATGCATTTAGTGACTACAGTCTTGAGTCATTATCTCCATTTTCACAGGTGAGGATTCTAAAGCTTGGGAAAGTGAAGTAGCCCAGTGCCATCCAGCTAGTAAATAAGCCTCATTAAATAGAGGTCTAATACCAAGTTCCAACCTGTAGTCACATTCTCCATCTGTCTTTATTATAATTAGACATTATTTCAATATGTGGCCATCAGTCTCTTTCCCAGCAATAGTTCCCTCTCTTCAAAATGTGATTCCGTTTTTTGGAAGTCCTGGGACCACCCAGGGCAAGAGTTTCGCAGCTCAGTTTTCCTCTGATTGGCTATTTGTTGTCCTAGTCTATTTCTGATCAGTGAGGACCAGTATTCCCAAGACCTTCCCCATGTAATGGGCCAACTTCTATGTTTTGCATCCTTATAAAGAGATCGATACTAATGGCAACTAAGCTTTTTCCACGTGCAAGATGAGCCTGGCCACCCTGGAAAACCTGAGTGCAGTCCTGGGTAATGTTTCTGGAGAAGGGCATTATTCATTCCTCCTAGATTTCAAAACTAAAAGGATTGCCCACTATAAGTTAAAAAAAAAAAAAAAAGTCACCTGAGACCTGAGTAATGACATGGGAGACTTATTAGCCTTACCAGTCAGTTAATGCTTTTCTACCCTTTGAATACAGGGTTTAATTTTTCAATGCATTTTCACATCTCTTACCTCATTTTCTCTCACAACTCACAGTCATTCCTGCACTGCAGTTTCCTTACAGATAAAATACTTATAATCAAGTTCCATCAAAAGGAGTGATGTGAGAGTTAATGAGTAAATGGGCTTAAAGTATCATAAGCATCTTGAATGAAAGGTACACACTGTTTTTACTGTTATTAATATAATGCAGTTCATCCATTACAGATCTGACAGGGATCACAGACAGCAGCTCTGACCTTATTTACTGGCCAGGCCAGAGAGGGTCTGCGTAATGGCCCCAGAGACAGACACCCTCAAGAGAAACAAAAAAACCACAGTTAAGGTCCGAAACAACCAGAAAGCCAGCCTCACTGCGGTATAGTTGGGTGCTTTGAAACTAACTAGGAATATTGTATGGTCAAAATACGGAATGGACACCAAGTCAAAGACCTTGGGAGAGGAATAAGTGACAGCCATGTTTAATAGATGAAACAAAATCTAGTGAAATTAGAGGGCAGCCACAAACCAGACACATGAATATGTAATTTGCTAGCTGCCAGGTTCTGCATTCTCACACTCTGGCAGATGACAAGGCACTTCTAAATACACAGAGAAGCTTATTTAACTCATTGCAGATCATCCTTGGAAGAGCCATTTCAAGTGAGGCAGGGAATTAAATTAATGTCAAACCCCCCGAAAATATTGATGAGATAGTTACAAATGTATGTGAGTTGTCTCAAATGCTACCTTTTACTGCTATAATTTAAGTTCCTTACTCCATCAAGTGGTCTTTAAAAATTATTTCCTATTTCTCTTCTATCTTATAATTCAGAGAGCTAAGGTTTTCAGTCAATGTTAATTTTCTTTGAAGGATTTTCAGAGGGTAGTATTACCACATACAGACCCCTGAAATTATTATTTTCGAGTAAGGCTGATTCTTTTTCTTTGTAGCCTAGAAGAAAAGAGATCTATGTAATCGCAGTGTCAAAATGTCAAAAGACTGAGATAGGTTGAAAAAACGAAGAAGAAAAGAAAAGAAAACACAAAAAACCTTAAAGGCATTCGTGCAGTCCTCAGCCTTACAAATCTTTGGCTCACATAAAATACTTGTGACATGCTATAATTAACTAGTTACTCCTCTCAGAATGAATAATAATGCAATTATTTGCCAAAAGCAGTGAAGGGATAGTTTCTGTTTTCAAAAACGTGTGCTTTTCATTTCTGCAGAAAGAAAAACCCTTGATTAATTTACATAAGTTGGTAAAGTGACCTGCAGTTTCACCATTACATTATATGATAATTGCTACCTTTTTTCTTTTTCTTTTTTAATCTTCAAAACGTATTTTTAATTATTTATTTAGAGACGGGGTCTCACTATTTTGCCCAGGTTGCTCTCAAATTCCTGACCTCAAGTGATCTTTCTGCCTCAGCCTCCTGAGTGGCTGGGACTACAGGCATACACCACTGAACCTGGCTCTTCTGTCACCTTTTTATCAGAGCCTTATGTTTTTCAGTGGTTTAATGTAGCAATAAACTGACAAGTTGCTATCATGTTCAAATTATATTGGTGCCTGAAACTGTACCCAAATACCACAAATGAGAAGTAGTAGCCTGCCTGGTGAAAACATTTTCTTGCCCCAGTTGGACTTTGATGCCATCAAGATTACTAACTGTTTGTTTCCTGTTTCCTTTGTCTGTGGAAACACAAATAAAAGGAGGACAGTGAGCCTTAGTTCTTCAGGAACCCCCTCTCCTTTGGAGACCCCACATCTGCCAAGTAGCACAAAGTTATCTCTCCTAGGTGTTAATATATAGCACAATGAATATTTTCAACTCTTTCAACACCATCTGCCATTCTCAGTAATTTATTCAACAACCATTTATTGAAGATGTTTGTAATGCACTGTACTAGGTACCAGGATGTCAAAGGTAAGTAAAACACCTTGCCCTTGAGAAGGTTGCAGAAAAGTAGAGGTATAAACAAGTAAACAGGTGCATTACCAATGCAGTAAATGCACCATGGAGGTGAGTGTGAGCCCCCCCCCCACACACACACACAAATTTTTTCACTCATATAAACACACAAAACCACCTCTACCCCATGAATGTAAACTTCCCCAAATTCCTCTTTGAAAGTTTTGAAGCAGACACCTGGAAAAAAATTAATGCTAAAACTCTCTAATTTTGTAATTTCAGTAGAGTTCATTGAGCTATACATTTGTGTGTTTGTGTGTATGTGTATTTGCGTGTAAATATTAGTTTTCATGTGGATCTTTATATAGCATTTTATTTAAGGATAAAATATTTTGAGCAACTGATGCTTTAGATAGTCAGGTTAATCTAATGCCCATAAAATTAGTTACTAATTCTAAAACCAGGTTTTAATTTGCAATGTCTTAAAACTAACATTCACTGATATATCCCAGTGATGCACAAAAAGTCTGGATTGCTTGTTTGAGAAGACAAGGACCAAGAGTCAATATGATTTAAATTCATAAAATCATGACATATTCCAAGAGTAGACATAGCCTTGGTTTTCAAATCCTATTTACTCAAAGGATTCCTTTAATCAGAGAGTGATAGGAATTTGGGTCTGTGATAGGAGTTTGGGTCTGTCTTTCTTTGTACTTTCAGTATGTAGAACAGGGCAGGCTCTGACATCAGACTGCCTAAATTTGAATTTAGGCTCTTCGATTTTCAAGCTGTGAGACTTCTCCAAGTCTCAATTTTCTTATCTGTAAGATGGGCATAGTAATAGTAACTTTTAGAATAGCAACCTTTCTTTAAGAATGTAAAATTGTTAGTGTATTCATTCATTTCATTTAGCTATCCAACATGTAGTTATTGAAAGTTTCATGTGTGCAAGATATTGGGCGGGTTGGGGATTGCAAAGATAATTCAATCACTGCAAATAGAGATCAAGATGGACTTAGAGTTTCAGACCATGGTCTTGGAATCCTGCATGTTTTTCTGACTGAATAAGCTTAATAGACATATATACATGGAATATAGTAAATAATGATTATGTAATCAGAGTTTATTGGTCTTTTGGAAACATAGAAATGGTAGGTCCTTGGTAATCCAGTCACAACATTTCCTTTTCCCCAAGCTTCATCGTTTTTGTGTTTTGTTTTGTTTTGTTTTTGAAACAGAGTCCCACTCTGTTGCCCAGGCTGGAGTGTAGTGGTGGGATCTCAGCTCACCGCAACCTCCGCCTCCCCCGTTCAAGTGATTCTCCTGCCTCAGCCTCCTGAGTAGCTGGGATTACAGGTGCCCAACAGCACATCTGACTACTTTTTGTATTTTTAGTAGAGTCAGCCTTTCACCGTGTCGGCCAGGCTGGTCTCCAACTGCTGAACTCAGGTGATCCGCCCACCTTGGCCTCCCAGGGTGCTGGGATTACAGGCATGAGACACCACGCCCGGCCAGCTTATTGTTTTCAAGCCATTTTAGCAAATCTTTGAAGTTTCTTCCACTTATTCACAAAAAAAAAAAAAATATTCTCCATAGATTTCCAATTTCCAGTGATTGCTGAGAGTCACAGGAAGTATTTTTAAAATGTACTCTTGCATTTATTTAATATATGCAAGTATATAGAGTAGGGAGCAAAGATGGAAGTTAATGATGAGGATATGCAATTGAGAAAAAGACCAATATAATCCATGCATTCCTGAAGCTTATATCCCAGGGAAACTTTCACCTCAAGGAATGAATCTATGTCCTCCTCTTGGGCTGAGAATAAAAACATCAACCATCTATACCTGTTTCTTAGCCATTCCATGAAAGGCTTTATTTGAGGCAACAAGAGCCAGGAATTTTGAGAGGAAACAAATCTTAAAAGGAGGCCTTGAGCAAGCGATGCTAGGAAAGGAAAGGGGGAAGGATGTCAGCAGCAGAAAAGCTGTGGGACCAAAATCAGATTAGTCAAACTGAAAAATAATAAATAAATAAATAAATAAATACACCAATTGGAGAATCTTGTAAAATATCCCACACAATTGTTCAATTTGGTGTTAAAGCTTAAGTGAATTTTTCAGTGAAACACTGATTCTAACCAGTCCAATTCAATCAAATTTTATCTTTCTGTCTGTATTAGTCTGTTTTCACCCTACTGATAAAGACATACCCAAGACTGGGCAATTTACAAAAGAAAGAGGTTTAATGGACTCACAGTTCCACGTGGGTAGGGAGGCCTCACAATCATGGCAGAAGGTGAAAGGTGTGGCAGCAGACAAGAGAAGAGAGCTTGTGCAGGGAAACTTCCCTTTATAAAACCATCAGATCTCATGAGACTTATTCACTATCATGAGAACAGCAAGGGAAATACCTGCCCCCATGATTCAATTATCTCCCACCAGGTCGCTCCCACAACACATAGGAATTATGGGAGCTACAATTCAAGATGAAATTTAGGTGGGGACACAGACAAACTATATCACCATCTCTATTCCCTTTGCACCATTTTGTCATGCTATCAAATGGGTTTCTGAACTGCCAATTACTTTCTGTCTATATATATATGTGACTTTTTCACTGAAACATTTAGAAATGTACACTGTATATATATATAATCTATTTACAAAACATTTACAAAAACATAAATATTAATAAAAATGTAAAATATATATATAGTGTACATTTCTAAATTTCTTTGGACTTAATTTGGATATACCGTCAAAGCCCTAATATCTTATCTAATTTACCATTTAGGTAGACAAGTGACAGAACATACCTTTCTGTTTTTCAGTTGCTAACAAACAACTTTATAGAAGACCTTGAAGGAGATAATTCCTAGAGTCTAACACAACAACAGTCAGAATCTAAACTGGTTTGAAGGCAAAAGAAACTACCTTTTTAAAAATGCAAATGTCAACCTCCTCACTCCTTTTTTATTTAATACAATGATTAAGGCTTGGCCTACAGAGTCACTTATCCACATCCGCTCTATAAGAACCAGAAGCTCTTTGAACATGTAGGCAGCTCCTGATCTCAGGTTTTCAGATGCCAAGAATCAGCTGAGGTAGCAATGTCATGTTCCAGTAGCTTGTGATCACATGGCAACATCAAAGCTAAGGTAGGAACACCGCTCCTCAATGAGTTAAGTGTTTAGAGATGGTTGCCATCTGTTGTAGCTATTTGTTCCTAAATAGGTAAATGTAAAAATAACCAGGCATTCCTACAGCAATTCTCTTACAAAATAAATAAATAAATAAGTAAGTTCATTAGCACATTTTCTGCCAGCATTTTTAAACAGCAATCTAGGTAATTCTGACACAGATGGTCTAAGGACTACACTCTGAGATGCACTGGTGTGTATACAAAGCCTCTCTCAATCAACAGACTGATCAAGCAGTGATTCCCAGGAATTGAGTCTGGTGCCAGGATGACTACTTAAGAATATAGAATGTTAGAAGCTACCCTAGATTTACTGGAGCCCAGAAATCTGCTTATGAATCTGTATACTTAAAAGTTCTCCAGGAGATTCTAATAACACAGTCTGTGGTATTAGAGAGAGGGGGTTGGGTTTTAGCTTAACAAATCTATGAGTGGGACCTTATTCCACAATTTACTAGTGTCTAACCTTATGTAATGTCTTTGGTCTGTAAAACAGCTGTTGTGAGGATTAAATAAAGCAATACATGTTGAGAGTCTAGCATGTAGTAACCTGCTTGCCATTGTATGCCTAGCTCTCAGTAAAATATACAGAAGTAAAAATGTATGCTTCATGACTTTGAGAAACATATAATCTATTTACAAAAACAACATAAATATTAATAAAAATTTAAAATATGAGTTTATATTCTAAAGCTGTAACATGGTTGTACACATACACCAGAAAACACACAAGACACAATATTCAGAATAATAAAATAGAGAAGTGTAAAGATATAGGAACAATCATATAAAATTTTCTTGAAAATGTTTAATTCTTCTTTAGGTAACCTAATTCTCATTAAATCACTGAATTTTTATTTAGATTATAGAAAAATATTAACATCATGAGTGGCAATCAACTTGTATTTATTATTTTATTATTTAAAATGAGAGGTAGAAAAATAGTAGTGTATATCTCGGAAGGGGTTTCATAGGATATGCTTAAAGGGGCCCAAGACAACCCTGAAATTTTATACAGAAGGGTTGTTTATATGAATATGGATATTTCTGGGGAGAGATCTATAGCTTTCATTTTTCCAAAGGGTTTTGTGGCCCCCCCAAAATGTTAAGGACCATTGAAGATTGGTCCTTTTAGTACATTTTATGTGCGTCCTTATTTATGCCAAAGAAATACGACTCCTGATTGCATGCCAAATAATTTACTTGTTTGCTTTCTCTGAACTGTCCTCTGAGTCAGTTTTCCACAAGCTTTAACCATTCAAATATCCCAAGAAAAGAAGGAAGAGTAAGATTCAATTTAAGAAAACTCTAAAGCAGAGTTTCATGACCTCAGCCTATTCATATTCTGCAGATATCAGCATGGAAATTTATGTACATGTTTTAAAAGTTCCAGGGCAGAAATTAACTGATGATCATTTTTGAGTTTTTCCTTTTATTTTTTATCCATTGCTCAGTTGTTTGAATTATTTTCCATTAGTTCTGTGTTTCTTTTCTTCTCAGTTAGAAAAGTGAAGGAACTTCCCTGGAAGGATACAATTCAATTTTGCCAACTTGCATTTTGTCAACTTAGCAATTCTTTCATTTGTGTTTTATTTATAATGTGGTAACAACACTATTGATGTTACATGTTTTTATTTCTCTCTTTTTTTAGGTGTGTGTGTAATATTGACTGTTCTCAAACCAACTTCAATCCCCTCTGCGCTTCTGATGGGAAATCTTATGATAATGCATGCCAAATCAAAGAAGCATCGTGTCAGAAACAGGAGAAAATTGAAGTCATGTCTTTGGGTCGATGTCAAGGTAATGTTCATACCAAAATTCATTTCAAAGAATGATTTTAGTCTTTGTGCAAAAATGAAAAGTGAAGAAAACTCCTTATTAGGCAGCTATTCCATTTCCAAAATGCAGTGCTTATTTACAATGGATAGTAGAGTCTACTGTAGCATTTGTGTCGATTATAGGATTTTGAGGGGCTCTCAGCAACCGTCCAGATCTGTCTCTATACAATGGAACTGTATTGTCACAATGCCATAAACACAGAAGCCAATATTCACAAGATAGCAGACAATTTTCTTGCAAAGGGAAAAAAGAAACTCAAAAACATTTTTAAAACGAATCTAAGAATTTATTAGACATCCTTGAAACTAAAAGCAAATCACTTCATTTTTATGTATTGATTCAGTACAAATATTTAAAATGCATTTTTAAAAGCAAGAGGTACTAGAATGTTCTATTTTCTTTCTTGTTCAGAAACAAGCATTTTCTTAGGTTTTGTTACTCCTTTGACCAATTTTTCTCAGTTATAATTGTGAATCTTCTTCTTCTCCCAAACTTTAGAAAGCTCTCTTCATTTTATTATTTGCTCTCAGACAGAAATTGACATTGTAAATCTGTCTTAGTATGATGCAGGTTGCTTAGAACTACAGTTGTAAAAATTCCTTAATTGCAATGAAGATATTGTTGGAGGAAATATATAAGTTTGATATTAGATATTTAGGAAGCAGTTAATCAATTTTTATTGTTAATTTTTTAACACAGATAACACAACTACAACTACTAAGTCTGAAGATGGGCATTATGCAAGAACAGATTATGCAGGTACATAATATTTTCTTCTACAAAATGTGAGCTCTTCTATTAAAAGAGAGTCCTGGGAAATGGTTGTTTACTACTTATTCCAAAGTGAAGCTTGCAAGACTTCTAACATGTGCTAGCCTTCTCTTGCTTAGTTCAAGCTTTCATTAGGCAAGAGTAATTTTTTGTTGAAGCAAAGAAGACATACGGTTTTTGCCAGAGTTAAAGCAATTGTCAAAAATGTCACTAAGATATAATTAGCTTGTCTTTACAGTGCAAATAGTACAAATAACAAAACATTTATCAAATTAATAGCATCAATGGAAATGAATGCAATTTCTGGCAATATATTATAATAAATGCAAATGTTCTTGTTTAAATTTTCATAAAAGTCAACAATGAAAAGTTTGCTAGTCTCTAAAAAGCTAGAAAGGACAGCTACAAATAATAATGCAGGTTGTCTTTATTTAGATGCAAAGTTAAAAATGTATGTATAGGTTTTTTTAATAGTAAATTTCTTTAACTTATTTTGAAACTAAAATGTAGTTTCTCAGACATGCAAAATTATAAAGCATTTTATATAAATATAAATCATATTTAACAATTATTTCACTTTGAAGAATGTCTCTAGCTAATCTAACTTTTCTAGAGTGAGAAATAATTCATGGGTATACAACTGAAATTTTAACAGATACTTAAATTTTATAGAAATTTGGGATAAAATATATAAATAGTATATAGGTTGATAATGATATGTGAAGTTTTTTAGGCAGAGCTTTTCATTTAGATATTAAGCAATCATAACTAGATTTATGGTAAATATTCAATCAAAAAGAGTTGTTTCTTGTCTTTTAAAATATATACTACCATCTATTCTTTCTTTCTGAAATTTCATTTTCTTTAACATCAGGATAAATGTGTATGAAATTTAAAAAATTAGTTAATATAGAGATCTGAAATCTCTTAGAATTTGGAAATAAAAAAGATATTTTAAACATTTATATTTTAAACATTTTCCACATTTTATCTTAATGTTTTTCAATATGTAGATGGATTTTTTATGTGCTATAAGACAGAAATTATCATGGACAATTATACATGGAAAAACATTGGTTCTACCAATGTATAGCCATTCCCAAAGCGTCCAGGAGAGAAATTTACAGATGTTCCTTGAAAAGAATAGTTCAGTGATCTGTAAGTTTGGAAGAGCTCATACAGACAAATGGGTCTTCTACCCAGAACTTCTCACAGCTCTTATGTTCATTATAAAATATTTAAGAGACATACATCTTTTATTTATTTATTTTACTTTTTGTTGTGGAGAATTTCAAATAAAGGTAAAATACACAAATGTAGGTTCTATAGCTTACTGAACCCACAAGTACTCATCATTCAAGCCCAGTAACACCAACCCGTGGCTAACCCAGCCCTGTCCTCACCCCTATCCTTTTTCCATACTTTCATAATATGTGGAAGCAAATCCTGAAAATTTTATCATTTCATTCACAAATACTTTAGCATGCATCTTGAAAAAAAATCAACAATTTTTTAACAAAGTTACAATACTGTAATCATACCTAATAAAATTATGAATAGTTCCTTATAGTACACAGCTTTTAACAAAATTGTTTGATAACACATTTTTGTGGCATGTTTTGCAGTATTGTTTCCAAGAATGTACATTGTGATATGCTGATCCACAGAAATATTATCAAAAATAATAAAAGATAATAATGAAAAATAAAAGTCTGAGGCTAATTGTATATATTTTAAATTTTAAATGAAAACAAATTTAAATTGTATATATTTTATAAACAATTATTATATTTTGATGGTATTATAAGCCACTGCTACTAACTGCAATTAAAATACCTTTACTCCTATTTTGCAAACTAATTCATTTGGAAAAATCTTCAAAAATGTAGAATTTATGCATATCTTCTTTAGTGAACCATCCGTCTTTGTACTCATTGAAAAATCAAGCCTCTCCCTGAGAATTTTGTTCCTGAAACAAAGAACTCTTCAAGTTGATCAGTGTCAATATACAAATATATATGCATTTATAAAGTTATTCCAATAAATATCATGAGAGATTCTACTGATCTCTCAAAGTCATTCATATTGCATGTTAACATTTTGCCCATTTCAAAGAGATTTGATAATTGAATTTTTATTCCAAAAAGTATTTATATATGGGTTTGGTTTTTTAAACAGATTATCTCTAATGTTGAGTGTCACTGTTCTTAATTGGCATTTTTTTTTCCTATCTTACTGCTTTATTAGGCATAGGAAGAAAAAAATACATTTTTAATACATGCAAATGAAAACTCTTCTGTCACTCATTGTAGTCCAGGATCTTCTAGTTTGGTGTCAGATTTATCCTGCAAACTCTAAAGAAAAACTTTTAAGATAAAAGTAAATTTTAAAAATACATGTTTGTTGAAATCCAAGTATAAGACAGGAACAAAGATAATGTCAATTGAAGCTTGTAATTCCTAGTTAAACATAGATTGCATACGTCAAGATTCTCAAGAAATTTTAGATATATTTGTCTTCATTAATGGTTTCATTAGAATACAATATACACCCTCTTTAGAAATCATTTAAGTAATAGTCATGTTCCTCAACATTTCCAAGCTTCCAATAGTATTTACAGTTTCCTGAATTTGGGAACACAAACTGTGGAAAAAATTAAAAGGAACCAAATAGAGAGTCTATGTGTCATTGTCCTCTTAATTACTATTTCATATGCTAAAATCTGTCCAAGGAGGGAAAACAGGAACTGTGTGACTCGTATCCCTCAAACTTTGCTGTGTGCTCACAGCTCATTTAATGTCACAGCCACTTCCCTTGTTAGACACACATTCACGGACTCTCCCACCTGAGGGAAGTAAGGATCTAACATACTATCATTTTTGCCTTATATCTAGTTAACACTATAGATTAAAAACCCTTATTTATCCCTCTCAGTTTTTTCTTTGAGCCTACTTTAAGAGCTATTAATACAGGAACACATGTTTCTGATTATAAAAATGGAGATCTTCTTGAAAGAAAGTCTAAATCTTAAAATAAATTAATTGTATCTCATTTTTAATATCAGTTAAAAGAGATCCCAGCAAGGATCAGCAGGAGGTGAATTACCAAAACGTGCAATAAATGCAAACGAAGGGAGCAATGCCTTCAACAAAACTAATATGTGCAGTATACTAGAGTGTGGCATACTTGCTCAGAGATGTGAATTCCATGATCCTCAAAGGCACATAAATGTAGTCAACACTAGGAAACCAAAGAATTTGCTCAATCATCCCTGCCAGTATTACTTTCTGGTTGCATTTGATTTGGATCTCTATTCTGCCCTCTCTCCTTTAATGAGACCCAAGGCATTACAGAGCTTTGAATAAAGGGCTTTGGATCTCTTCATTTCAAAGCCCAGTGACAGGATACTTGTCAGATGAGCTAACCAGGCCATTTAATGTTATTCTCCCTTCATCAATATAAGACTTGGGCTTAGAGTTAGGTCTGTCTCTACACCCACAGAAAGATTCGGGAACACAAATTTTACAAACACACAAAGCTAGGGCTTTCCAGGCTTTTCATTGTCTTAAATTGCTAAAATTAAACTGTCCTTTGGGAAGTTTTTAAATAGCAAATGTTTTACACCTCTTGAAATTTGCAACATTTTCTTTCATATATATGTGTATATATGTGTGTGTGTGTGTCCCTCATGTCTTCTAATGGAAAAGAAAAATGAAGTTCAACTATTTGTTTTTCTTTATCCAGTATATATATGTATATTTTCTGATTGTGTTGTTTTTCTGTCTAAAAGTTTGGTCATGCTTCAAAAAAAAAAAGGCTATATTTTTTCCAGTAAAAATGTACTTAATTTTATAAGTTGTTAGATATTTTATAAAATGAAGTCAGATGATATTGGTTTTAATTATCTAGAAAATAAAATGTTTTTTATTTTATGACATCCTACACCAGTTTTCAGAGTTTGGAGTGTTTTATAATTAAAATACATTTGTATTTTTCTTCCATATTTTTTAAATTGAAATTGTTTAAATAGAAATTGAAAACATAAAATCAGAATTGTTAAAGAAAATACATATACCAGCAACACAGACTATTACAGTTACTGTATTTAGCCCTAAGTTTCTTTGCAACCAATACAAAAGAAGAAATTATGGTTGAATCAATTCATTCAACAAATATTTGCAGTCACCGCAATATGCAAGCCCCTGTCCTGGGGTTTTACAAAGGTGAACAAGTCAACATAGGTATCTGCTAAATGAAACTTAGATTTTTATTGTCTGATAAAAAATAAAAAATAAGTTCAGAGACAAAAGACAAAGTTTCTCTATGCTAAATTATAAAGGAACTATTTAGCATAGATCTTTCTACAAGGCATCAGTGAAAAACATAAAATGAATAAAATCTTCAACAATGATTTTTACAAAATACGCCAAGAGGCTCTCCGTATGGCTGGGAATTTTTAAAATCAATTTTTGACAACATCCTAGAGCATAGAATTAAAATATGTATAACTCAAGGACAGTGTTTCTATGACAGACTAAAGTAATGACTTTCATTTATGGGTATTTCCAATTTTCCAAATTGGAAAAAATACAGAGGAAATAGCTATGAGGAGGAGCATGTTGAGCTTATTTTCCTCATGGATACATAGGTTGAACAGGAACAGGAGTAAAGTTAAGATAAAGACTATGCTGGATTATAGTATGTATGTGGGGAGAAGATATTTCCCCTGGCTGTTCGTGAAAAATGTAAGTCCTGGATTTCATGTCCTCGGAGGGGAGACAGGGCCTCCCTATCTCTGAGTCTAGCTACAGGCCTGCGTCGAGTT
This sequence comes from Homo sapiens, assembly GCF_000001405.40. NCBI lineage: Eukaryota > Metazoa > Chordata > Mammalia > Primates > Hominidae > Homo > Homo sapiens. The sequence goes on along the minus strand of NC_000002.12, from coordinate 191,993,424 downwards.
CCTGTGTTTACTTGTTGAACATTATACTGTGGCAATTCATTATTTCTTGTAATATTTATTTTTAGGAAAATTTCCATTCCTCATCTTCAAACAATAATTTATACATTAATCTCAGGTCTGAAATGTGGAAGAAAGAAATCAGAAATAGTTAAACGACATTCTGTCCATCCTATTAGTAACATCCCGTTTTTCCACATTAAAGGAAGCTGACATCTGGAAAGGGTATCTAGATAGTTTAAGTGAGTTGTCCTAATAACTTGTTCTCTGTAGAAGCCATTGCAATTTACAAAGCCTTTTCATATATACTGTCTCCTTCAGTCTTCACAACAAACATGTGAAAGAGATACTATATGCTTTTGACAGGTGAGATATGAGGTTCAGGGAGATTAAATAAAAAGAGAATGTGATAGAACTAAGGTTAAAACCATCATTGCTAATTCCAGAATCCAGCAAGTGTGAGGACCAGGGAAGAAGTGTCACTATCTAACAAGTCCCAGCTTTGGGACTGACTCTGCACCCTAAGCGTTAACCATTTGGCAGTTCCAGACCCAAAAATATTTCATCATGATGTTACGTTTTGTGAGATGCTCAAAAGAGTTACTCAAATCTATATATTCTAAGCATCCTATAAGTGATATAATGTTTGCTTTTAAATTTTTCCTTCTTCTGTTTCCTATTTTTCCACATAGAGAAGAGAAAGCAAGAGGAAAGTGTTTGCTACTGAGTAATCCTGCATTAATAAAAAAATAAAAATAAACAGAAAGTAAAAATTTTTAGCCATATTGTGATATGTCATAGCTTTACTAAGATTCACTCACATTGCTTCATTTCTTCTATGTCAACCCAATAAAGCACTAAGGGTACAAATACTAGAGGAAATAAAATTGAGTCTCAAAGAAGCTAAGTGGCTGAGCCGGAACCGGACACAGTATTTTGACATTTTGACTGCCTACCTGTGTAAATAGGGTGCTTGCTTGATTTACCTAATATTTGCCTTGATTATGCCTCAACTGTACATATTTAGGCATGGATATCAAATGATTTCATATCATATTTATAAAATGAATTAATTCAGTCATGTGGCAAAAACCTACATTTAAAATGGAAGCTTTTTCCATTTGCTCGTGAACACAAGGAGCACTTCACCAGAAACCACGTTTTGTCTGGGCCAATAATTTGATCTGTAGGAAATAAATAAATAGCAGCAAATGCAGGCAGCAGCTTGTAGCACAAATATTGGTATCAACAGTGAAATAAATAAAAATGTTTGCCCAGGCTATTACAGTGCCACCAGACTAGCCTAGAATATTTAAGCCTAGGAAATGAATTAAGATGTCAAGATTTTTTCAAGATTTCTGAGGGAAAGTGTCTCATTGCAAGTATTTTCCCCTCTGGGATTTACATTAGAGTGCTGCAAAATTCATAAAGCTTTCTATGAACTCTAACTCACAATTTTTCCTGCTCTCTTGAACTTCTGTGCTTTCATTGTTTTCCCCATAAAATCATGTAGCCAGTCATCTGTAATATTATGTTATGTTCATGGTTATAGATAAACATAGAAATGGTATTTCCAATACAGATGAAGATTTTCCACTGAAGAGTTGCCTTGGGCCCTGGTAGACACTCTGGAAAACTTTGTATTTATGCACCAGTTCATAAACGCATCCTGCATCATTTATGTGCACTTTTTCCTATTTGAAATGCTCCTTTCTGATACAAATCGTTCACCTTGCAGTGTTACTTATCTACTCTTCTCTGCCATAAGTGTGCAGCAGCTGGTTTAGCGGTTGTAACCACAAGATTAGAGGGAACTGAGTTTAAACATTGGCCATGCTATCGTGGTAATTTAACCTTGTTAAATTAGTTGAAGGCTCGGTTTCTTGATTAGTTGAAGCCTCAGTTTCTTGATCTGTTTAATGGAGATAATAAGTCTACTTCCAAAGGATTGAAGTTTAAATTAAAAGACATCATGTAAGGCATTAACAAGCAAATTAGCAAGCTAGCTATTGTTACTTTCCTTTTGGTCTGAAAATTGAAGAGAATTGATTTTTATGGGAAATAGAGCACATTTTATGGAATATAGTCTATCTGTATGATATGTGTTCAGAGTTGTTATACATATATTATCCTTTATGGACTCGTACAATTACAAGAAGTTTCTGGATTATTTTTCCTACCCAAGTCATCTAACAGCTTGTTGCAAGAGACCTTGGCTGACTTTTTAATTCATCTATAAAGAAATATTTATTGAATACTTATTTATAAGTTTTCAGCACATTAACACGTCTAAATATTCACAAAGCAAATTTTCTGGTTTTCCTCTAGTCAACATAATTTATGTATGGTATATTTAGATCACATAAAATATAATATGATCATGAGATTATTACAACATGAAATTCAAATAGAAATTCAGTAGGAAGACATAGCTTATGACACAACTGCAGAATGATGATATCATATGCTTTCCTCAATGTAACCTTCAAAGTCAATCACTTATACTCTAGTCCATATGTTTAGAGGACCTAAATATTCATTATTTAAAAAAAGGAATGTAGTATATGGAAATGTATTTCTGTTTACATAAAACATTATTTTTCACTCAGAAATGTTAATGTTCACATGTCAATAATTCACACACACACACACACACACACACACCCCGCAAAGAGATCAAAACAAATGTTTTTAATGAACTCATAGTAAAGAAAAGACAGGTCTATTTAGCATGGAAGACGAAGAGAAAAAAGCTATGTGAGTTCAAACATCTAGACAATTGCTAGTGGAATGCCATAATTCTCCACCTTAATTTATCTTTTTACCTCAAGTATATGTTATTTCAATTCCTAGGAAGAGTAATGTAAGTGCAGGTAGAATGTATGAAGCTTAAAGAAGAGTAGGATATATCCCAATGCTCTGTATAATTTCAAGGCACAATGTTTTCCATAAACCTAGTAAATAGAATTTAAGCCATTTCGAACAAAAACAACACACACACACACACACACTATTCTGAGCACTTTGATTTGCTGCTTTTGTTAAAGAGTCTGACATGCCCCAAATATATAAGCCAACATTATCAAGAGCTTTAAAAATGCAGTTCTCACATCTTAATGATTTGAAACTATATATAAACATTATCAACTAAAAAAGTCTTAAAATATCTATACAACAAAATGTCTCAAAGAAATTACATTTCTAAACAGCTATTTGTTTCATGGTTGTAGTTTGTTTCCTCCAGTTGTTCATTCAGAAAACACACTTTTACTTTTGAACTTGGATGTAATCAAAAGGAACCAAACTTGTGGACCAAACTCCAGGCATAACAAGAATGTAGTAATCAGTGCTAAGGCTTGAGGGAAGTGGTGGCCTAGTAATCTAGGAATAGTAATGAGGATTAAGGAGGACAGTACTCCACCTCTGAGTCCTGAAGTGCAGGGGAGGAGGGTAGAATATACAGCCACTTTGTGAGAGGGTGGAAGGGGTTTGGTATTCTCAGAAAAATCTAGTGTTTCAGTATGCAAGAAGAAAGGTGAGAATTTCATTGAAGCATCTGAGGCTAGAAGGGAATTTGCCAGTTCTGGAGCATAGTTTTGGGTGAGCTTTGGGAAGTTTTTGGAAGTTGGGGGGCAGAGAAATGGGCTTAATCAAGGGCCAAGAACCAACAAGGGCAGCACATTGTGGGTCTGATGATTTGGTGCAAGATGGATAACTGGACAGGATATGCCAGAATTATACTTTGGATAGTGACTAAATTCATGATCAGGGCAGGTATGGCTCTCAGACTTGTGGACTCAGATATCTAAATTTTCACTCAGAAATGTTAATGTTCACAGACAATTTACATCCTCTGACCAGTGTTTTCTCTTCCTAGAGTTGAATTGCCTGAGAAGCCCAGTTATACTGAGGTTACTTGGTAAGCCTAACTAGAGCATATATTCTTTAGATGTTTAGGGCATCAAGGCATCGAGCTAAAACAGCCTGATGCAAATGTCAACACAATAGGGATTCCACTGCCCTCAAATTAGGATAAATAAGTGTCCTTGGCTAGGACCTCCTCCCCAACTGTCATAACTTGCTCTAACATTCTTGACCTGACCATCCTTGGTCTGAGTTTCCATTTCTGGGTGGCCTCCCACTCAGTCCACCTGTGTTCTCAGATATAGTAAATTTAATCAGGATAAAATTGAGGCCTGGTTTCACGGAAGCCATTTCATGACTTTAAGCCTGAGCTCCTCTGGGATCTGTAGCTCAGTAGCCCCCAAGAAATGACCATTTTAGTATATATCTCAGTCCTTATTGGATTGCTATGTCCTTCTGCAATGGGAAACCTGCAAATGTTTTTTCACAAAGTTAACTTTGAAAGGCATTTTTTAACATATAGTTTAAAGTGGTTTGGCCAATAACAAAGAAAAGTGAATATTTTTTCCTATGGTAGATCAGCATTTATGCTAGCAAATGCTTTTTATGGTGACGTTGTTAATGTTTAACTTAATAAAACACAGAGTGAATGTACTAATTATCCTGCATTTCTGCAGAGTTATTGATGCATTATCAATGTTTGATAGCGTTACGTAATGTTCCTGTAAAATATATTTCACATGATTTTCAAAAAAACAAAAAAAAAAAACCTCTGCCTTAATCTTTCTTTCACATCTTCTGAGGTTGAAAGCTGTGTGTGTCATAGATTAGAAAACTCCCTCCCAAAAGTATGTCTTTAAAAATTTCATTTACTAATGAAAATAAATGTCTGTTTAGCTAAAAAAAAAAATAGTTTTTAAGTATTCATAAAATGGAGACTAAAATCAAGCTCCATTTGTCCTCTAGAAAGTCAGTATTCCAGAAAGACCATGTTATTAGTCTATAGACTTTAAACGAACAAGCGATCAGTGCTTTGTCAGGCAGTACACATCCAAATTCACTTCTGCAGATTGGCTGTTCGTGTAATGTCAAAATTATTCTACAAATCTTGCACCACTGGATTTTTTCCTATTTACTTTTCTATTATTTAAAGAGCACCAGGGAAGTTGAAGGTTTCCTGTTGTTTGAAATAATCTCTGAGCTATCCTCACACCCCTAGCCACTCACTCATTCCCTACAGCTGGCACATAGGCCTTTGTTATTGATTTTTGATTTTTAATGAAATATAGCTATAGAAGCATGAGAAACAACCAACAGGCAGACCAGGGAAACTTATCTGTAAGATGGTTTTAATAAAGTGTCCACATTGTCTTCTATATGTAGAAAAATTAAGAGTAAGCCTAACATTCCATCAACAGTGATAGGCAACTATTAATGCTTATGTGTCTAAGTAGATTGTCAGTGCTATATTCTAATATTGAAGCTGGTTGTTTTCTGCAGCTTAACATACTTCCGAGCTGTTCATCTTAGCCATGAATTGATACGTACTCAGGAAACATAGCTAATTGTAATGTTATCCTAAGAAAACCATTATCATCTTCATTATACTCATGATTATCATCATGATTATAATCATCAGGAAAATAATACCACTGGAATAGGCTCATTTTAGTTCATTCCAAAATCACCTAGAAATTATATGTGTGTTATCTGTTGTTTTGGATTCTCTACAAGGCTATTCTCCAATGACATGGATAATCATATTTTTAATTTCACTTGGATTTTAGAGCCAATGACTTACAAATAGCATTTTGCAGAAGAGCTTGGAGTAGGATGCAGAACTTTTGACTTAGTCTCATCTCTGTTCTAATTCATCTAAATTTAGTTACTTAGCTTCTCAGAACCTGTTTTCTCATCAGTAACATTTGAAAGTAAGATTAACCAGCCTGGGCAACATGGTGAAATCCTGTCTCTACAAAAAGCACGAAAATTAGCTGGGTGTGGTGGCATGCGCCTGTAGTCCCAGCTATTCAGGAGGCTAAAGTGATAGGATAGCTTGAGCCCCAGAGTCCAAGGTTGCAGTGAGCCAAGATCATGCCACTGCACTCCAGCCTGGATAACAGAGTGAGACTCTGTCTCAAAAAAAAAAAAGTAAAAAGAAAGTAAGATTATGATGTTGTCTTTCCAACTTTCGATGTCTATAACAAAGTATATAGCTTTAGTTCAGAAATCATGATTGAGGGAAAATTGTTGACCATCACCTTATGGCAGCAGTTCTCAATTTTGCCTCTACCAACCTTCCTCCTCCTCATTTCCCTCCCACCTCCCATTCAGGGGACATTGGCATTATCTGGAGACATTTTTGATTGTCTGGGGAAGGGGCAGGGGTAAGTACTGCTGGCATCTAGTGGGTGGAGGCCAGATATACGGCTATACATCCTACAATGCACAGGACAACATTATCCAGCCAGAATGTCAATCGTGTTGTGTTTAAAATCCTGCTTTTTGGTGCTAGGGATTAGGGGAAAGTACATATTAGATGAGGTCTAGAAGTTAGGAGGTATTGTGGAGTCCAGAGTTGGCCTGCCTAATCATTCTTGAATTCTCCCGTTCCCCAAAAGGAGACAAAATCCCAGAATGAAGATCACCAGCTCAGTCATTTCATCTTGCTGCTTCAAACACACTTTTTTTTTTTTTTTTTTTTCTGAGACGGAGTCTCACTCTGTCGCCCAGCCTGGAGTGCAGTGACACCATGTCAGCTCACGGCAACCTCTGCTTCCCTGGTTCTAGTGATTCTCCTGCCTCAGCCTCCTGAGTAGCTGGGATTACAGGCATGCGCCACCATGCCTGGCTAATTTTTGTATTTTTAGTAGATACATGGTTTTACCATGTTGGTCAGGCTGGTCTCAAACTCCTGACCTTGTGATCTGCCCACGTTGGCCTCCCAAAGTGCTGGGATTACAGGCGTGAGCTACCACACTCGGCCCCACTTAAAAAAAAAAAAAAAGATAGTTGTCCCAAAATAGAAATGTGAGGTTTCACAAATAAGAGGCAATATCTGTCTCTACAAAGGCTCATTAGAATGATGAAAATTCATCTGGCTAAAGAAGTTGTTTTTCTTTTAGTTATAGGTTATTGAGGAAAGTCTCACAGACATAATTGGATCGCTTATCTTATTCAGTATTCCTAACTAGTATTTGCATAACTTGGGTCCCTGCTTTTCTTCTGTTCAAAGCCATGTCATCCTTTTGTTCATTCTAGCTACTTCTTACAAATTTTGATTAAATTACTGAGCCAAACACTGACTGTTTGAAAGATTGTTTAATGATGATTTTTAAGGAGGCAACAGCAACCATTTCAAAGCTTCTTTATATCTGGGCACTTCCTCTTTATACATTTTTGTAAGCCTTGGCTCATAGAAATATATTTAAAAACAACTGGCTAAATTCTATTAAAACACTCAATGGCAATTTTTAAAACTGTTGTGTTGCTCATGGAACAAAATGTTTGGCATGCCATTAAAACTGAAGTGTTCATGAAAACTTTCATAGCTCAAGGAGACGGGGAACCTGAAGAGGTTCTTAAATGGCAACTTAGTACCCAGATACACTGTGTCACATTCTTCTGGGAAGGACAGGAATGTGCAATACTGTTAGGTGGCTCCAAGTAACAGACCCTCCTTGGAACAGGAATAGACCTGATTGTATTGGTGTGCTGTCTTACCTACTGAAATAAAGTTATTGGTCTTGCAACAAGGACAGTGAGGATATTTGTTTAAAAAGACAGCTTGAAAAAATAGCAAAGACAACAGGAAATGATAAACGAGCAAGACTTTGCCACAATAATTACTGTAGTATTGAAACAAATGAATAACTTTCACAGCAATGTTATTTTCTGTCTTAGATTACACTACTACCTATTCATACAGTATGTGCACCATTGCTCTTTTACTGGGAAAAATATCTAAGAAGGAGGAGTTGGTTAATAAGTTGTCTGATAAATTTGTGTTAATGTTTCAGAAAACTTACAATGTCTTGTGAAAACAGACTATCTCTGAAAGATGGAACAGTTGTTTTGTTTTTTATCTTCACTAGTTTTATGCTAAAAGTCATTAAAAGAAAAACTGAGGTAAATCCCTCTGATACAGACTGGTGAAATAATATACAATTATTTATAACCTATTTTGTGAATGTTATTCCATATGTGATTTGTTAGTTCCTACTGAAATGTTTTGGTTTTGTGAAAAATACTTGGGACAAATTATCAAAAAAACTAAATTCTATACCTAGCTCCTAAATTTATAAATGTTATATAACTTCTCTGAGAATCTGTAAAATATTGTATCTACATCTCTTTTTTTTCCTTTTTCCTATGTTTCAGATATTAAAGCCCTTTGTGAGATATAACTCACTATGGAATTGTAAGAGATTATTATTGACAAAGATTTAGGATATGGATATGCCTCATTCTAAGTGTTTTTCATATTGTCATCAAATTCATATTTTCTAGATAGAAGTAATTGTTTCATTTGGATAGCATAATTTGATCTAATCTTAACAAAATTCAGACTGAAGATTTTTAAATTCTACATTTTTATTTTCCCATTTTTGTGTATCAGTATATTAACTGGGTAATATTTTTAAAAATTAGATGATAAGGATGATGGACTCTTTTTTGATATATGTTAATATATATATAAAGCTTCAAATTTATGCTCCACGTAGTTCTGTTCCCCACTGATTGGCTTAAATCTCATTCAAACTCCATTTCCCAAAAGGATAAGGGCTCTTTGGAGCAACTGTTCATATTATTACAATGAGTTTTTTTCCCCTCCCCTAATGGGTTTCTAACTAATGGACGAGTTTATTGGGCTCAACATGTTTAGAATGTTTCAGAATGTGTGCACAAAGTATACTATGTTAGTCTAAGATGATATTATTTAGCCTTAGAAAAGAAATCTATTATATAATTTGAATGTAATAGTAATGCCCATTAAATTTATGAGTTTAAAATGTTAAGAGCATGTTACCCCATCGTTCCTACATTTCATTCCCTCATTTCAGGGATTTCATTGAGATTTTTTTCTCAATGAATAGAAACATAAACTTTTCTAGTATCATCAAAGGAAGGATTTTACGTTGTAGCTCTTGTTCTCTCTCTGGATAAACAGAAAGTAAGGAAGTCACCAATGTAGTTACTGGGGTTCAGGAAGATTAAATTCTAACCCCTCCCATCATATATATGAGACTTTATCCTGTTTTTAAATTTATTTGGAGAAACTTAGATTAACTTTGGAAAAACAGATTTTCTAAGTTTTCTTGATCACCTAATCCAATAGCTAATATCCCTTGTATAAAAAGGAAATTCATTTTTTTAATTAACAAAATTTTTTCACTGGACTTGATTTCCAACAGTGCCCTTTATTACTTTAAAAAGAAAAATAAAAGAAAAAAAGAACTTACGAAGTTTACCTCCATAGCTTATATTACCTTTAATTAACATAATATTTTCAGCAGATGGACTACTAGGGTTTAGCAGAATACATACAAACTATTATTCGACTTTGGATTACATTTTGAGCCTTGAAATAGCATAGTTCATTCATTGCTGTATGTGACATTTTAAAAAGCTGAACAAACAATATTATTCTTGGAAAAGAAAAGTTCTTTCTCACTGGATTCACCATTTAGAAACGATATTGAATTGATTTGAATCAGAAAATTGTCTCTAAAAACTTGAAATGAATATAAACATTAGGCAGATGATCTCACCTCTTATTTCCTGCTTTAGTCCTGTTCTGTTTCCTTTGAGTGGTTCTTAATATTCATTCAAACATTGTATGTGTTCAGATGTATCCCAGAGCCACAGTTTGCTGTCACTTTTGTCAGAGCCCAGGTTTACTGGGCTCTGTACTTCAGAGCTGTGCAAGGCTCCTATGCCCTGGGGTAGACCCCTCTTAATAAGAGGCATGTTATAATCATTCTACCAGGCACTGTCATCTTATATATCAAGAGCACTTGCATATTTTACCACTATTTCTTCACCTGTAGAAAGCATATGGTGCTTTTAGGTGACTAAAGTTCTCCTGCCTTAGCCTTCAGGCAAAATTCTTACATTCCTTGGAGTAACAAAGGTTCATATCCCTTTTTGCCCCAGGAGAAAAAAAAAAAAAGGCTAAGATGCATCATTAATCATGGAAACTGTCTACTGCAACAGTGCCAAGAAAATGATCATCCTTGTACTACCCATCAATATTCCTGACACCTGTCTAAAAACTCAGGTCATGCATATCCATCTGCCTTTAGAGAAGTGTCAATGTGCAAACATCCTTCCACTATTTTTAGGGTCATGTTAAAATTATTCACCACCTGCCTGTCAGTTCATCCAATTTGTAATATTATCCTGATCTACCATTGTCTATTATTGGTCATTCCTCTTTTGCATTGTGTTTTTAAAGCATTAGAGTGTAGGATGTTTTTGAAACTGTCAAATAGGAGACAGTAGAATCCTACTGGAGGCCAGAGTTCCCACCAATAAATTGCTACACTCGGTGTCCCCTCATGCTTCATAGAATATGCAGACATTTCGGACTCCCATTTCTACTGCAAGCTCCACCTCAATCTTATTTCTGGTAAATGAATTATTGTTTCTAATGACTTTTATTATAAAATCCACCATATTTCTATCTTGGGAAATTGTTCTAAGAGGTTAAAACACACCTTACAAATAAACAAAACTTTTAAAATTAAGGAGTCAAAGAAGAGCTGTTCTGATAAAACTGTACATACTCAAATGCCTAGTAATATTATATTACATTCAAAATTTAAAATGAAATGGAAATTTTGATAGAAAAATATGATGTAGCATGAGAAACTCAAGCAATATCTTGGTATGTCTCATCTATTATTCTTAGTATAAAACTCATAACTTCTAAAACTAGCTAGTCAGTCAAATTGTTCACTGGTGTCAAGTCACTTTTTAACATTTGTATTTTACATCTAATGTAATTTTGAAACTAGTGTAACTTTCTCCATGCTCTTTGACTTTTTTTTTTTTTTTGCCTGTTTTCATTGTCTTGTGCTAACACCTGTGAAACAGGTTATAATATCTTAGAAGTGAGGCATTTCCATGTAGATGGGAAAATCTCAGAACTGAGATTTAATGCACCCTTGGTTCTAGTTGTTGCTATACACTAATCCTCAGGAGGAAGACCTGTATTAGGTATTACATTTGACCATAACCTCCGTGAGTCTTTGTTTTCTTATCTGTAAATTACAGATCTTAGATAGATAATCTCTAATGTCTGTTTCATATAATAGCCTACCTTTCTATTAATTTGTACAATAATGACACATAAAGCCATGGACTGAAGTGCTCAGTCCTTGGTAAATAATGACTTTTCCCAGAATTTGCATAAATATGGATATGGTAGAATCCTGAAAATGGGTAGCAAATTCAGAGTGTCTCTTCAGAATTGTTGTTGCTGTAGTCAACGTTGCTGGCCCAAACCATCAAAATGATAAATTGTAAGCCTAGAAAAGTACCAGTGATTTTCAGACAGTATCAAGTGACTTGAGTTTAACTGTGACATTCATAAAGTCACGTGTCCTGGTTCTTAGGCTTGCTGGTATCCAGGACTTCAAAGCGGCAGATATAACAAAGCAACCTAAGACCTACGAAATCTATTCATGTGGAAGATGAAGGGGCTTAGGGAGCTTATGATTTAATTAGCTAGTTGGGATCAGAATTTTAATTAGTAATTTCCTTATGAGGATTGATAAATGTATTACCGATGCTGGTAATATTTGTTATGACTTTTTGGAAATAAGGAAATTCAGGGGCAAACTGCACCCAAGCTTCTCTAACTTTATATTCAGAAACCCATGTTACTCAAACAAATACACATATGCCAAATTATAATTATTCAAATAACTTTTATGGCAAATAGAAAATAAAGCATTAAGAATGCTAAAGTAGAAATAATAGAAACACATTTAATTTTGCATTTACTTTGTGTCATGCATTATATATACAACACGCTATCTCATCTCTTCACAACCTGCCTGGGGATCAGGTATAATGAGGAAAGCATAGCTCAGAAATGTTGATGCAATAGAACAGGGATTCCAGCTGATGTGTGTAACTATAACTGGCAACAAGGGAAGTCAAGAGTGTTTCAGAAAATGGTAGTGTTTGCATTGAGTGTGCCTGGCAGAGAAGAGAAAAAATGTTATAGACATAGGGAACAACATTTAAAAGGCAAAGAGGCTTCAGTGAGTGGGAATGCCCAGGGAATGACAAATAGTTTCATGGCTAAAGCATGGAATGAAAAAGTGGAGCAACTGGAGCTAAGTGAGAGTAGTAGTTTGTTGCTTCAATTAAGTCTCTTTCCTCATTTGCAATAGAAGTTAAAATTTATCTTCTGCTCAATAGGGGAGTCACTAAGGTATTTTAAATCATGTCGTATTTTTTATTAAATAAAAAAAAAAAACCTGGCAGCAGAGTGAAGAACAGGCTAGAGAGGGAGGGCATTAGGCAAGATTAATTAGAAGACTACGGTCATAACAATGAAGAATGAGTGTTGTGGATGATGGTAGCAACAGAGAGAAATACATAGATTTTAGTTGGATTTAGGAGATAAAAGGTTACCAGATTTGCTAACTGACCAGGCAAAGAGAAGTGGAAAGTCAGGAAAAATACGAAGGTTCCTGGTTCATCTGGCTGCCTAGATGAATGACAGTTCCATTCCCTAAGATAGATAGGGAAAAAAGTATCAGGAAGAGTAGGACTCGGGGCCAAATAATGAATATGTTCATTTCTATGTTGATGTCTTCATCAACATAGATGACTGGAGGTCTGGAGAGAAGAGGGCATGGAAATGATTATGTGGTAACCCTCAAGTAGAGGCAGACGCTGGGGGTGGCAGTGAATTCAAGTGGAGGAAAAAGCAAAGATGACCAAATAAATACCTGGGTAACCATGGGGCAAATAACAAGAAGCCCTGGAAGCAGATGGAAATTGTGAAAACACTCATTAGCTTCTTTCTCCTTTGTTTTCTTCCTTTCTTCTTGCTTCATGTTTTTCTTTAATGCCAGATGAATAATGATTTCACTGTGAGAGTTGTATTTTAAAATGTTGTTCCTGTTGCAACACTTATTTTTCTGTACACTGGGGCCTAACACAATATGCCCTGGTTGTTTTCTGTGCTCACAAAGATGTGCTTCCTCATCGTCTCCTGGCCTGCCCTTCACACCTTCCAGGGTAGGGCTGCTGGGCCACTCTCTTTCCTGTCCATGTCACTCCATGCATTCTCTCTGCCAATAGTGTATTATTTCCTTCACTGTGTTTAATGTGAGCAGATTTATTTATGTATTTATGCTTTTACCTTTTTATTTTATGTCATCTTTTCTCATAATAGAAACTCCATGAGGGCAGGGAATTTGTCTTGCTCCTCCCTGTAAATGCAGTGCCTAAAAGAATGCCTGACAAATAGTAGACTCTCAGTAATTATTTGTTGAGTAAACGAATAAGACTGAGAGCTACCTCTCTAGAAACCAAACTACATAAAATTTTAAAGGAAGCTCCATACCAAATTAATATCTCTTTGCTTTCTTCTCAAGAAATTCTAACCATACTAATATTATTTAACCAACTTATAATGCAAAGCCACATACAGGTGCTAAAACATATAGATAGATAGATAGATCGATAGATAGATAGAGATATATATAGATATATATTAATCATAAATTAAAAATTTTCACTCCTGACAAAATGGATCCTAGTTAGAGGGTTTAATTTTTTTTTTTTATCTCTACTGGGCATTTAAAAAACATTTTAAGGAAGAACTTGTATAGAAAATATAATTCCAAACATTGCTTTGGAAGTAATAGCACAGCCTGTTTACTGAGAGGGGAAAAAAGAGACCTTCATATGCAAATGTATGGCATTTGAAAATGTCATATAGCTACATCTACATATAAATAAGCTGCTCTCTGAATTCCAGGGAAGGGGAGAGTTTTGTATAGCGTTAGCCAATTTCTCTATCAAAGTAAAGTAAACTAATAGAATAGCAGTGACTCAAGATATAGAAAAGCACATCTTTACTACCTCTTAATACAGTTGTGGCACTCCAGGTCAAAGACCACCTGGCCAAAATCCAAACCTAAATGAAATCAAATCCCACAGTGTTTGAATGGCAATAGAAATGAATCAGCTGGAAGAAAAGGGATTCACAGATCAAAAAACTGAGAACTTCCTATCAAGTATTTGCTTCCTTTCTAAACAGTGACATGAAAACCAAAGGCTTCGTGAGGTCTCCTACACTTAGCCTCTATGCCAGAATTGTTTTTCAGGTGGGGTCCTAAAGGTTAAGCCAAAAGAAGAAAAGATTTAATTTTTACCTCTTTCCTATTTCATATTTGTTTCATTGCCCATATACAAGACGGTCACTTTGGGAACATTTCTCCGGTAAATCCTAATATGTAAACTACCATATAGGGATAAATAACTCCTTGTATTAAATGAATTTTTCCTCCAGAAGACCAGAGTACCATTCAATTAAACTATATTTTTCCTACATTGTATGGTTCTCCCAGCTCCTGGAGGAGTTAATTGGCCTCACTTGAATAGGCAGCCCATTCCTGGAGACGAGGTGCCCTGGTATTATTTTTACAATAGGCCATTTGCTGCTTTCCAAGTTGAGGCTACGGAATTCACCATAAGAAGAAAAAAATCTTAATAAATTATTTTATGTAATTTTTACTGACCATTTCATGCAGTCCATGTGGGAGTTATGTTTCCCTACCAGGAAGAGCTGACTGCAATCTACCAGGGGTGCCTGCACCACAATTTCATTTTAGGTGCTAAAAAGCATACCAAAGCCTGCCCTGGCCCTTATATAGCATATTTATAAGGGAGCTCAGGCTGAGAAAATAAGCTTCTAGAATGATAACTGAAGGGCAATACTTGTATTTTAGAGAAAAAGACATTTTAGTAAGCTTAAGGTATCAATGGGGAAGAAAAAGGAAAATTCAATAGTCAAAGGAAAGCAAGAAATCAGGGTGGTCTTCAGATAGATCAATATAATTGCTTTTTTTTTTTTAATAGGGCTGAATGCTTGGCAATTTTATTAGTGCTTCTCTTTGAAATGACTTTTCAATGAAAGAATTATTATCACCATTACAAAGATAAAGAAATTTAGGCTCAGAAAGATTAAGCAATTTTTCCAAGGCCACCCACCTATTTAAGAAGCTGAGAGTATGTATAAACTGAGATCCCTTTGACCACAAAGCTGGCCGATCGCTTTCCATTATACCGGCCTGCCTCTCGATAAATTGAGTAACAGGGAAAAGGTAGCAAGATGCATACTGGCTACATCCGAAACTATACAGTCTCTTGTGGCAGATATTAAAGGAACCCAAACAAATCCCTAATGAGGATTAAAAATATCGTATCAAAAGAACATGTTCAGGAAACTAAAAAAGGAAAAAAGAAGTAGAGAAAATTTTGTTGAGTTTCTGCTAAAAGTGCTGACATGTGGGGATATTTATGTTTTTCTGAACATCTGGTGGATATTAGTATGTTTTTATTCACAATCTTCTGTTATTAATGATAAAAGCTGAGTAATTATGATATACTGCCACAATGAATGAATACCATGCATTTTTTCCAGTGTATTACAGAATCTCATCATTCCATCAAACATAAAAACATAGTTATTTTTGAAAAGAGGAATATGGATATTATCTTATTATAACAAACTTGTTTCCATCAGAATAGATCACATTGAGTCAGCAACTCTGTTTCTAAGAGATGAGATACACTTCAAGTCATAAGATTTGTTGTTATTAATAAGTAATTCAAATTACAATTTTAATATTGCCTTTAGTTTGAGAAATGACCTAAACCTAATATATATTTATTTTGTCAAGACAAAAAATCCATTTCTAAGATTTCATGGAAGGAGAGATTATTTTATTAGCAACAGACACACCATGGCTTTTGTTTCCTTTGTAAATTGTCAAAATGAAGTGTATCTTTACTGACCCTGTAATCTTCTCCCTGGCTTCTGTCTAGAGCTCCTTCAACTATGCAAGCCTTTAAAAAAAATTCATTACTGAATACAATTGACTGTCTTCCACAAAATGCCAGCAATGACACACGCTCAGAGGCTAAAACAAGCCTGGCAGTGGGACTGCCCATAGGTGAGAGCATAGCAGGTGATGGTTAGTGGGTGCCGCCTTTGCAGCGGGACTGTACAATAGCTCCTATGGCATGGACCACACTCCTCAATCCATGCCCTCTAGCCTGCTCCAGGCACAACTAGTTCCCCCACAAGCCATGCTCTCTCTCCCGTCTAAGTTTTTTGTGTCTATTGGTCCAGCATGGAATACTCTTCTGCTTTTGTCTTTGGCTAATTCATGTTCATATTTCATGTATCGGCTTCAGATAGCCTTCCTCTGAGAATGAAAATAATATAACAGCCACTTTCATTTATTGAGCACTTACTATGTGCCAGGAACTTGGCTAAACAAAGACTTCACATTTAAAACTCTTTTACTCATGACACACATTAGTTTAAAATAGCTATAGTTTATTGAGTACTTACTGTGTGCCAGACAGGCATAAAGGTTAATAAGTTGCCCGTGGTCACAGATAGGAAAAAAGGAAAACAAACGAAAATAGGATTTGAACCAAGACATTCAAACTCCCAAGCCTGTGATCTTATTACTTCATAAGTGTGTATAGGTATCTGTTATTTCACCCGTTTTAAATGGAGGTCTTCACTCCCCACCTTCCACCCGGAGTCTGGGCCTAAGTCCTGTTGTGTCCAACATGGGCCTCCTATCTCTTCCCAGTCATCACATTGCATTGTATTTGCCTGTTTGCTTTTCAGACTCTTTCTTTCTAGATAAGGAAACAAAAGCCTTGAGGAATGAAGGAAATTGCCAAAAGACCATTAACAATAATAAATGACTAAGCCCTCTGTTCCACAGTCTGCACTTTTCTTTCTGCGGAATGACCCTTGTAATTGTAAGCCAGGGCATTTCTCCACAGATGGATATCCCATAAAAACAAAGCCAAAGTGACCTGAAAAGCACAGAGAAAATGTATGTCTATGTCCATTTCTTCCTTCTCAATGGTTCCTTTTTATTCGTTTGAAAATAAGAGTGTGAAGATGTGATTCTAATGACTAATAACAACTAAAACATTTATTAAGTGCTGATTATTTGCCAGCTCTTTTGCTGAGGGTTTTATATGGATCCTCTCATGTATTCCTCATAATAAACCTGTAAGGCAAATACTATGATTATCCCCATTTCACAGATAAGGAAATATCTACAGAGGAGTATTTGACTTGATTTGGGCCCCATAACTAATAGGCAGAGGCACTGGCTTTTAAACTCAATTTGACACAATTACTCTTTATTTGTATAAGAAGTGAGATTATTTTCAGTATTGCAAAAATTCACTGTCAATTACCAAACTATTTGACTTAGATAACATATCAATTATGTGTTGTGAGACAAACAGCAAACATACCTTATGTTCAGAATCCTTTAGAAAACACTGAGAAATATTTAGAGAATAAGAGAGAAATGAATATGCCTAAAGCTCTCCATGCTCATATTTTGCTCCTGGTTTCTTTGGAATGTCCTAGCTTGAAGAGATGATAAAGGGCTTGTATGGGTCCAATTCTGTGTTGTAGAAAGGCAGATGGGATCCTGAGGCTCTGTAAAACTGTTCCTCTGCTAGGCATACTTCATATTCTCTATATTAAACTCATCTTTAATTGGCATGGAAGATTCATTGTTCCAAATCTCAGATGAAGATCCCTATATTGGATGCAATTAAGCCTGGCAGCGCCCTCAAAAGACAGTCTTGTCACTGCTAGCCACAGCCAGGACACAGTAACAGTTCCTTCTAGTGACCCAAGACCAATAAAAAAATAAAACTACTAAAGAAGTTCTGACCTCCAAAGGCAATTAGCCCATTCCTGGTATTGCCAATTATGATAGAAAAAAATTGCCAAGCTCCTGGGACATGGAAATACACTCAGTAACATTTGAGAACTGGAGAAACTATTTTCCAAAATAGTATGAAGACATGAAGGTGATTTGTAGATATTTGAGTTTGGAGAAAGTTGAGGGAAATCAGATTACACATGTTTACTACAAGAGATTGTTAATAAGTAAAGAAAGGCTCTGATATAACAAATCTAAACAGACGAAGTGAGAATAAAATCTTAAATTCAAAAACTTGACCATCCCTTTTTAGGCAAAAAAAAAAAAAAAAGAAGAAAAAGAAAAAAATCACCTGATGACCTTCATTTTTCAATTATTAGAGTTATCTCTACTACCTAGAAATAATCACTGTCAAATTTTGGTGAATTTCCTTCTAGTTTTTTATATTTCCTATATATTTTTTTAATTAGCATCCTTCTCATTTTCTATGTCATCAAAATTCTTCATGATTTTTTTCTATTTAAATAACATTTTATCATTTTGTTGTAACATTATTTAACCATTACACTGTTGTGGAAAATTTAGGTAATTTCCCATTTTTTACCATTTTGGATGATGTTATAATTAATTAATCTCTTTGTAACCTGAGTCTTTGTGCTTGAGGCTCTTGATATATGAGCTACTACATTCCTCTTTGAAAGTCTCTACCATATTCTTTCCAATTGATGGTATCTTAAATTTTCTCTGCACCATTAACCACTGGCCAACTAACATAATAAGTGGACTTCCAAAAACTACAATTCTTCTCCAGATAGACTAAATGGTCTACTTACAATGACCCACACTGAACATTAACTTCCCTGATATTTTAGAGCAGCTTTTATAGACATGGCTGGAAATTAAGCTTACAATTAAAAAAAATAAAGAAACATAAAAAAGAATGCCATTTGCATAAACTAAGCAAACAGATCCAAAATATATACATAGTAAAAAGACCAGATGTAAATAAATAAAATTTTGATTTTGGCCTTCTTTAGGTTGTGAACTTTCAGTACTTTTGTTCTTTTCCTATCTATATTTTCTACTATTCTCAAATCAATGTGAATTGCTTTTATAGCAAAAAAGCCAATATACTTTATTTTTAAGAAAAAGATATATAGAACCAAGCAATTTAGTCCTCCAAAAAAAAACCACATTCTTCATATTGAATGATATACAGTATCCTATTACAGTAGTATGCGAAACACCTATAGTTATGACTGTACCTACAGACTCAACTGAAAGAAGAAGGCAATCATAGGAATCTCTCCAGGCCACACACACACACAAAAAAAATTCTGTCTCAATTATCTATAGCTTTCACACAAAATTGTTTTCTGATCTGGAATTATCCAGATGACTGACTCTTTCATTTTTCTTCTAACTCTACATGTAAAACTCTAAGACAATTATTTACCACTGAAAAATTGTGAAGAAAACACCAGATTAAAAATGAGAACACACAGAAAAATTGGGCATGAGTATGTAATAATTCTCCGTACTTTCTGGGTATTAGTCCATTCTCATTCTGCTAATAAGACATATCCAAGATTGGATAATTTATAAAGGAAAGGGGTTTAATTGACTCACAGATCTGAGCGCTGGGGAGGCCTCAGGAAACTTACAATCATGGTGGAAGGGAAAGTAGACACATCCTTCTTCACATGGTGACAGCAAGGAGAAGTGCAGAGTGAAGGTGGGGAAAAACACCTTATAAAACCATCAGATCTTTTGAAAACTCACTAACTATCATGAGAACAGCATAGAGGTAACTGCCCCCATGATTCAATTACCTCCCACCGGATCCCTCCTGTGACATGTGGGGATTATGGGAACTACAGTTCAAAATGAGATTTGAGTGGGGACACTGCCAAACCATGTCACTATCTTTGTTAACTTTTCTCTAAACCTAAATCTATTTTAAAGTAGATTTTTAGGAGACACACATGGCTTCTGGAGTTCTCTGCCTTTAGCCCTCTCATGACATTAGAGATTCACTGAATATTTCTGACCTCAAGCTCCTACTTTATCAAAGAAAAAACCGTATCTATACACAAACACATAAATATATATGTATGCATGTATAGGTATATATATGCATATGTGTATATATGCATGTGCGTGTATGTGTATATACACACACATATATATAAATATGTATTCATGTTCTTAAACTTACATACCTGTTAGGAGTGTTGCAGTCTCAAACAAAATAAGAGCTACAAAAACAAAATTTTAAGTCACTATATGATTATAAAATAATAATATTATTTAATAATCTTTTGGCAAGTAGAAAACCTACGTTATATAATGGACATTGAAGAGACCAAATCTATGAACTTTTTATCTTAAAAGAACTCTTATTTTCTTGTGATAAATTTTTCAAAAAGAAAGCAAAGTTTTGCTTAAAAGCATTTCTCACTGATGTTTCTGCATAGTCTAATTTTTTCCTTTCACTTCATGATTTACTTATCTTGCCTTTAAATTTACATCCCCAAATTCTTCGTAGACAATTACAAATGTCCTTCCTCCTACTTTAGATATCACGTAGCTGTAAGTTTTCATTTCTTAATCATACATTATCTTACTATTATTTAGTAGCTAGTTCACCCCTTAATAATTTTCCACTGAACTACGGATTCTTTCCAGTTAACATCAATTCTACTGTAGACATACCCAAATATAAACATAGAATTTTCAATGTAATCTCAAAAATCCTAATAAGGGATATCTGTCATGTTTATACATTGGAGCTTAAATGTTTCTTCTAATTTTTCCCATTGTACAAAATAGCACTACCAAGATGTTTTAGCCAAAAACTGCATCATCTTGGAATAGTTCCTACCATTTTGCAATACATAAACAGGTCATATTCAATCCACCTGTAAGGTACAAGGGAAATAAAAGTAATTTTTTCCCTTCTTCCATTGCTACTACCCAAGTTGAAGACTGGGACATTGTCTTTCTCCCACACCACTGTACTGGTCTCCTGTTTGCTCTCCCTGCTTCCTCTGTGTCCCCTTAATGATCAATTTTTAGTAACAGACAGATGTGCTGGAAACTACCCAAATGCTTTCCCATTGATCTTTAAACTAGGTCAGGCACAGTGGTTCATGCCTGTAATCCCAACCCTTTGGGAGGCCGAGGTGGGCAGATCACCTGAGGTCAGGAGTTCAAGACCAGCATGGACAACATGGTGAAACTCCATCTCTACAAAAATACAAAAAAAAAAAAAAAAAAAAAAAAAAAGCTGGGCATGATGGTGGGTGCCTGTAATCCCAGCTATTCGGGAGGCTGAGGCAGGAGAATCACTTGAATCCGGGAGGCGGAGGTTGCAGTGAGCCAAGATTGCACCACTGCACTCCAGCCTGGGCAACAGAGTGAGACTCGGTCTAAAAAAAAAAAAAAACAAAAAAACACTAACGCAATACTTCTTAGCTTGGTGTATAGTAAGGATCTTACTGACCTCTCCAACTTCATTTTATCCCTCTCTCCACCATAGCTGGCACATTCTCCATTCTAGCCACAAGGCTGTTTCCTGGAACACCTCTTTCCTGCATTTGTCTTTCTCTCTGTGTTCACTCAGTCAGAAGCTCTTCCGGGGCTATCTCTGACCAGCTCTTTCTCATCCTTCCTTTCCTCAATATGACTTTTATCACCTCTCTAGTATCCCACGCTACTATTCTGTATCTGAGCACCCTATTTTTTCCTGTGACATTTCTAATTTAGATGTTGATTTTTGTTTTTATCTATTGCCTATCTCACTCTCTAATATGCATGCTCTTCCAGAGAGAAACTGTCTATTTAACTCACCACTGTACATACTATACCTGTAGTATTTAACACATAGAAGGAAACCATCAATATTTTAAATGAATGAATATTATTGATGAATTAATTAGGTGTGAGTAGGATCAAGCTCTAGTAAATTTAGAAACCTCATGAGAGAAAACATGTTTGTTACCTTCTCTGGATCCAGGGGGCTATATAGTCACACATCAAGAAACAAAAGTTGTGGGTTGCTATTGACAACATCAATCAAAGCAAAAGTGAGGGGCTCTGTTTGATTTATCAATGTCATATTTCGCTCCCAACTCTGAACATACCTATTTTGTGCTTTTTCTATTTCAAAATAAATGGCTCCCTATAAGCCCAATTCTAAATGTTAGCCATTTTACTTCTAGGAACAAGATAGAAGTTTGACTCTCTCCAAATTCAAATTTGTACATGTTTTATAACCCCTATTGATTTCTTGAGTGGTTAACCATGTACTTAGAAAGGAGTGTAATTATATACCTGGAGGGTGTTAAACCTGTTAAAAGGTAAACTAACACTATAAGATCACAAGGTACCATTTAGTTAATAACTAATCTCCAGCCCTAAATGATGTCCATGTAGAAGTAAACTGTTTAGACTCACATTGGATCCTTAACTGTTTCTAAAGTAGTTTTTTGCACTCCAGTTATCACTGACTAGAAATTAAGGAAGTGCCAGAAGCAAGTCAGTTGTTCAAAACTGGGAAGAAAAAAAAATGAATCTTAGCTACACATCAGCTCTTAAAAACATAATTTTGGGGATGCAAATGCAATGAATCACGGGTACTTCAACTTAAGCTTAAGCTAAGGTGATCATACAATTCATCATTCAAAGTAGGAAACTTTTGAGAGTAAAACAGTACACGATTAATAATTTATGCTGGGAAAATAGACATAAATAAAGGAAGACTTTCCAGGTCACATCCTAGCCGAAACCAATCTTTCAGCTCACTTTCATTGACTCCATTTGGACTATTAAAAGATACACTCTATCAATATGAGTTTGATTGGTAAATGGTTACCAACCATGTACAAACCCTACTTTTTCTAGGGCTGCCATAACAAAATTACCATGAATGAGGAGACTTAAAACTACAGAAATTTATTATCTCACATTTCTAGAGGCTAAAAGACTGAAATTCAGGCATTAGAAAGGCCACACTTTCTCTCAAGTTTCAAAAGGAGAATTTTTCCTGGGCTGTTCCAGCTTTTGGTGGCTCCTGCATGTTTTGGTTTTAGTGGCACATCTCCAATGTCTGCTGCCATTTTCATATGACCTTCTGCTTGTGCGTCTTCCCTTGCCCTTCCTCTTGAGGACACCAGTCATGGATTTGGGACCCACCCTCATCCAGTATGACCTCATTTTAAGTAATTACTTATTTCCAAATAAGATTACATTCTGAGGTTCCAGGTGAATGTGAATTTGGGGTAAACATGGATCTACCAAAGACAGTAACCAATAAACTATTGGTTCCATTATTTTACCAATCACTAGATATAATATTTTGCTGATAGAAAAAAAAAGTAATGCTGGGCATGAAAAAAACTTGCTCATTGGTATTACTGTGTCTCTTTAACAGGTTAAATAGAGGGACAACACGGAAATCTACCATGGATCTTCACATCTTAAAAGTTTTATTTTAGGCAGCATTATCACATTCAATGACAGTCTTACTGTGCTTAAACACAAAGATATTTGATTCACTGACATGTACCAATAGATGATTGAGAAATACCAAAAGTTGTTAAATTCTTCAGGGCTTATACTGGCTTTGGAAGTTATTTTTTAGCAAAACCTATAAAATTCTGTGATTTTCTTAGAGTGATTCCATGACTTTTTTATTGCCAGTTTTATTTAGAATGCTCATTTAACATGTCAAACCCACCTTCAGAAATACTCATAGCACAATCAGCTACATTTGTTTCTTTAAATAATTTTATCTTATTCCTGACTATGAGAAGAGATGGTATGCCTTCTGGCTCTTTCAATGAGAATTGCTTACACTAATTTGGTCAGGTACTGTCAAATGGCAGTACTCCAGATTTATAAATTAATTCAGATCTACACAATAAATTCTCTCATTGCCATTTCTGGGCCATGACATCATTCAGGAGACATACACAAACCCATCAACATTTGCTTATGCTTGACCTTTCACACCATTCATGGATATCCTTCTTGTCTTTCATGATTAGCAACACATTTTTGCTCTGCATATTTTTACCTTTTGCTGAAGGAGACTGAAATACATAGGAAATATGGCTCTTACCTATGCACCTAGTCTTTTTGTACTGGAATGTATACTTTCTATTGAGTAGACTTCTCTGCCATATTGCACCTTACCTTGTCACCTAAGGTAGGGATTGATTGTACCTTTATGGACATTTCACTGAAGTGGTGATGAGCTGGCTCTGATGCAAACAACCAGGGGCATTAATTTTTTCAAAGCCACCACACTGAGGTAGAAGTAGCTGCCAAACATATCTCCTATGCCTATAATATTCATTTATTTATTCATTCTATATATTGAACACTTTGTGTCAGTCTCTGTCCTAAACGTTAGCTCTCTCTCTCTATATATATATATACACACACACACATAGATACACACACACATACACAAACATACATACATATATACACAAACATATATATATATATATAAACCTGGAAACAATACACAGTCTCTGCCCAAAGAGAGGGTATAATCTAGTGCAAAACTTTCTTATGTGCCCTGAATAGGTAACAGGTGTGTTAGTGCAGTGATCCACCTTAGCCTTCTGGGTGGCTTGGGTGGCTAGAGCCCCAAGGCTTATAATGTCCTCTTTTTACCAAAAACTCAATTTATTTTTTTCTGTATGTATGGTGATGTTAAAAATTTGGAGATGCCATAATCTAATGCAGTGTTTCCCAGAATGAAGTCTGATGGAATAGTCCCACAAAATGTTCCTCCAAAGAGCAGGGAGGTTCCATTGAGAAATGAGTCTAGAAGCACTACATAATGCTTGTCCCCTCCTGGCATCTCACAGTGTAAGTTAGCCTTTTAAGGGCTCTGAGGAAAGCAGCAGTAAAGAAACCAATATAATTTGGTTTAATCCACTCTATCCCAAATTTATTTGACTACAGAACCCCTTTTTCCCGTGAATTCTGCTACAGAAGTAGTCAGGCATCAACAGAGCTCCCCTCAGGAAACTCTGGTCTAAAGAGCATGTTCTATGTCCGTAAGGCCTGCAATTTAGAAGCACAGGTGGCCATTTGTCCTGCCCCATGAAACCAAAGAGATATTTCTCAACTTCTGCCTCTTCTATTCTGCTGTCAATACCCACTCTTTGTTTTAATATCATTTATCTCAGTTGCCACAGTGACACAAATAGTAATTTTGCCTCCAATTGTTTTCCTCTATTTGTCTTCTTTCCTGCCGCTGTTACCTTTCTTGTGACTTCATCTTTCCCACGGACTAGCTGAGCTGATATAGATATCACCAGTGGCCCAATGCTCCTTTACTCTCATCTGTAAATTGAAGCAATCATAAACATTGGTATAATCTGCACCTTTTCTCAGCTGTGTTATCTGTTCCTGTATTTGCAAGGATGCTTCATTTGCTTTCACACAGGGTGTTCTTGTTGTCAATTCTGTTAGTTATACAACAGAGTCATTAAAGAAGCCTGGAGATTTGAAAAAATTGGTCTCCAAATATCTGAGAATTGACAAAATCTAGAAATCTCTCACAGATGTTGGCACTTGTTACAGGCACACAGGCCATACATGGAGTGGAGTGTTCTCAAAAGAGACAAAGACATTCTAAAACAGAGTGAGTTTTCCAGGCTGACTACGAAGGGTAAGGAAGGCTTGGCAAGCTGAGGTCCCCTGAGGACTTCCCGTAACATCCAAGAGTGGATGCGGGAAGAGCAGCAGAGGGCAAACCATGGCTCACACACTCATAGACCACAGCGGAGACTGGCACTTTACAGAGAGGAGCTAAGATAGACCTGGGACCAGAAAGGTGGGCCACTGTAGGACAGTTATCAGGGGAAGGAAGGGGGATCCAGGGTGCAGGAAAGCCTAGCATCAGATAGCCAAAGCCTGCGAGAGGTAAGAAAAAATGGTGACGTGAGGTCAGGAACACCAGGCTGCACACTATTTGCACGTCAGAATCACCTAAAGCACCTTTTAAAAGACAGATCCAGGCCCCTCAGCTGGTAATTCTGATTGAGCTGATCAAGACCAAAGCCTGGAAATCTATTTTTCACAAGGGAAGGAGGTCAATCTGCACTAGAACAAGAAGCATTGCCCTTAAAATGGGAATTTTAGTGTACTATAATTCTATTTTATCCTTAAAATTAGCTATTTGTAAGAGATCATAGTAGAATTGTGTTTATACAAAACTCACAGATATATATATATCTATATACATACTTCTGTGAGGGGTGTCAGAGCATCAACAGCATCCTCTAAGATCCTGTGATGTCCAAATACAGTACTAAGGTGCTGTACCTATAATACCTATAAATTCTGCTCAGGTATCTAGCATTGCATAATATCCCCAACTGTGGCTATCTACAATTTCTAAACTGGGTAGTTCATTAGTGTTTAGAATTAAACATTAAACTTAAATATTCCATTTAAATAATACAAAACATTTCTAGCTATTAGAAGCACTTTTACTACCAATTTTATGGAACTTTTCAGTTTCCTTTTTTTTTTTCTCAGAAGTTCAGTTTTAAACCAGTTTTCATCGAGAATTTTACATTTCTTCTAGTGTCTTTTCTCAAGCACTTTTGAGACTGTGCTCAAGAAAGCCTATTGAAGAGTAAAAGCTATACCTCTGTTCCTTAGTTTAATAAATTATAAAAACCCCTCCAGTTCTTTTTAGGATGCTCTTGTAGAAAACCAAACTGATCACTAGTTTTATTTATCACAGTATCATCAAGTATATCTGTGCTGCTAATTGTGGTGTTTAGCATCTATTACCATAAAATACTTTTAAGTATGAGAATAAATGCATGGTTTTATTCTGAAGCTGACAAGTAAGGAAAATGTTTTATTAATTTAAAATACTAGTTTCTATTTTGAAATTCATTTGCCTGTTTTTTGTTTTGTTTTGCTTTTTTAAATAAAAGTTTCCTTCTGCCCTGAAAATTTTCAATATTCTCACTTCTGGACAATGCTATACACACAGTGTGAATGGCCAAATTAGAATCTGTTAATTCAGAATTGACCATACATAGTTCCACTGTGATTTTTGAGGTATGACATGCATACAAATGACAAATTTTTCCACCTAGAACTAAAGTTCCCATACTTCAATCTTTAAATGAAAGGGGTAATAAATTCTTCCTTTCAGGATCACACACATCCCTGGCTAACAGAAGTGATATTATTTTTAAAACTCGATGATCTGTTCATTTCTCCATTAGCCTCACCAGAAGCTGTGGAAAGAAGAAACCACATCCCCTTCTCTGGCTCCACTTCTCCAGGATCTGCAGCCACTCCCCTCTGGCAGATATTCTTTCATAAGGCAGTACTTACAGTCCCCTTTGACATGCCACCCTCACCTACAAAAAGTTGTTCCCATGAAGCAAAGTTAAGATTCCTTTTCTACTGCTTTTACTTTTGTATATTTTCTGGAAACTTCCCAATATCAGTAGAGAAACCTAGGGAAACATTCCTTTATTTTAAAAACTATGTATTCATCATCTTGTGCTATGTTCTGTGCTACGTACAGAGACTACGCAAGTTTTTTTTTTTTTTCTTAAATCAAATATATTACCAGCCTTTAAAAGGGAGTTTCTGAACTAACGTGTCACACAGACAAGTAAACAATAATGAAGATTTGGTGTGGATGGTGCCAGAATAGGAGAGTGGTTTTAGGTCAGAGGGGCAGTGAGCCCAGACTGAGGAGACAGAAGAGAACATTGCAGAAGTTTCTTAGAGGAAATAATGCCAAGGATGAGACCTAAGTGATGAGCAGGACTTTGGTAAACGAAAAGGAAGGAAAGTGAGCATTCCAGGCAAAGGGAATAGCATATGGGAAGTCCCAGAGGGGAGAGAAAAATTTCATATGATGAATGTAAGAAGATGCAGAAGAATTGCAAAAGGTGAGAATGGAGAAGCTGGGACTAGATTCTGAATTGCCTTCTGAGTACTGTTAGCATTTGGCTCATTAAAGGAACAGTGAGGAATAACTTGAGAATTATTTCTTTGGGAAGTTTTAAGGGCGATCAAAATGTACTCACGTTTTCTCTTCTAGAAAGATCACTCTGGCCTAGGTGGAAAACATATTTCGAGAGGGCAAAATTGGAGGCATGGTGATTTGCTGACATATGGTCTGACTTTAGTGAGTAGCAGTAGAAATGTAGAGAAATAGACAAATTTGGGAGATACTTAAGAAGTAGAAATCTTGGTGATTTACTCAGTTAGAATTTAAAAGTGAAACCCAGATTTCCTGTTTGGTCAATGAGTAGATAAATATGCCTGGGATAAGAAGCAGGGGAAGGAAGTGGGAGAAGGATCTGATGAGTTTGAGGTACCTGGGAGACCCTAGGAATGTTGATATATAGATATGAAACTCCATAAAAGTGTGATCACCTCATCACCTATAAAAAGTTGATCTGGGCTGACTAATCAATATTTGGAAGTCAGAGGCAGTAAAATGACAAATAAAGGCCTTGGGTGATGATGAGCTCTCTCAGGGAAAATGTTTAAACTGCAACAAGAGAAGAACCTTAGGGAAGTATCAACATTTAAGGAATCAGTTGGAAAATGGGAGCCTACACAGTAGACTATGAAGGACCAACCAAAAAGAACAAGAACTGGGTGGTATCATGGAAACCCAGGGAAGAGAGGGCTTCAAAAAGGAGGATGTGGTCAGCTGTAGTGAATATTACTGAGAGATTGTGATGGCTGAGGCCTGAGAAGAGACTACTAGTTTTAACAACAGTGTTGTTGGTAACATTGGTCATAATAGTTTCTCTGAAGGGGTGACCAGAGAGCTGCAAGAATGAGGAGAGGTGAGTGCAGAAGTGAAGAAAAGGAGCAGAGACAACACTTGTAAGTTTCACTGTAAATGGAATAAAGGAAACGAGGTCTACCAAGGGACATGGATTGAGAGGGCCTTTTTCATTTTTATTTTAAGAAGGAAGACACTTGAGTGTGTTGAAATGCTGATGGAAATGAGCAAAGAGTGAGGAAGAGTTGAAGATACAAGAACAAAGGGAGATAATTGACGGAGAGCCCTTGAGGATGATGGAGGGGTTGAGATTCATGAGGGATTGGCCCTAGACAAGGTACATGGGTTAAAAGGCAGAAAGAAAGAAAGAAAGAAAGAAAGAAAGAAAGAAAGAGAAAGAAAGAAAGAAAGAAAGAAAGAGAAAGAAAGAAAGAAAGAAAGAAAGAAAGAAAGAAAGAAGGAAAGAAAGGAAGGAAGGAAAGAAAGAAGGAAAGAAGGAAAGAAGGAAAAGGAAAAGAAAAAAGAAAAGAAAGGAGGAAGGAAGGAAGGAAGGAAGGAAGGAAAGAAAGACAGACAGAAAGAGAGAAAGAAAGAGAAAGGAAGGAAATTGTTTTTTAGAGTAGCAATAGAATCTAGGTGGGATAAAGAGTCAGGAGTCATCAAACACAAATGATAAATAAGATATGAAGGCCAGATGTTGTCGTGTATTTTTATAAGTTCCTAACTATCATACTGTACATATCACACTGGAAAGAGCCCTGACTTCGACAGCAATTCTGTTTACAAGTTGTGTAAATTACTAAGACAAGTAATTTAACCTACTTTAATTTCATTTTCCTAATCTATAAAAAAATGGAAATTTTATAAATCTACCTTGAAAGGCTATACTAAGGAATACATTTTGACCATGTTAAGTATTAACACAATGATGGTCCTGTTGTAAGATTCTCAAGTAATTTAAGACATAATTACTATCATCTTGTCTTAAGAATCAGTTTTCTTGATTGTCTTTAGAAGATAATAAGCAAAATCACTGAGCGACAACCAATAGCTTTAGCGTATGGATACACAACACATAGCATAGTGCCAGACACATAATAGCTACTCAAGAAATATTCATATAATAAATTACTGAAAGACAGCTTTGGTGTTCTATCTGTGTTATTCAGACCTTTGCTTTCACTATATTCCAGTAAATGCTCTAGCCTCAATCCTCTTCACTCTCTGCCAGTTAGTCACTTCAGGGTCACAGAAGAAAACGGTTACATCACCTGAGGAGGTTTGTCTTGACTATCCATTTCTGCACACGCAGCCTACAAAGAAGAAAACTGCTTGGCTCACATGGCCCAGAAGACTAGAGTAGATGGGACCTGACCCGTTGCTTCTTTCTTCTGTTACTTAGTGTCATTTTCAGCATTGTCACCAATGAAGCTCACTAAGAAAGGATGCCTGGATTAACCACAAGCAAATAATTTTGGCCAAAAATGCATAGATTTAGTTCAAGACAAAAAGGAAGAGAATAAATATATTCTTAGCATAAAATGGCTTCCCATGGCATTTTCTTTCTCTAAAGTTTATAGCAAACTTTGTCTCCTGAGAGCAGCTTGAAAGCAAGGAGATGCTGAGGGGAAAACTCAATGGGGAGAGCTGCAACAAATTGCCCCAGATAAGCTTAAGGCAACTCCAGCTCTGGACTCCCAAGAGGCTAATGAACCATAGATTCCTACCTCTTCCCAAGGCCTGATACTTACAGAAATGTTGTCAAAGACTTCTAAAGTTCCATTAAATACTGTATTTTTAAAAGGTCTTCAAACCAAGACCTGTAAACTGATAGGAGTTACCCACTTGCTGAGAGTTAATAGGCTCTGGACTGAGTGGTGAAGTTTGAAAAGGACCATTAGAGACAGAACACAACTTCTCCCAGCGGCCTGCTCTCTTCACTCTTCTGAGGGCTCTGCCATCGAAAGCCAGGCAGGGCATTGCCGAGTCAAAAAACAGAGCAAACAGCTAAGGAGCTACTTATTTTGCAATTAATAATAAAATTTTTTGAGGTCCAGGATTTCTAACTAAATCTACATGAGCCTTGTTATGCCAAATTATTGGATTATAATTGTATTTGGATGTCAAGTGAAAATGTTGCATACAAGTTTTTCTCCCAAGATTTTACAGATTTTTCAGTATTTATCTATGTAAATATATTACAAATAGAAACTGAGTTAATAAAAGCCCATGCAAATAATCATCCACTATTGTTGCATTTCAATTACTCCAGTCCCCAAATTACTATGTATATTTCAGATGCTGGTACTTTTTCCAATTTAAATTCTAGCAATCCCTGAATCATGTCATCAAGGCCTTGCCTGATAATCCAGTAACATGGAAATTAGTTTTCTTACACTTTATTTTAATTTTATGTTCAATAAGAATATTTATAGCATATGCAAGCAACGATAAGGATAATCACATTTCACATTTTATATTAGTGCCTATCAATGGTGGAATGAAGAGGAATTTCTGTTTGTTTGCATCCATCCTGTTCCCAACCCATACCACTGCCTCACTAGCAAAGTTTCTGATCCAAGTAGTTTCAATTATTTTTCTGAAAAAAATAGAATAATGTTCAACTTGCAGAAGAAATGTTAAATTTGTAGCAAGAATGTTGAAGGACTTGGTCTCTGTTTTGAAGTGTTATTTTCTAAGTCTTTAACAGAGATTAAATAACAAGAATGTTATGACTGGGTCTCTGCTCTTTACAAAACTTGAGAATTGATTGTATCCTTAAATTCTCTGTGTCCCTCATGCTAGGCTGTCACTTTTAACTAGCATTTTTATTTGAGTCTGTGTCCCAGAAGCTTTAAAAAGGAGAGACTCTTCTCATCTACTCGTATATGCCTTGCAGAAGCTATGACAGCAGGTGAGGTTATTGTGGAATCTGTTAAGTTGCAGGAACTCAGACTTCATTACATTCAGAACCCATTCAATAGGAATGCTTTTCTAGTCTTTAAAAAACTTGGATTGCAACTCAAGCTAGATATGAGGTTTTACTGCCTCATATGTTTATACCTGATAAGATAAGGAGAGGAAATCATAAGAACTGTATATCTTCTTTGAAACCAACTCTAACCAACAATGGGAACAATCATGACTTTATTTCTGTATTTATAATTTATTTCTGTCCCAGGCACAATGTAAATATAAGGAGAACAGAACAGTTTTTTCCTTTTCTAGTTAAATAAAAGTAGTTTCATTTTGCTTTGGAGAAATGGCAGTAAGTCGGGGAGGGTAAAATTAAGTAATTACAAAAGGTGTGTAAGAATATGAATATTTCAATACTGGAGTTTCCCTCTACTGTCATTACATGTAAAAAATAGCAAGATTACATAAACACATTCAAAACTGAAAATTTTTGTTTTTCTATAGAAGTATGACACATTTTGTGGACCAACAGCAAAAGATAGTTGAAAAGATAATAAACCAAACTGTAATACTCGCATGTGCGTGTCAAGATCATATGGGATGTTAAAGCATGATTTTAAAAATTGAACTTAGGTCCACTAAACAAAAGAAAGGCAATACATTACATAGTAAAGGTCCTCTCTGCTAGAATGTCTGAATTATAGACACAGTCAAAATTTAAGATATTTTATACCCTTTCAAAAGGTAGCATGTCCCATAATTAAGGCAAAAGTAATTTATTTTGTTTAATATATATAAATAATATCTCTATTTCTCTACGTCTTTCTCCTAGCGTATCAAAAATAATATTCTCTAGTAAATGTTAGTAAATATTCATGATTAATCATAAGTAAATATTAGCAATAGAAATAAATGTTACTTTCAGAATTCAATGAACTTAGAGCTCTGAAGTAATCTAACCGATATACATTAACAGTCTACAACATCCCTGAGAAATGGCCACACAGCTCCTTTCAATACCACCAGAAGCCCACTATTTTACAATGGAACTCACTCATTCTCCTACTGAACAGCTCTAGTTGTTTAAAAATATGCAGTGGAGATCTGCCCACCTAAAACATCCACTAAATTCCTGATGTTTCCTCTAGTTTAGGATCTTTTCAATTTTCTCAGAAACGCTTACACAGAATCAGACTCTTCTGTATGAATCAATGGCCTAAGAATTTGTATACATTTGCAATAAAGTCCTGATTAAAGTGGGGCATTACCAGAGAAATATCATTTGACCAGCCCCCAAAGGCCTCGCAGACTGTAGTGAACAACGGGTAGGGTCTAGTTCTCTGGTCTATACAGCACAAGTTTGACCTTAAAAAACTTCAGAATTGAGTGGGATGAAGATGACATGTGACCCCCTCAAAAAATAAACAGAAATTCAGAACTAGTCAATTCTCTGAAATGAAATATGTTAACTGTTAAATGGGTAAGATATTCATGTTGTTTTGTCAAAGCCATTCCAATGTGAAGGCTACATAGAAGTCGAATTATTTTAAGAATGACTAGACAACAGAGCATCAGAACAAGAGAAATGGGTTAACTGAATAAATATTTAATAGCATCAGAAACTAATAACCTGGTGCATCTATCTCTGCACCTGGGACTCTGGGTTGGCTAGTTCAGGCTGGTTTTTTAAGACACACCAACTTGGGCTGGGTGTAGTGACTCACGACTGTAATCCCAGCACTTTGGGAGGCTGAGGCAGGTGGATCACTTGAGGCCAGGAGTTCAAGACCAGCCTGGCCAACATGGAAAACCCCCATCTCTGCTAAAAAATACAAAAAGTTAGCTAGTCCCACATGCCTATAGTCCCACCTAAGAGGGAGGCAGAGACACGAGAATCACTTGAGCCCAGGAGGTGGAGGTGGTAGTGAGCCAAAATCACGCCACTGCATTCCATCCTGGGTAATAGAGTAAGACTCTCAAACTAAAAAACAAAGACACACCAGCTTGGAGAGCACTTGGATAGATAATACAACTTAACTTTCAGGACTTCTTTGGCCAACCTTTAATCTTTGTCCAAAGGAAAACATTCTCTTTTTTAGAAATATGGATAGATTTAGTCAAATTTTACACTGTAATATTTCTGCTTTGATCCATAATGTGTTCCTTTGATAGATTAATTATCTAAACAACATCTTATTTTCAACTTTTTAGGGAAAGGAATACAGGGGCAATGGTAAACACATACACACACATGTACATACTGGACTGTATTGATTTAAGTCTGAACTGCTAAATCTGGCTTTGCCCCCTTTCTACCCACTTAACCTTACTTGACTTGCAGTAAGGTAAGGCCTCACCATTTGCCATTCTCTGTCTCTTTAGCTTTCCCTGTTTCTTTCCCTGCAAGCACCAGGGTAGAAACAATATGAGTAGCTGTACTATAGAACAGCCCACTTCAATAGCTCTTGACTGAAGTGTTGACTAGCAATGGGCATGGAGCCCTATTAGCTCTGCTGCAGATAACTCAGATTGTATCAGAATTGTTTTTTCAAAGGGTCAGGAACTCTCTAGAACAAACCATTTGTAAACATTTAAACAGGAAACTAGTTGAGGATTTTAAACACAGACATGAAGAGTTTCTACCATAGCCTTTTATCTATTTTAGAAGAAAGAGCACAACCCTTACATTAAACCTCTTTTTAAATGGAGGACAGAGAAATCAATGTCTAAATCATAAGCTACTGAAGGAAACATGCAGACTTCCAGAAATATATAATTTTTATATAATTTAAAATGTTTTAATGCTTTGTTATTGCTTAATACCTACTATACATAAACATTAAGATCACAAACACTATGGTTCATATACATGTTTGTTTGGATATTAGATTTCTGTGTTTCTACTCTTAATATACTAAAATCTTGTTTCTAAAATATGTCTATTGCATTACTAGCAGTGGTTATATATTCAGGTTTTCAATCAACTGATTTACTTGGTTGGATTGACTATAAATTTGTTGACATATATTGATGATTCCTCATTTTCTTGCCCAGAGATCATTTCTTCTACTAATTTATTTTCAATCTCTCTGCTTTCTTATTTGACAGTATCCTATGAGCAGCATAACAGAGCACTCCAAGCTCATAAGGAATAGTGTAAACTAATTAGCAGATTTTACAATGGAAACTATTCCCTACCCATGTGATCACCCTGGCTGGATAATGAACTTTGTGAAAATATCCATCTCTTACCACACTAAGGCAGCAGCCTCATTCAGACAAGCTCTTATTTTTCCCTTATACTTCAGTTCATAATTGTGAATATGGCACGAATCCAGAAACAAACTGTCAGTATGGGGTGAGGTACAGTGTTAAAAATAAAATAGACTAAAAACCGGATTTTCACTTTAAAAAATTCTTGACATTCTTTTGTAACTGACAGAAAGAAAAATAGTCCTAATAAGATGTGTTTGGAAAATACTATATCTGAAAAGACAGTGTATAACTGAAATTTAGGGAAGTCACAGAAAATTTCCCTGCATGCAGGTGTTCAGAAGCACTGAGGGGTTATTAATGAACCATAGAAGTGTCGAATAGTTTGTTATGGGAAGAAGGTCCAGAAATAAAAGTGAAAATCAGAGCTGGTTCATTACACCAGCAGTGTGACTGGCAAACCCCACTGCTAAAGTCTCCTTTAAACAGCAGGTGCATGGTTTGATCGCTATAGTGTGTAGCCCCCGGCCCTGGCACAGAATGAACACAGCCTCCTCCATGGGTTCATGAACTGCCCCGCTTCCATTTTGGTCACACGTTCCCATGTGGGAAATTTCACCCAACACTACCCACTTTAATTTTGGTGTATTTGCTTACTGCAGCTGCACTTGCTACCAAAAACATTATACCACAAAATTCCAAAGTAACTTCAAAGAAGAGGGAAGAAACCAAAAAAGTTCTATACATTCTTAGTTTTCTCCATGGAAGTGGTATGTTCAGTTAAATAGCTGCTATCGATGTGCAAATACTGTAATTCAAACAAAAAAATCACCAACCATCCTAGCTAAAGAGACACAGATAAGAAACAAACTAATGATTTAAATGTCATCTACAGGCTCTCTAGTATCTTGATGGTAAATCCCTTACAAATTTGGGTGTGTAACATAAAATATTGCCCATCATAATGATGCATATAAATATCTCTACACAAGAAAGCACTATACATCTTTTACAACTTTTTTCAGACTTTGTTTTGCAGATGGCATCTGGATCTTAAAGATGTATAGATATTTTGCAGCTCTGTTTAATCATAAATAATAGATTTGTCTGATTCGCTAATACCAGAGGCATGTTTTTTTCTTCCAATGAATATGCTTATCATCCGTGACTGCTAATAATAAAACCTATACCCTTATATGGAAATAAACCATTTCATAAAAATAGGAATTCATTTGCCATTTTCCATTACTGCTGACTAATTACTAGGGTGTTGAAGAGTACCTTCAGATTGAAGAGTGTCTTCAGATTGAGTTCATAAAAGCTATATTTCTCATGTGTTTGGGCAGAAATTTTCAAGAATATCATATTTCAGATTTAGGGAAAACTCAAAAGTTTTATCATAAAATGAACATATTAAGACTCAAAAGACACTTAAATATGGCATTACAAATATGAAGCAAACGTTTTTGGACTAACAAAGGTCAAAAAATTTCAAATATCTATGAAAACATGGCAAAACAAGTAGAACATGTTGTAATGGCAGGCAAAAGTGTTCACTTTAGAATCCACGTTTATTCGTTATCGTAAGTTTAGGTTTCACATAGCATTGTTAATACAGGCCAAATATGCATTTAAATACACTTACAGTATTCAGTGTATACTATGTGAATATCTACATAAGTGATTTTGAAATAACGTTTTCTTATTTAATAGGTTTATTGTGGCAACAAAAAAATGTGTGGATGCTAGTGAAAATCATGTTTGCAGTAGATTTTAAAAGCCTGAAAGAATACATTTGTTGAAATTTGCATTCGGTTTGGAAAATGTGTGTTTAACAATTGAACACGGCCATATTTTAACTTTTAAGCTTTCGTATTGCGAAAGTATCAAGGTATTACAGCAATTTACTCTTAAGGACATTATGCTGGGCTTTGAAATTTAAAAAATAGGATATTTCTTCTTGGAGTATTTCATGATCAATGTACGGTCCCTATGTGAGGAAAATTAAAGCTGTCTGACAAGTCCTAGAAACACCACTAGCTGTTAAAGATGTAGGAAATTGCATGAAAGCATAAAAAGCACTGGGTAATTTTGCAAATTTCATCTCTAAACACAATTGTAAAGACGTCTTTCAGTTCTTTCTTCCTCTTATTTCTGAAGCATAGCCCTTTAGTTCTTGCCCTTTTAAATATCTTTGCCTACCATAGCTTTGCTTCTTAATGTACTGGTTGATCTTACCAGGCTAAGTATTTACAGGGGGTGCTTACTTTTATCTGTATTCACAGAGAATGCTAACAAATTAGAAGAAAGTGCCAGAGAACACCACATACCTTGTCC
Organism: Homo sapiens; assembly: GCF_000001405.40. Lineage (NCBI taxonomy): Eukaryota > Metazoa > Chordata > Mammalia > Primates > Hominidae > Homo > Homo sapiens. The sequence continues at coordinate 191,956,326 of NC_000002.12, read as the reverse complement.
GGAACATTACAATGGCTTCTGCATGCATGGGAAGTGTGAGCATTCTATCAATATGCAGGAGCCATCTTGCAGGTAACATTTTTACTCGCAAGAATAGTTAATGTATAAAGTTAATATGTAGAAACTAAATTGTAGATGTTTATAGAAAATTGGTAGACATTCTTCTTGAATGGGTAATCAGCAACAAAACTTTTCTCTGCTCCTCCTGTGCATGCATACACACATACACACATACTCACACACTAAAAAAAAACAAAAATATGTGCACCTTACACACTCAAGTACTATATAACACATTACTGAACTGTTCTAGAATTTGAAATTGTACTTTGTGCATTATAAGCTCCTTAAAGGTACAAGTTCCTCCATATTACCACTCTTTCTCCTGAACACAGAATAGTTGCTCAATAAGTATTTATCAGACAAATGAATGGATGAAGCCTTATGTATATTAGATTGCATAGTTGCTTCTCAGAGTTCATCTTTTCCTAAGTCCTTCAGGTCTTCTCATAAATATCATCAATCCTTGTTTTGCCAGGCATTCACTATTTTCTATAGATCTGCTCTCCCATGGAGCCGTGCAAAGTGAAATCATTAGCCATACCCCCCCAGTTTCAAACTCAGTAGAGACACAAAGAAGTTGTTTATCTGGATTTAGTTTATAAATATAAATACTGGCCAGGCATGATGGCTCACACCTGTAATCCCGCATTTTGGGAAGCCAAGGTGAGAGGATCACTTGAAGCCAGCCTGGGCAACAAAGGGAGATCCTATCTCTAAAAAAAAAAAAAAAAAAAAAAAATTAAGAATTAGCCAGGCACGGTGGCATGCAACCTGTAGTCCAGGAGCTACTTGAGAGCTGAGATGGGATGATCCCTTGAGCCCAGGAGTTCAAGCCTGCAGTGAGCTATGGTCACACCACTACACTCCAGCCTGGGCAACTGAGCAAGACCCCGCCTCTTATATATATATTAATATATATGTATTTAAATACCTACTGTATGTCTAAAATATAATTATTTCAGAGATGGCAAAGCCAAAATGAAAACATAATTTATTTTTATTTTTATTTACATTAAGTACAAGTGACATATGATGAAATAGATTGTATTTTCATTTACAACAGAAGATTTCTCTCTCTCTCTCTCTCTCCCTCTCTCTCCCACTCTTCCTCCCTCCCCCCTCCCCGCCCCCCACCTAGAGCTGTCTTCCTTTCATGTTTTCCCTCCACAAAATATACTAGCACAGGCCTTCAACTGAAGTAAGGCAGAGTGAACAAAACTGAGAAGTTACTCTTGCTACCCCCTCACTCCCCAGCAGTGTCATTATTATTAAACCCTTCCTGATGGAGAGAAAAAATTTCTCAGGATGTAGTTATGAGAAATTCAAAGTGAAGTAATAGAATAGTTCCACAAAATCAATGATATGTTGATCCTCTTTAAGTATTGTTTTCTTATGAGCTATTTTCTCATTTCATTGACACATGCTAATTTTCCTATGTAGATTGTCTACCTGAGCTTTCCATGAGGGTTGAGTGAGAGGAGGCAACATTCATTCTCAGATGAACAATACCTCGTCTTGTTTTGCAGAACTATGTTGCCTACGTCATACTTACTTTTTTCTAACAAAATTTGACTCTATCATCAGCAGATGATTTTTTTGACCAGAAAATTAATGACTCATCCTGTAACTCTGATCCTAATATTTCTCAACATTTATTCTGACAATGGCATAGAGAATGTTTCATCCAAAACAGACTAATTTTTGTACCCATGTCATCAGAAACACATATTTTTTCAAGTAAACATGTTGACTTAGGTTGATTAAAGAGCAAATTAAATAAAATGTAAAGCTCACCTTCCAGAAAATATAGAAATAACAGTCATTCCTGGACATGTATTATCTCTCTATATTGTCACCAAAAACAAATTATCTAGTAATCCTCCTACCTTTGAAATTATTATCATAAATGTAAAAGGAAACCACATATCTGATAACCGAGAAACACAAAGACATCTTGTTGAAAATAAGTAGTTGAGAGCCATAGCCACAAAGTAATATTTATTTAGAAAGGGACACAAAAAGCCCTAATTTTGTGATGAAAATAAATGCCCATCAATCAACTATAAAAATGAATGCAGGCCGGGCGCGGTGGCTCACGCCTGTAATCCCAGCACTTTGGGAGGCTGAGGTGGGCGGATCACGAGGTCAGGAAATCGAGACCATCCTGGCTAACAGGGTGAAACCCGGTCTCTACTAAAAATACAAAAAATTAGCCGGGCATAGTGGCGGGCGCCTGTAGTCCCAGCTACTCGGGAGGCTGAGGCAGGAGAATGGCGTGAACCCGGAGGCGGAACTTGCAGTGAGCCGAGATGCGCCACTGCACTCCAGCCTGGGCGACAGAGCGAGACTCCGTCTCAAAAAAAAAAAAAAAAAAAAAAAATGAATGCAGCACCCTACAGGTAACTGGGCACTATAATTTCTTCCAGGTGTGATGCTGGTTATACTGGACAACACTGTGAAAAAAAGGACTACAGTGTTCTATACGTTGTTCCCGGTCCTGTACGATTTCAGTATGTCTTAATCGCAGCTGTGATTGGAACAATTCAGATTGCTGTCATCTGTGTGGTGGTCCTCTGCATCACAAGGTCAGTAACAGCACTTGGTGGCTACCCAAATAAAGGGATATATTGTTACTCTTTTATTTAATCAGATCCCTCCGAGGTGAGTTCCTTCATGGACTCTGCAGCCATCCATTCTCTATGAGTCCTATGTCCTTAGCATAAGAGTATTTGAATAGCCAATGGAGTGGTACAATAGCATATTGGGGTGGTACAAATTATTTTCCTTAATTTTGCCTGATGATAAAGATTGTTTTTTTTACCTGCTTGAACTAGTATCCTTATCTACCTGGATTAGTATCCTTATGTATCTGAATCAGTTTTAACATATCTTGGTATAATAACAAACACATTTTTATCTTAGGATGACAAAATAGTTTTCAGTCACAAAATGCAAAAATACAAGTAGTTGTACTTTTATGGTAAATGAAAACCTTAGATACAGAAAAACATGCAGCAAATATCACAACAACCTTTTATATCAAATTCCCAGCCTAATCAAAAGGTAATTGTTTCCTGGAGAATCAGGTTAAAAGACACAGGGGTTTCCTTTAGTTTCAACAGAAAAGAAAACCATGATTAATTAGCAATGTCTGACGTTGGGCTTGGAGTAAAGGAATGAGGCCAGTACTTGCTTAATTTCATTTGCATGCAAACCAGTGGTAACCAAGAATTGGACTTCAAGCCAAATGCAAACCAACCAAGAATTGGACTTTAAGCAAAATGCGTATCATTTATGTTCTGTGTAACCAGAAAAGTCATTGAAGATAGTCCTTACTGACTTGATTTCACTCTTCTATAAAAAGTTCCAAGGAAGTTTTTAAGATTTTCACCAAATTCACAAGGCGTTTAGACTTTCTTCATTTGTGCAGCTCTCCAGTAAATCAGAATGTTTCTCTAAAAATTGTTTTGAACAGATACAAAAATAAAAGAAAGTATCGTATCTTTAGAAAATAAGGGTCATAATGCATTTCAGTATGGTATTGCACAATCTTCTTTGAGGACAAGTGTGGCATTTGCTCTTGAAAAAGACAAAATATGGTTCATAAATCCTCGCCTGGCCTCAAGGCTTAAGGGCAGGTCATTGACTAAAGCTTTGGGCTGCTCTAAGCCGAGTTGAGTTCATCAACTCGACTCTCACGTTTAGATGCCAAGTGATTATATTAAAATAGATTCTGGGGAACATAAGGATTACAAGAAACCAAAAATACTGCATATAAAAAGAAAAAGAAAAGAATCTAAAACATAGGAAACTATGCCATATTACTCTAATATCTAGCCAATATCAGTACATGAAAAACAAAACCTATATTTAATGGATATAATCTCAACAATTTGATTGCTACTTCGACTACTGACACAAATGCAAAACTGTAAATACTTTAGCTCATGTTTTCAATTCTGTTATGAATCACAGTTGCATTCCCATACATAATAAAAGCAACAGAAATATACAGGGTCCTTTCCTCACTAGGAATTGTGTAAGCACATATTATGTGTGTGTATCGTATATGTGTATACACATATACACACATATATATGCACATTTAATAACATTACAAAGAAGAAACAATTATCTCCACTTTCAAGATAGAGACCCTGAGGTAGAAGTTGGCAAATTGCTGACTTCACACAGCTGAGCAACAAGGGCAGCAATGGTGTCCAGGTGGCCTAGTGCCAGAGCCTGGACACTTCACCATGCTCATACTGCACTGTGTCTGGGAAGGATTTTGTGTATTCTGCTGCTCAAGATTATCTAAACTGAGCTCCAAATTAGAGTAAGCTATTTTTCCAAGGCACATAGACTTACTCATTTTCCATGTTATAATAAAATAAAACCTGTCCTCAATTTATTGGCTTTTGAGGGGAAGGCATAGCACATAAACTGTATTAGTATTTTGTAATGCCTTTTACAAATCTGCCTTAAGACCACCAAACCTTCTAGAGCCTTTCCAGGATTCATACTAGTCAATAAAGCACACCAATTCCCAGTGTGGATTCATTTCACTCACCTGAAAACATTCTGCTCTGAAACCAGACTTTCCAACTAGGCTGTCTGTCTCCAAACCCCAGAAACCCTACTTTCCTGATGACCTGGCCACATTTGTCTGTCAAGACCTATTTCAAAATAGGTCTTGCTAAAAGATTTACAAAATTGCAACAAGCAGAAGTCCTCCCATTTCCTTTGATTTTTCGTCTTCCTCATCTGGTCTCTCCTGTCTTCTACATCTCTCTTCTATCTCTTCTCCTTCTTTCTACTTTCTTTTTTTAAAAAAATCTTTTCTCTTTTGCATCACTATTTTAGCCAAACACCTGCCCTCCTCCTAAACACCACATGTGTCACAAAAAGTATGGACATTTGGAGACATGTTTCAAAATGAAGAGTTGCCCTGTTGAGAAGTTGGATTTTTGATCTTTTTATCTCTAGCTGCCATTTGCTGGGAATGTGATTTCAGCTCCATGTTCTCTTTAACAGATCTATCCTCCCTCTAAAACTATACATATATATATTTATATACACATACATACACACACACACATACATACACATAAACCCACATATACACACGTGATATATATGTGTATGTATATTCATATATTTTTATATATTCTGATACTTCACAGATTATTATAATAGAATTTTATATGAACTTTCCACTATTCTCATTTGCATAGTCAAAGCATTTTTTGTTACAAGAGAAAAAAGTCAGACATTTTCAGATAATTTGACTGAATATTAGATTTTTATAGATGCTAAATAACTGGTACCAATTTATGTCCCTAATTTATACTAGTAATGTACAAAAATGATATTAGGCTGGTCCAAAACAATATTCCTTTCCATTACATATCAGATATTAACAGTTGGTTCATTCTCTGGTTTGATAGGATTTAAACTCATAACATTGAAAAGTCAATATAACATTCATTCTTAGGACATTTGAAATATAAAATTGTTGAAGACCTTTAAAGTGAGATAAAATGGGCCCATGACTTGCTTGATTGCATTGTGCTGAGTCATTCTTTGTGCCTTAATGAGTAAGCAGTTAAGGACAAAGTAAATGTCTTCCTCTTCAACTTCTGCCTGTGTTCAATTCCCAACAAAAATTTAAAGACAACTGCACAGAAAAGCAAAATAATAACTTTTCCAAAATAATCCAAGCTTCTACTAATGATAAATTCTTTCATCTGAAATATTTTAATAATTTGCTTAATCCACATCTTTATTCTGTGATTGTAGGGCCAAACTTTAGGTAATAGCATTGGACTGAGATTTGTAAACTTTCCAACCTTCCAGGAAATGCCCCAGAAGCAACAGAATTCACAGACAGAAGCAAAATACAGGGCACTACAGTTCAGACAATACAACAAGAGCGTCCACGAGGTTAATCTAAAGGGAGCATGTTTCACAGTGGCTGGACTACCGAGAGCTTGGACTACACAATACAGTATTATAGACAAAAGAATAAGACAAGAGATCTACACATGTTGCCTTGCATTTGTGGTAATCTACACCAATGAAAACATGTACTACAGCTATATTTGATTATGTATGGATATATTTGAAATAGTATACATTGTCTTGATGTTTTTTCTGTAATGTAAATAAACTATTTATATCACACAATATAGTTTTTTCTTTCCCATGTATTTGTTATATATAATAAATACTCAGTGATGAGAAAAAATTGGCATTCTTAAATTTGCGGTATCTCATAACTGTAAATATAATCAGACTAGTACAATCTGTACAGCTACCAATATTTCATGTTTCTTCTCATCTTGAGACAGCACATTAGTTCGTACAGGACTCAGTGGCTAGGTTTTGAATGATTCCAAGATCAAGGGAAATGATGGTTATTGGAAAAGAGAAAAAATAATTTACTTTATATCGAGTGAGGATAAAATATTTCCGATCTTTGAATCATCTCTATTTCATCAACTTTCTTCCCTGGTCTTCCATTTTCATCCCTAGAGCAGAAAAATCTCTGGCATATAAACTAAATAAAAGAAGAAGGGGAGGGAAAGTGTTTTATAACTCATAAAGGAGAGGGAAAGAAAATATTGGTTTTTATTGGGGAAGTAGCTTAGAATCCCCCAGTTAAGTGCATATATCTGAACTTACTGAACAAGTTACATACTAGGTATACACAGAGTGGCAAAATATATTCCATTTAGGTGGGTGGAATTACCAGGGGAAAAATGTAATAACACCACTAGATGTGAAACACCAAAATCGTGAATTCTCAAAAGCACCATACAATATGTATAGTATATAGTTCTTTGAAAAGAAGTTAGAATCACAACCAATACCCCATGAATAGCTTTGTGGCTAATGCAGCACCATAATTTGTAATGGAACTAAGATGATGATGACGATATTTCATGAAAACAGAGAGATGTTTTGAGCATATTTATGTGGTGAGGTAAGAAAGAAAATTAATCCTATAGCATCTGAAAGACCTCACTGGGAAGTTGGTATGGATTTTTGTTTGATTTGTGCATACAAATAGGTATCACAACTTGATCTGGAAAAAATAAGCTGTGAAAATTCTCAAGGAATAAGATGAAAATAAATCAATTATTATCATTTAGCTCTGCAAAGCTTTCCATGGCTAACACAGTAAATTTAAATAAAGCTCTCTTTGTCTCCTTCAAATAACCTGTGCGTGGACTTTAAAAAAAAAAGGACACTCCAAATATCAAATCAACATATTCTGAATATAAAATATTCAGTGAAAATTTATTTTCTGAAATGATGTTTGTTTAAAATACTCGTTAAAACATAAATAAAGGTGACAATCTAAGTAGGATTTAGGACTCTGAAAAACCTGGTTTTCTAGATTAGTCATCACTGTGAAAAGTGTGACTCTATTGGCACAACCATCACTCAAATGTTCCCATAAATCTGCCCTATACCACCTGTACAAGACAAATTCCTTTTCAACTTCTTCGTGGAAGTTTAGTTTGGTTAACAGATAGAAAGATGTAACGAGCCAGGGTCTCCTTTGTAAGATACTTGTGACAAAGAAACCCTTCCTCCCCATAAAGGAAGAGGAAAAAATGCAACATCCACAGAGACTTATAGAGATTAAAAGAAAAAATTCCACTGACTCTTGCTTGTAGGAGGGTGAAATGATTTGACTTGTTAGATATGGATGCATTGCTGTATGTGAATTTTTATCAAATGATCATAAACCTAAGTCCTTGGAGTTCATAGTACAATACACTCTTGCCCATTTCCATGCTCACCCAACCCATGAAGGAATTCCTTTTAAAAGATGCATGACAATCTTAAGTGAGCACATACTATGTGAGAGGCACTATTTAAGGTCCTAGGGAAATACAAATAAAACATGGTCTCTGCTTTAAAAAAAAAAAAAAAAAAAAAAAAAAACTCACAATCTAGAACTAACAGATAATCACCCAGCCTCTACTGGCATATTTCTGATAATCTGGAATTTCATCCTTGGGCAATTATAATTTTTCAGACAATTCTTTCTTATATCAAGATGATGCTTATTTCTACGTGGTTTCTACCCAGGGCTCCTATTTTTTCTCTTGGGAGCAAAGGAATAATGACTTATGAATTTAAAATAAAAAGACAGAAATCATGTTTTCCCATTCACCCCACAGCCTTCCTGCAACTCTCTTCATCTCCAAGTGAAACATCCTTAATTTCCTCATCTGTTCTTCATGTGATATCACTTCCACATCCCCCTAGCATCTGCATCATCCTTCCTTGGACAAATTCTCCTTTATCATTATATTTCTTTGAGTGTAGAGCTCAGAATTGCACAGTCTACTACAGTTGTCTGACCAGCACGCTATATAGCAGAACTTGTAGAAAGCAAGTTTAATTGAGAGCTGTGATTCTTAAATTCATGTTCTACTTAGACCTGCAATTTTGCTGTGGAACCATGAACAAGCCATTTCATATCTCAGATCTCAGTTTCTTCGTCCATAAGATCACTTCTGTCTCTCTATCAAGATTCTATATATTCAGGAAAAAGGCACTATACTTATATTATTGCTACCAAGGACCATATTAACTACTTTTATTGCTTATCCTCAACTTAAATTCAAAATCCTTTTAAAGTAAACTGCTAATGGCCAGGCGTGGTGGCTCACACCTGTAATCCCAGCACTTTGGAAGGCCGAAGCAGGTGGATCACTTGAGTCCAGGAGTTCAAAACCAGTCTGGCCAACATGGCGAAACCCTATCTCTACAAAAAAAAAAGCATACAAAATTAATCAGGTATGGTGGCGCCACCTGTAGTCCCAGCTACTTGGGAAGCTGAGGCAGAGAATCACTTGAACCTGGGAGGCTAAGTTGCAGAGAGCCGAGATTGCGCCACTACACTCCAGCCTGGGTGAAAGAGCAACACTCTGTCTCAACAAATAAATAAATAAACTGCTAATAAGCCATGTCATTCCCTCATTTACTCATTCATTCATTATACATTTATTATCAATTTACCAAGGGCCTTCAGTTACCAGCACCATGCTAAGTTACAAAAAGACAAAGATAAATAAGGCAGAGTCCCTGCCTGAAAGTAGTTCACCATCAGAACATCCCAGTTCCTTGCATCAGAGATCTCACAGTCCTATGGGGAAGACTGAGAAGTAAATAAAAAAATTATGAAGAATGTGACAAAGGCTCTGATACTGGTCAGCTCAGAGTGCTTGGGGACCCTGAAAGAGGAACTGCAAGGCTGGAGAGGTGTCCTCTTAACACAGAATGACTTCATCATTCTCCACACATACTCTGACTTCTTGCTTCTGATATTTTACATGCTCCTCATGCTTTCTTCACACCCTTCTCTTCACAAAACCCAGAGCAAATAACAGCTTATCAGTGAAGCCCCTCTGACTCCCTTGGCCATCTTCCTAATTATCTTATAGTGCTTTTCATGTTGTTCCTTAATTGTCCATGCAAGTCTGTTTTTCCCTTAGCAAAGGAGTGACAAAAAAACAGAAAATCAGTGCCTTGCCAATTGTTTTCGTTTGCTTAAGAAACATTTATTGGATACTACACCATGCCAGACACTATTCTAAGTACTGTGATGTAGCAATAAAGTGCCTAACAGGTCTCTGCTCACGGGCTCACATTTCAGCAGAGGAGGTGAAGGTGCATGAGGGGAGAGGGTTCATCAAACAATAAAAAAAGAAAAAAACTGAAAAGTTTCAAGTTCTACACAAAGAATTAAAAATAGGACAAGGTGACTGGGTAGTGAGTGAGGACTGGGTGCCTCCAAAGTGAGCATAATGTTTAAAACTTGGCCTCTGAAGCAAGGCAGATATGACTGCCAGTCTAAGCTTCACTTTACTAACTAACCTTGGGCTAGTTGCCTAACTTCATTATGCCTCATATTTTAAATGGAGAAAAAAATATATTCCATGTCGAATATGACTAGTTTGAGAAATGAACATGACAATCCATACTTGTGCTCAGAATAGTGACATGCACACAGTGAACTTCCAATATATGGAAATTATTTTATAGAGATTTGATAAATAAGTGTTGTAAAAGTAAATAAATAAGAAGAAACCACATTTCATCAGTTAAATATTGCATCATGGGGGAATCATATGGTCACAGAAGGAATCAAGCAGTTATCCTTACTCAAAAAAAAAAAAAACCATCTCTCATCTCTTTGAAGACAAGAGAGCTGGTTTTGGTTCTGGAAAATAAGACAATATAGAGTTAAGAAACAACACAGCATCTCTAATTCTCTTTTTCAAATGGGTCCACTGGTATTGTGTCTGAATAAGAGGGGGTCATTCTGCTACTTTAAAATAGGTCTATCCTGATAAAGCACATACCATTAAACCTCTTGTGTGATTTCAGACAGGGAATGAGTGAGTCAATATTGCAGTGACTTTGCAGGATCAAAGTCTTCCCTTGCATGGATCCTGGAGAAATCAGTGCAGACTATTGAAATATGACAGAGATTATCTCTATGTCATATTAGACTCTCTACTAATGTTTGTCTTCAGATGCTCCTTCCCTTTGCCAAAATTATGCAACCCCTGCACCACCTGTTGTTCCTCCCCAGTTACAGTAGACGTGTTAGTTATATAATTAATCATCTGAATATCAATGATAAAAGGTTTTTCACTGAATTAATTGATACATGCATACGATCATCCTCAGGAAGCTCACATAAAGGACGGATAAAGGAGAAACAGAGGATGATACAAAGTAATGGGGTGGGTTTTATAACAAGTGCATAAATATACAAATGAATACGAACCTTTGAAATCAACATCAGGAAGTTATGTGTGATGTCCCACCTGCTACCCAGCACATTCAAAGCCTCCTTCCAGCCTCACCGTGGACAGAAATCTACTGACACCTCCACTCTGGGTATGGCACCTTGGTTGATATCTACTTCCAGTAATACTAAATGTGTTGTTTTAACTTGAATCTTTTGTACATTTTTAATTTTTAATTAATTTTTACTCTTTCTCTTGTATCAGGTAAGAAATGAAAGAAATAATATTTTATTTTTCCAAGCCAAATTTAATCCAGGACAAGAACCTAACTCAGAACTAATGAGAAGTTCCAAATCAGGTATTATAGGGGAAAGGGAGAGACGAACAGGAGCAAGGCCCCACCCTCCGTTCTCAGTGGTCCCATTGCCATGGCTAAACCTCCCTGTCTTCCTGATCCATCACAGGAACTCCCCACACGAGTGGCTCAGCCACGGTGATCGTCCCGAGGCAGCGTCTGTCAAGACCCACACAGTCAAACCCATTCTTTTGGGTTTGGCTGTATTTTGAGAGGGCTTTATTCCCTTCCTCTCTATGGATGTCTCCCCTTATTGGGCTTTCTCTCTTTCTCGAAGTAATAACCACCTCTTTTTTCTTCACCTCATGCAATAGCCATCCTCCATTATAGCCCTTCTCTGCCACAATCTAGCTTCATTCTTTTCCATGAACTTAGACCTTGAAAACAGGGGCCTTCTAATGAATCTAGACATGAAAACAAAGCCCAAATTATCATGAAGTACATCAAATAATTAATAAATATATTACATACGTAACACTTTATTACTTTATTAACTGGCAAAATTAGCAAATATAGATAAGCCGGAGGCATAAAATAGTATCACCACCAAGAGAAAAGCACCATGGTGTTTGTGTATATCGTTTCAAATAATTTATATGAATATATTAATATATGTTGAGTTTTTCTAAGACAAAATAATTTATTAATAAACTGAATCCTCACTAAAGAATATGAAGTTTAATAGTTATTAAGCATAATTTGTCAAACTACACATATACAGTGTAGCTTTTGTGTACATTTCAATCACTCTCAGTTACGAGTCAGTGAGGCCTTTAAAGAATTTAGCTGAGGATCATCTCTATTGCACTGCATCTTTACCTTTCCTTCCACCATCTCACATACTACTTAAAAGGGGCCTTTTGTCTTCGCACTTTCATGCCAGCTGAAGGCATTCTCAGTCTCATGCTCTGCATCTGTCCAAAGTGTACCCATAAAGCATGGAAACCTTATTGACAGTTTCTCCCTCATTATCCCTGTGCCTAAGTCGTATCTACCTAGATCCAGAGATGCTAAGGCAGTTTTTCCCCCCACTCACTCTAAAGATGCTTTGTTTCTTCTCTTTTCACCTTGTGGAGGTCTCTTCCTCTGATCCCTAAGCTGGAGAAGCCCAGGGTTTTGCCACTTAACCATCGCATGCTCACAACACATTATGCTGAAGCTGCCATTCTTTCACCAGTTCACACTTAAGTTAAACTCATCTCATAATTGGTGCTAGCCTCAAAGCTGAGTTATTTTTCTCAAACTGGAGCTCTCCTTCCCCACTGATGTCTCTTCCTCTGCCTTGCACAGTATGAGTAAAGAGCTGTTCACTGCCATTAGTTAAGGCATTCAGCTTGGTTCAGAACCAGGAGTTTGTATAAGTAGTGTAACATTGAACAACAACAGCAATGACATTAAGTGTACATATTTTTACTTCTATTTATTCAAAAATGCAACACCTGATAATATTCAAAAGCACTCAAACCAACTCTCAAGCCTAAACACAACATAAAATTGAATAATTAAAAATAATGTAAAAAAATCATGTACATTCCTTTAAGTAATATACAAATAGCTGCTACCCATTACCTGAGCTGAAGTTAGCTAATACAAAATGGCATTGAATTTTACTGGAAGAATTACTTCAGCAAAGACAGACTGAATTCTACTAACAGGCTTCACTACATGTTACCTAAAGGAGTCTTTTTCTAAGAACCAAGAGGAAGAGAAAATGTTATGGCCACTAAAGAACACACTTATCTCCTTACTACTCACTTGCGGGGAAAACAAAATTCTTAGCTAGAAATTACTTCATCTGTTCACATCCGTAACCTCTTCACCAATGACAGTTCCTGTAAGTCACCCTCAGCATGAGAAATGACAATATATGGTATGGGGGAAAAAAGAAAGTGAACCGGAAAGAGCTAAGTGGGAAATCAGAAGCCCTGGAAAGGTGAAAGGAATGAAGATAACAAACTATTGAATTGTAGGAGGAGGGCAATTATGGGAAGAGGAATGTAAGAGATTGTCCATTCAAATAATCCTTCTAGAAGAACTGAGTCTAAAATATCTGATCAGGATTTCAGGACTATGAAATGACAGCAAGAAAGCAGGGAGCAGAAAGGTGGCATCGCTGGGAAGGCCTCTTGCCCCGAAGTCTGAGAAGGTTAACCTTCTGTGTATACAGAGTTTGCAGGCAGAGGAGCTGGCTTGGCAGGCTGGGCAGAATCAGGCCAAGGCACAACTCCAAAAAATGATTTTCAGGACTCTGGGTGAGAAGGAGAATATGTTTAAAATAAAAGTTTTGTCATGTGCATATTTTCTTCCTTACAAATCTTGACCTCAAGATATGTAAATTAGATTTTGTATATTCTGCAGGGCAACCTTGTCCCAAAGCACTAGGTCTGCTCTCCAGATAAAGAATAAAAGAAAGGCTCATCCTCTCCACCCAGAGGCTAGCCCTCCCTCCCAGGGATGTGGAGGTGCTGTAGCAATCACAAGTGCAGGCTGCTGGATAGTATCTGATCTGGCTACTCCTGGAAAACAAAATCCTAGGGTTATAAAGCAGCCCTGAGAAGCATTAGAAAAGACAAGCTAAAAAAGGAAGCAGACTAGCCCCTGCATGTAGAAGACAAATCCATCTGTAGTCTGCCTGGGGATATATGGGTCAGAACTGCCAAGCGGAGCAAACCATTGGAAAGTATTGTTTAGGTTTGAAAAGATGAGTAGAAAGAGAAAAATGACTGCTCTTTAAGTGGAGGTTAAGAAAGAAATAGGAATGGAAGCCCCAGTGTTCCACTTCTCAGCTATTCCAAAGGCACGTGACTCGTTCTTCACAGAATAGTGCTAAACAGAGCTGGGTGATTTGTAATTAAGCTCACAGACTAAAGAGTGAGTCTTATAAACAGCCAGTGATGTTGCTGGCTTCCCCCCAGAGGATTGAGACTTTGCTACACCAGCATCCTCAAAATAACATTATATTTCACTTTTAAATAAGATGTACATGAATGTTCACTTGTGCCCAATTACAGTAATGCATGATTTACATAAAATTAACTCTCCTGCTTAATTACAGTCACACAGGGATTAAGGGAGAAGGGGCTTTTGCTTTGTAAACAGTACCTGCTTTAACACTTAGCCTCTCCATGAAGTAACTAGTCCAATCATAAATGAAAATGAGTTCTTTAGTCATTGAGATTTGCCATATATTTTTATGGATCAGGATAATGTGTAAACTGAGTCAGGACTATGTGTAAACTTCCCTCAGAATTATGTGTAAAATGAGTCACCAGAGTTTTTATCTAGTTAGAGCAAAGGAATCCAATTCTTTTGAAATGTGAATGTATAAACTGGATTGCTTTGTAGCAAAGATCTAGGGTTTTGAAGTTTGGCATACAATGTGGAGTTTAACCCTCTGGGTAAGGAATCTGCAAAGGGCAAGAGAATGAGTCTCCAGTTTTCCAGAAGCAGCAAAGAAAACGCTTTCTTTAAAGGGCAATCCAAAGCTGCTTTGACAACAAGATGATTAAAGGCTGCCCCTTCTCTCATCTTACATCTGTCACTTTTCTGCATCCTGCTTTTTGTCACAAACATGAACAGAATTTTTCTCTGAATAGGACTTCAGAATGCACATTAACAGAGAATTAAAAGTGAAGTTCATTGCAAACCACCCCAAAAGAATTTTTCCTTTTCTCCGCCTCTGCCAGACCAGGTGCCAGAACTGGAGTCGAAGAAAATTCATTGAGCTGGCACAATGAGAAAATGATTGAAGGCAACAGGGATTGAAGTTTCATCGTTATCAGTTCAGTGGGGACGTGAAAATGCTTCTCTAAAAAGCTGCACAAAAATACCTCAAGGGGACTGAACACTCACTGCACTGGCTAACCACAAAAGATGGCAATTTCATTTTGCCACATCGTCAACCTTTTTTCACCTAGTACATAGAAGCACCAGATACCATAGGTAGAGAAAAGGCTTTGAAGGAGGGAAAGAAAACAAGATAACCTGTGAGCACCTAGGAAAAGCGTGGAAGAACAAGATCTTAGAGCAGATTGCATTTGGAAGAAAGGATTATAAATTGAAATTAAGCAAATTGGATCTTATCTTCAGAATATTGAAAAAAAAATCACATTCCTAACTCAGGGCTCAGTACTTAACTTCTTCAGAAATACTTCTAAACACTATTCCTAATAAACTAGATACCTATAACATACCAAGCACTTTTTTATAAAAGAATCATTAACCAGAAATCATTAACCAAGAATTGCATTTAATATGTGCAAGCATGGTATATAATACAAAATTATTTTACTTCATAATCCCTGCCCACTTATTTTGCAACAAAATGTTAAATGTACCGACCTTTTCAAGTCCTTAAATTTAGGAAGGCTTCTGTGGGAGAGGTTTTCAAAGGTATCTTTGGAAAGTCTGGAGATAGTACAGGGTCACTTGGCAGTTTGTGGGGGAAATTTTTCCAGTCATCTGTATTTTATTTCTTTCTTTCATCATTGTAAATTTTTCTGTCAGGATCTGAGGCATTAGAGAGATTAAGTTCTTGATTTTTTTTTGTTTGTTTGTTTGCTCCTTTGAAATCAAGGTCTTTCTGTTCTCCCGAGTTATCATCTCCCTGGCACTGGCTCTTTCATATTGTGCCCGATGCTATAAGGCATCCTTACTCTAAAATGCATGAATCAACCTTCAATTTTCCATCCTTTGATCCTTCATTGAGTTGTTGTTTCACAATATCAAAAAGCCTCAAAAGCTATGACTTGAATAGTGGCCATACTCAAAGGAACAGTATGACAGGCTTGATCCTGAATACACAAAATCAAAACGCCTTACATTTCACATGAAACCCTTTATTTGACCTGATAGTAATGGAATGAAGCTGTCCTTAAAGCACTGAATTTGTCTCTCTAGCTGCATTTGAAGATTTTAAGAATTGATATCATGGTTTATTGATTGTAATAATGTGTAATGTATATAAAATTATAATTTATGACTAAGGATAAAAACAGGAACATGTATGAACCTCCTACTCATCCTATATAGGAGTGGGATTGTTTGGGGCACTTTCTAAATATTATTTTGATTATTTTTTATAAAAATTCCCAGATATTTTATTATTTTGCCAATTTTAGGATGAAATGACATAAAGTAACAGGTAATGTTGCAAATAATGTGGCAAAGGTCACAGAGTCAGGATGAGCCACTGCCAAGATTTGAACCCAAATCAAACCAAAATCTATTCTGCTCCACCATATTATGCTGTTTTTTTATGTTCTGTTTTATACTAGAATTGAAGAAATAATACATCTTTTGAAGTTACATGTTGGCATCCAAATTTTTACTCCAATGATGGTGCAATTGCTTCAATTATTTTGAAATTTTGCTATGGAAATTATCCTCAGAGATAGTTTATGAACCACACCAGAATGCCTGTTTTAACATATTATAAGGATGCTGTCTTTCAATTTCTACCTTTCTGTTCATGCCTCTTCATCATTCTCCCAATTTTAACAAACTTAACCACACACAAAGTTCTTCTTGCCTAAAGTATAGTTGCCAGGGAAAAAGGCTAAACAAGATAGCTTCAGAGTCTTATAAGTGATATCATATCAGAAATTATCTTGTTCATGTGTATGTTTAGTTGTTTTTTCTTTTGGATCTTTTCCCTCTTACACCTTTTCACGCCCAAGGAATGTTACTCTTCGTGAGATCAAGAAGCCTGTCTAGTTGATACGACCCCAGTTCTAAGAACAGTTCTTGGCATTTTGTAGGTGCCCAATTAAACTTGATGAATGAATAAATGGGTGAAATTTAAGTCATCCCCAAGCTTCTTCCAAGTTGTGTGATATGACTGCTCTATGCCAGTCAAGAACGTAACTATGCCATTATGACATTAATCAGCAGAAGATGAATAAGATATGTTCAGTATGAAAGTTACTGGTCTCTAAATGGAGCCCCAAAAGTGTAAGCTAACAGTACAGAAGCAGCTAAAAGGGCCTCAGAGTCATGTTTTCCTTTCCTCTTTCTTCCTTCCAATTCTCCATAAGCCATACCAGTTTCCAGGAAACACCCTGCTGGGGTAAAGGGTAGTATGGAGCTGGTGTGCTATAAATTATAGTCATTACAACATGTCAGCAGACCCCCCAGCTGAGCTCTTTAACTCACTGCCATGAGAGCTTTCAAGGACATTCACTTTCAGGAAGGTTTAGGAGCATCAAATGCCTTTTGCAACCCACCAGGTTTTTTAACTCACGTGAGTCTGACACTTGTTAGGTGCATTTTATCTTGCAATCTATGTAATTAGGAGCTGTCAGATTAAAAATGATTTGCTGCCACTGAAAGGCATTCCAACTCTAAGATTCATTTGTAAATGTTGTTCTCTTTCCTTTGTCTCTCGTTGTATCCTTTCAATACTTAGTACAAAGCAGCATGAGGGGACAATGTATTGTGACCACCTTGATTGCCAAAGAAAGGCACATCCTAAAGCTCATTCAGAAAAAAATCAATGATTGTCAAGTCATTATTGGAATTTTCAGACGTCATATATACATCCTTACAATTGTCAAAATGCAAATGTGCTCTCGTTTTATTTCTTATTAATATCACTTATTTTTGACCTTTACTCAAAGAAGGAAAACTTTTTAAGTGGCTCTTGTTGGCAGAGATCAGAGTGGCTAAAAAGTGAAAGGATATGTAGAATAAAACTCAAACACAAAACTAGACAGGAATAAAGGAACAAGGGGCACCTAGTCCTGTTTCATTTGTTGAAGACACAGGCTCTGATTTTATCATTGGCCATTCATGTGAAGGGATTCAAGAAAAAAAGAAAAAATAATGTTATCTAAGAAGCGTACTTCCAAAGCTACTGAGGTAAAAGGTGTAAAATGAACCTTTCCTTCCATGAGATCAGCCATAAATGAAAGAGATGTATTCAGAATAAATTACCACCAGCAACAACATTCATCAACCAGGCTTTTGATGTCATATGGAAGAGTTGAGGGGTGAAATGAGGAAAAGCCATTTTAAATTACCTAATTCTAAGGATGTGCATTTCCACCCCCGCCTGGTTTAAAATTTCAAATAAATAAAAGCCTGCTTGTTAATAGTTAAAATGATTAGTAGGTAGAAGACCCTGGATCTGTCAGACCCAAAATGTGCTAGAGAGAAAAAATCCATAAGATACTACCGGAAATAAAACTGTTTTTAATTGTATATGTTACTATTATGTGTTTGCACATTTATTATTAAAATTTGATTACTCTTTCCTTCTTTGGTATAAAAAAAGTAAACTAGAAATCCAAGCAGATATCATGTTGTGTTTGTTATTGTGAATTGGATCCATTCAAATCTGTCCTGGGTCCAATGAACTATTCCAGAAAGAGGCAATGGGGACAGAACTATATTAGGGACAACAAATTCAGTGCAAGGACAACCTTAGCTAACTATAAAGGGATGTGCCAACTGCAAGGACTTCCATATTGCGTACATGGGAATTGAGGCAGAATGTTAGCCATGCATTTTCTACTTCTGAGCAGAGATTTGCTCTAAAAACAAACTGCAAGGAAATCTCTGAAGCCAAGCTACCTATGAATAATACACACTAGTTGCTGGTTCCTTTTTTGTTTGTTTGTTTGTTTGTTTAACAAATATCACCATGGTTTTCCAGTTGAAATCAAGCTATCAAAATAAATAATTTCTGACTATGGAAATCTACAATTTAGCATTTCCTTGATTTTTTTCCATTCTTGAGTTTGGGGTTTGGGAGGCCTAGGGAAAGGGGTAATGAGGATCCAAGTCTGAAAGCACAAACACCAGGTTTGGTAAGGCGGCTGTTTTGCACAGCCTTTGAAAAATCTCATCTGGGCACTACAATGGCCATAGCTATTATGGCCAAGGACTCCACCACACTGACATTTTGGCAGCAGGGTGTTCTGGCAGTGAAGGATAATCCTGTGTGAAGCACAATCTGCCTTGTTTTATGCTGTATTACAGAATCAGTCGCATGTCCTAATCACTTTTGAAGGCTGAATATAGTCTAGGAAACAAAGAGACCCAAGGACCTGTACAATACTAACAAAAGCTTGCCAAGTAGTAAGGTGGTGAAACAAAGCACATTGCTTAATGTTTTGAATAGTGTTTACATTACCTGGGAGAATTGTCCACTTTTTATGAATTACCCTAGATACTCATACATTAGACAATCAAATTCTAGGTTTGACTCTGAGTCTATGAAGCCCTAAATAGTATGTACCTTTTGAAATCTAGACTACCTGCTGCCCTATGTCTCATTAAAGGCCTTACGATCAGCAGGATTAGACTTGCTGACCATCCTGTTGTACACTTGAAAGAGAAGAAAAGAAACAAAGAACTCTTCCTAAGGAATCGTTTACCAAAACCTTTTGTAGTACTTTTATAGTCTTCTTTAATGGAGGAGAGAAATCTTTTCCCCTGACTTATGGGTGTCTTGATTTTATGAAATTTTGCTCAGATATTATAACTTAGATTGAAAAGAATCCTTCATTCAGTCAGGATTAAAATGGTACCTATTTCAGTTCAGCCATCTTAGTTAAAATAAAATCAGCAACATAGCAAGACAATTACTGACAATATGATTGTGTGTGTGTATATGTGTCTTAGACCAGTCAGGCCCTACAGCTATTAAAATGCTTGTTGGGTTCAAATTACTATAAATGTCTTTGAAAGTTAACTTCCCAAAGCAAACCTCCTAAAAGCGAAGGAATGTTCAGTTCTTTGAAAAATTTAAACAACAAACAAAGTTCAGGATGAGAGTTCAACATGAATGTAGATTAAAATTCGTGTAATTACAAAGATTTAAGAAAGTTACATCAGATTTAACTATCCTAGCATTATTAATTTAATTTCTAGTCATGATAATACTAAGCATTTAAAATGCATTTGGTGTTTATGTAGATGGAATCACTCCTCAAAATTACAATTTTGAATTAATATGCTATTAAAAATGCCACTAGAAAGTGCTTTTATTATTCTGCCATGAAATAACTGTTCCATTTCTTTTTATAAATGAAATTTCAGCATTTATCTTTTGATCTTCTTTAGATTTTGAAAACGGTAATGTTTCTGTTTAAGAATTCTCCTTATGCTACATTAGTGCCATGTTCTTTGACAGCATAAAAATATGCAAATATAGCCTTTTTAATGGTGATTTTTCATTTTGTTACTGTCATTTAACTGAAAAACAACTGATGATGTTTCAACTTATCACTTACAACAGTGAAGTTACTGAATTGATATTTATGTTCAGAGCAGATGACATAGAAACAAATATGTTTGAAATACCATCTGTACCATGTTGATTTCTTCCTTAAAGGCACAATAGAGTTGCTGAAGTTCAGCCTTACGGGGAACATCAGACTTGGGGGCAGTGATGACACATTACTACCTTGGAAAAATGGGTAAATGAGAGTTGCTGAATTTGGAGATAGGTTGTGGGGGAGAGGGTGGGAAGAAGAAAGGTGGCAATGTGAAATTTACAACTTCATAAAAATCTTTCTATCTTGGCAGCAAGAGCTCTGCCTGCTTTTTGGCCCTCCATTTCCCAGACTGCCCACTTGGCTATCTGCCTCATTGCCTACCTCTCTTTGCAGCCTCCACTCGGTGTTACACAGCTTCTCCATCTGGTGCTGGTTGCCAGCCTGCTGCTTAGGAAATCCCAGAATACTCTGCACTGAATTATGTGGGAGTGTCACCTTTCACAGATACTTGAACTGAAAGAGGCAGGCAGCTGGGTGGGAGGAGAGTTGGACAGAAGGGCCTTGCTGGAGCAACCTGCCATGCTTAGCAAGACCAGCTCTCAAAGGTAGAGCGGAAGGCTTATCTCGAGAGTTTCTAGAAATCAAATAGGGAGCTTTCCACCATTCCAAAATGGTCAGAAAATGAAGAAAAGAACTCTTGTTAATGGGCCAGGGAATAGAGTATTGTATTGAATGAGGTTCTTCTCTTAGTTTGGCCTAGGTAAATGATGCTAGGCAATTCAATAAACTCCACTCTGCCCGAATTTCCTAATACTGGGACACATAGATCCAGTCTTCCTGGGTAGGAAAAAATGAGGTTTCATCAAAGTTTCCCACACATACATTCTCACCCAGCTTATCACCATTCACAGATCCCATTAGCGGGCAATAATCATTATAATAATAGTTGTCACTTATTGAGCTCTTACTCTTCGACATAATTAGTGTTAAGTGCTTTACAGGCTATGCTGAATAATTTTCATCTGCCCCTCAGAGCCAGTGTCTGTGCCCTGGGAGGCTGACCACTCTGGACAGCATCTTCACACTTCTTTGTCTTCAGGTTTCTGGATGGGTTCAGCTTACATGCAAGTCACTTGAAGCATATTGGTGGGAAAGAAAAAAATAAGGTCAGGATGCTACTGCCTCTCTGCCCTGTCACAGCAAGTTGGCTATGTCCTTCTATCCAAAACCCTAACCAGCAGTGTCTCCTAAAGCTACAGTTCCCTACGTATTCTTCCTCAGTCCTAGGGGTGGTAACTGATCCACATCACCATCCCTGGCTCTTTGCTTTAATCCTGCCCATACCGTGGTAAACATTCGCTTTGTTAAACTTTTCTCAGTCACCCTGCTTGGGTGTGCCATGTTCTCTATAAGATAGCTACCCTTTTTTAGGTGAGAAAACTATGACTTAAAATTGGTTTAGCACTTGCCCCAGGTCAAGTATCTAATAAACGCAATGGTCAAAGTGTAATACTATTTTTCTAACTCTGAACTACTGCACAGTATTGCCAAGATGATCAATTCTAACTTCATAATATTTATTGTATTAGTCTGTCTCTTGCCCTTATCACTGTAAAACCCAAACTCTTACCTAGACTATTGCAATTCTATCATATTAGGGAAGATTTATTCAGTTTTACGTAACAGCAAACAATTCAAGTTTCACATAAGACAAAAAGAAAACTAATCTAGGGTTATGGTAGGCAGCCTCAAATAGCCCCATGATCCTCACTGGTATTCAAGCTCTGTGCAACCCCCGTCCCTTGTGTGTTGGCTATATTTATTGAGTTCTAATGCATAGAATATGTCAAAAGTAACGGGATGTCACTTCTAAGATTAGGTTATTTTTAAACAATGGCTTCAGTCTTGGCTGCTTGCTGTCTCTCACCCATTCTTATTGATTCTCTCTGGGGAAAGCCAGCTGCTACATTGTGAAGCAGCCCATGCAGCCAGGACCTGAGGCCTTTCAATAACCACAGGAGTGAGCTTGGAAGTGGATCCTTCTATAGTTGGTCTTTCAGATGACCATGGTTCCAGCCAATATCTTAATTGCAGTCTGCAAGAGACCCTGAGCCAGAACCCCCCAGCTAAGTGGCTCCCAGATTCTTGACCCACAGAAACTATGGTTTGTTTTTCTCAGCTACTAACTTTTGGGGTAATATGTTATGTGAAAATCCACCACTTCATTTTAATTCCAGAGTGACTCTAGAAACAGAATTTTAAGGATCCTCTGAATGGGTTCTGCATTCTGTGACTCTCAAAGGAAAGATGGATTGTGGAAATGGAGACACAAACAGCCTTGCTGACCTGGCAGTTACTCATCAGCACAAGGCAGTGGCCAGGCCCACAACTGTTCCACCTTCCCATGGGGCTTTCCCCTCCAACAGCTGTTCCACCTTCCCATGGGGCTTTCCCCTCCAACAGCTGTTCCACCTTCCCACGGGGCTTTCCCCTTCAGCATCTCTGACTTCTGGGCCATATGTATGTTTAGTTTACAATCTTATAGAGGCTGCTTAAGCAGATCCTGCAATTGTGAAAGGTCAAATACCTCAAATTTCATAAGTTCAATAAAGGTTTTACCAAAAAGTCTAGGAAAGCTAGGAGCCACAGTAGCCAACAGCAGGAGTTAGTTGAGCTCTCTCTCTAGCTCTACCATCTTGGGTCTCGTAGTCCCTTCTTGGGTCTCTTAGTCCAAAATTCTATATTCTTGAGAGATAACTTGATTGATCCAACTGGAATCAGCTACCCTCCCCTTGACCAATCAGCTGGGCGTTGGGAGTATTACATGGTAAAAAACGTATAGAGATACAGATTCTGGAAAAGAAGAGCAAAGCTAACAGCCAGGCAGGCCACAGTGGCTTCCTGAAAGTTCTGCCGGCTTCCAGTCTTTCTCATCCGATTTATCCCACCCATGGGAATCATAACTTCCTATGAACTACTCACAGCTCACCTCAACATAGCCAAAAGTACCATTTGAAGTTCAAATTAATTCATCAGTGTGGTTCACAGTCTACACACAATGTGCTCAAGCCACATTGAAACCCCATAAAGCTACATGTGTATGTCATTTATGACAATTACCTATTTGGCCTCTTATTATTATAATTGCTTAAGGACTTCAAAGTGGAACTAAGATTTAATATGTATGACACAGTTGTCTTGATTTTATTCAGTAATACTCACTATTGCCACACTTTGGTCAGGCTATCATAAGCAGAAAAGCTACCTAGAGATGCTTTCTAACATTGTAGGGAGGGTATAGTTTTCCTTGTCATTGGACTTTTATCCCTTTGCTGTAAGTAAGTTTTATTCACTCAGTGAATGACTGTCTGATAAGAAGTTATAACACCCTAGTAATGTTCGTGCCAAATAAGGGCAACAACAGTTGTAGTAGTGAAGAAGTCATAAACATACCTTTACAGGCAGTGAATGGCTTTTGTTTAACACAAGTCATTAGGTACACAAATAGGAACACTGTGCATCTGCCCTGAAATGTGTTCATATACTCCTGAAGCTGTGTTAAAACAGTGTACACTAAGTGGTATTGCTCTTTGCTTCACATTTGTTAAAAATCTCATAAGTACTTTAAATTATAAAAATGACATCTGGCAACTGGAGTAATACATTTCAATATTTTTGTGTGTGCATGAGAATCACCTTAAGAAGTTGTTTTGATAGTAGTCCCATCAATTCAGATTCAGTTGATCCAGAAAGGACCTGGGAATTTAAATATTTAATAAAGATCTCTAGGGGATTCTGATGAAAATCATCTGCCTGCCCACATCTTAAAAAAATTCTTAAATATTGAAGTGAGCTCAGTTTTAAGCCAATCAGTTCTTGATTGAATAAACACACACAAAAACTCTTAGTTCTTATGAACCCAATCACATTACCAAGCCATCTCACAACCCAAAAGGAATTCCTTCTGACCTGGGGGCTTGCACTAAGTAAAAAGGTGAGTCAACCAAAAGTTCAAACGAGCAAAGAAAGCTCCAGGGAGGAGAAAAGGTCAATGTGAGTATGAGCACTGCTCAGTCTGGGTCTCTTGGCATCTTGGTAATAAGGCCTTGGAAGCTCAGTTGTAGCTGAGGACCAGCATTCTGAATGCTAGTCAAATAAGGAAAAAAAGACCATTTTGTTCTAAGAAAGAGTTTCTGTTTAGAATGTTTGGAAAATCAGCCTATAATGGCATTGTTTTATTGGCACCAGCTCCACAGATCTGATTGCTTTTAGAATGATGTTGTCAGACAACTTCTCTTAAGACCTGCAGACCTAGTGCCTTTGCTATGTGTCAGGCACAATTTAACCTCCATGATGTTCTCAGCAGAGGTGTTTATTTGAGCCATTGTGACCACTATACATTGCTTCCTCTTTTTGTCTTTCCACAGCCACAAATTCGCTAACTAAAAAAAAATTTTTAAGCTTGCAGTTAGTACAACTAACCTATCTGTTTTACCCAAGCTCACCCTGAGGGTGATGGGTTTTCAATGACTGTGCAGGTTTCCAGGATAATGGAGTATCAGGGAATGCTAAAATTGAGTCCATTAAACTGAATGACAGGTGATGCTTAAACTGACCAGGGTTTCTGGCTAAAGGTAACAGGAAACTCAGGGATCCAGGTGGAAGGCAACAGATAAGACAGGGATGTGATCAGGAGCAGGGTCAAAAGCCAAGGGCTGGGCTGGTTGCAGTGGCTCACGCCTGTAATCCCAGCACTTTGGGAGCCCGAGGTGGGTGGATCATGAGGTCAAGAGATAGAGACCAGCCTGGCCAACATGGTGAAACCCCGTCTCTAATAAAAATATAAAAATTAGCCAGGCATGGTGGCGCGCACCCGTAATCCCAGCTACTCAGGAAGCTAAGGCAGAAGAATCGCTTGAACCCAGGAGGTGGAGGTTGCAGTGAGCCGAGATCGTGCCACTGCACTCTAGCCTGGGAGACAGAGCAAGACTGTCAAAAAAAAAAAAAAAAAAGCCAAGGGCTTCACACCAAGTAAATAGGCCATTAGAAGTATGAATGCTTGTTCCACCAGAGACTCCACAAAATGGATGAGAAGCTATATAGTCAGTAAGTCAAAGTCTAAGAGAATTGAAGCAAGACAAAGAAATAAAACCCTCTACACTGGTCAGCTGCTAGAGCCCAGGAATCGGTATAAAATAAAGGGATCTTGTGGTCTTTCTGCTGATCCTGGCAATGTTTCCCAACTGAAGTGTCCATATCACTGACTTCATAACCATCCAGAGCATGAGTTAAATTTCAGATTCATTTGATCAAGTATACTGAATGAAACTCTCCAAGGGTGGGGCTGAACTCCCACAGTTGCTTCTATGTTCATCCACTAAAGCTGGAGGCCCACTATGTAAGGAGCTCTTCCAATATGCTTTATTCAACTTTCCTCCTCCTCCCTCCTATCTCATTTAATGCAAGCAGATGTTAGCGTCTTTATCTCAGGACTCTTGTTTATTTCCTTTGAAAAGTCATATTGGATCTAGCAGAGTGGAGGGTCAGAAGGGCATATAGATTGTTCACTAAAAGTTTTGTGTAGACCAAAAGTTACAGGACAAAACATTACAGGCTAATAGTGTTATCATGTCAAAAGGGAACACGTACTTGAGACAATTCCAAAGAATATCATTTTCTCACTAGTGTAACGAGGTATTACCATATTGGTCTCTCAGATTAATGTAGCAACTTTTCCCTAATGAGCTCTAAGCTGTTCCATTAGAATAGCTATAAAAGTAAGACAAAACAAAATAAATATTGAGTCACCCAAAGTGGGTATTTTTTTTTCCTGAGAGAGAATTGCACTCCATCACCCAGGCTGGAGTGCAGTGGCCTGATCTCAACTCACTGCAACCTCTGCCTGGCTGTTCTCGAACTCCTGGCCTCAAGTGATCCGCCTACCTCAGCCTCCCAAGTGCTGGGATTACAGGCAGGAGCCACTGTGCCTGGCCGGTATTACCAATTGGAAAGGGGAGAAATAAACTCCAGTTGTCCCAATCCTCAGTAGAATATTGCTATATCTATCTATTCAACATCAAGTGTGGGTAATGGGATAAAGCACTCAATGGAATCCCCAATATTGCATTCTGTAATTTGAATGGCAAATGGGATCTGCAGTAATGCAGATAACAAAATAATATTTACTATCTGTGTACATAGCTCATCTATTAGAGAAAAGCAACAAATAAATACACACATGCAAAAAAATGATGTGAAAGAAGGTAGAGATCTAGTAACTGCAGTTTTCTCAAAAATTGCTTTGTAGAGTGATGATAAAATTCCCAAACCACATGCACTGAGTTCCCAACTTATGTACACACAGCCCCTAGCAGGAAGAGCAGCCAAGTCACATGCTATAACTGAAGCTAAGGACAATCACCGGAAAACACCATTAACCCCTACTTTCCTTTCTTTTACACCCACCCCCACGTCTGGCTTTTGAGTTTTGCGCAGAGTAAACAAGACTATACTCGTACATTCCACCAATGAAGAATTTTATTTTATACTTGTTCAAAATCATGGAGGGCTGTAAGGACTTTCCAATTAAAGCAACCTTGTAAAGTCTTACAATTCTGTCATTCTTTAAGGAGTTCCTATTAAGTCTTAAATGCTTCAGAGATTAAAAGGGTATATTAATGTTATCGGGGACTTGAGATAAAATGCCGTGCCTTGCAGGGTATCTTTGCAGTTAATGAAAACATTTTCATCATATTCTAAGTCTATTATGCCAGATCTTCATTTCATAAGTTGTAAGATAATCTTATTTTAATTAGAGGAGATATACCAAGTACATTAGAGTAATACAGTTAAATATATTCATCAACTTTGTTCTTGTCAGGTAAAATGCCTCCTTCAGAGTTTGTTACTCTGATGGGCTATCACAGATGTAAGTAAAATGGTGTGTGGGTGTGTGTGTGTGTGTGTGTGTGTGAATTCTGAATGATTTCTGTAGAATTCATGAATAAAAGACTGTTTTCTGAGGAGGACCCTATATAACCCTCTCAAAGGCTACACTGTCCAATATGATAGACACTTTCAAATGTGGCTACTAAGTACTTGACATATGGCTGGTTCTAATTGAAATGTGCTGTAAATAGAAAGTACACACTGGATTTCAAAGATTTAGTATAAAACATATAAAAATCGTATTAATAATGTATATATTGATTACATGTTAAGATCATTACATTTTAACTACTGGGGTTAAATAAAATATATCATTGAAAATTTCACCTGTTGCTTTTTACTTTTCAGAATATGGTAACCAGAAAATTTTAAGTTGGGCATGTAATGCACAATACATTTCTCTTAGACTCTGATGCTCTATATCATCTAACCAACATGTAAGATCAAACCTTAATTATCTGTGGCATATTATCCATGTTGTAAGTAATAAACCAAATGATAAAATGATGAATCTCGAGTTGGCTCTTCCTAAATTTTGAACAAGTTACCACTCACTTCTCCCCCTTGTCCAGTCAGTTAAATGCAAGTATGGAAACGCTAGCCTTAACAACTGCCCACAAGGCTGGTCTGTGGCTACAGAAGGAAGTTGGATAGCACCTCCCAAAACTAGACATGGATCCTATGATTCTCAGGAGTGGATTGTGAAATAAAGCCAGAAGTAGCTTGTGGGAGAACCACTCATTAACAGCAATTACACTTATGAGCCAGACATTCAAGTGGGACAGGGAAAGCCTCAAGTTCCATTTCCATCTTGTGATTTTGCAATTCGTGAAAGGGAAAGGAAGAGAAAAGTACACATATGGGTAGGAAACGTTTTCAAAATAAACAAGTACCCCATAGAGACCACATTAAAACACCTCATTGGGAGACCAGGAGAAATGTGAGCTACAATCAGAACAGAGAGCTCTTCAACAAGAGCCTCAAATGCCAAGTTGGTAACACGAAAAGGCCATACAAATATTTTTAAATGTAAAACTTGCTACTCTCAAAGAAAAGGAATGTAGAGCAGGTCAGAAGCAAACTAAAAACAAATGGTCCATGAAGAAATCAATAGAGCACCTCACAGGGGAGTCCAAAGCAAAAATGCAAACCCCTTTAAGTATAACAAAGTCAGGAAGCCAGCTAGAAAATGCAAAGGCCATTCAGGGATGAAAAGGTGATAGCAGGAAGGATCGATGAATTGTTTGCTTCAGTCTTTACTGAAGAAGACTTTAGAAAAGAGTCTCACTTGCATCTTGCTTTAAAGCCGTCAGGTCAGAGGAATTGGAACAAACAGTGGAAAACAGGACTTTCCCAGACCCAAGTGGCAAACGAAATGTAAATAAATCACCAGGCCCAGATGGCATTCACCCAAGACTGCTAAAGGAACTCAAGGGTAAAATATGGAACCGGTGGCCAAAATGTGTGACCTGTTGTTAATAACCACTACTATGTGAGAAGAATGGCAGCTTGCCAGTGTGACTCACACCCATAAGAAGGACTCCAGAGGAGATTCTGGAAACAAAAGGCTCTCAATCTGATTTCTAATCTTGATATGATAATGGCATCTCCATAAAAGTTACAGATGCAATATCCATGAGAGTTACGGTTTATATATTGAGGAGTCTTGGCTAATAACCTTTGAGAGACAATTTAGATGACTTGGACCAGATACTAAGAAGTTATGGAAATTCTGTTGAATTTCTTAAAGAGTACTTTTCTGTTATCAGATAGATGTATGTATGGATGAAATTATATGGTATTCAGGATTCACCTTAAAATATTCCTAGAAAAAAGAACTGAGGGAAAAGGATAGATATAACAACAACAAAAAAGAAAGCAACATGTTGCTAAGATGGGTACACAGTAGTTTATAACCTTTTCTCTCCACTTTTGTGTGTTTGAAAACCTCCATAATAAAGCTAAAAATTAATCAAGAAGGGAATATAGAAATAAGCATATGTCCAAAGGGAAACCACTGAGTGCTATTTATTTAGACTTTCGAAACATTTTGACAAAGTTTCACACCAACATTTTACACACACACACACACACACACACACAGTGGGTTTCAAGTTTGTAGGTGATATGAAACTCACTTCAGTAGTGAACTGTCTGAGCTTACAGGGAAAATAAAATACAAACAACTACAACATCAACACTTCCAACACTGCCTAAGTAGAAAGAAAACTGGTGTATGATCTTTAACATGTGCCATTGTTAAAGGATTAACCTTAGAGAACAGTGATATAGACATATATGTGTAAGATATGAGATCTTATCAATTACTAAAAGTCTAAACCAATGTTTAGAAAGAACTAGAAACAATTTTTCCTAAAATCAGCTTACTTTGCTTCTGTAGTTAAGGAGAAACACAATGCTGGGCACCCCTAGGAAAGGGTTTTGGAAATAAAACATTTTTAAAATTAGATATGTCTGAGGCAGCAAAGTATCTGCTTTTCCTGGATGAATTCACATCTCAATGACAGTACAACTAAACTGAATGAAGTATAGAGAGCAGCATGTAGAATCATTAGAGAGGTTGACTAGACTCTGTATCAAGATAGACTCAAACAATTAAAACTTCTAAGCTGAGAAACACAAAGCTTAGGTGATATATTAAGATCAATATTTATTGAGTAAAAAAAGCATACAAAATGACTGAATGTGGCTTCATTTACCAGTTCCTAGAACTAAGGACTTCTTGAAATGTTACCTCTTTAGTTCTCAAACTAAATTAATAAAACACTATACGGTGTGAGTAAACTTTAAAAAGATGTTACCCCCAAGAAAGTGTTGCAACTAAAAGTACAAAGGCATGGAAAGTAAAGTTTCCATACATTTATGTCCAAGTTATTAAAGATCACTGGTAGATACTTAGAATAACAAATCCACTTTTTTGTAGAGAAGAAACTAATAAGATCAAAAATACTACAATATTTCTTGGTACCCCTCAGAGTTGGAATAGTAAGCTACATGGACAACTCTAGTGTACACGTATTGGATTAGCTTCATCTTTGATATATTGGTGTCACTTTTCTCCTTCACTATAATTGAACATTAACTATGACACCAAACTTTTAGTTGCATAGTTCAGTATCACAAACCATAACTTTACTATGAAGAGACAATCAACTACAACTCATGTAACAAAAAGTGTCCATTAAAAGTTCCAAATATTTGTTTTGTTATATTATTTGTATACAAAGAGTTTAACTCATCATTGACTAGAAAATTAGCATTAATAAATTATTTTCTTTAGTTTTTCCCTAAGAACAATTAGCAATAATTTTATGAACATTAGTTGGCTAAATCCTTTACTCATCCTAAAAGATGATATTTCAATAAGATATTATTATTTTAATGTGTTATTCACAGTATTGACTTCTTTTTTTTTTTTTTTTTTAAAGTTGAGTCTTGCTCAGTTGCCCAGGCTGGAGTACAGTGGTGCGATCTCAGCTCACTGCAACCTCCCCCTCCTCCGTTCAAGTGATTCTCCTGCCTCACTCAGTCTCTCAAGTAGCTGGGATTACAGGCGTGTGCCACCATGCCCGGCTAATTTTTGGATTTTTGGTAGAGGCAGGGTTTCACCACGTTGGCCAGGCTAGTCACAAACTCCTGACTCAGGTGATTTGCCTGTCTCGGCCCCACAAAGTGCTGGGATTACAGGCGTGAACTACCCACACCTGGCCATCACAGCACTGACTTCTAAATCCCAAGAAATTAAGTGTGAAATAGGTAACTCATTTCATCAAATAACCAAGAACAGTTATTTTATACTCAGGGAAGCTAGTGTAAATAAACATTAGATGACAACAGGAATGTTGGCCTTCAAAATATCTGCTTATTTTACCTAGCTTTAAAATTATCACAGTATTTTCCAATTATCATAATCTATACGAAAAATATCATCTAATCGTCATACTCCAAGAGAAATATTTTCATGCGATATATCTGGAAAGACAGCATAATTTTCTAATCTCTCTCAGTATTGCTTCTTTGCAGGTTCATTTTATTTTAGACAGCTGAAACTTTTATTAGTGAATTTATAAGTTATAAAACCAAATGTGAGATTAAAGTCAAACTTTAATTTGTCCCAGTTGTCTTTCTCTGCAGATTGTAGTAAAAGTTTTATGTCTCATCCACAATAGGTAAAGGGAGCCTGGTGCTCCGTTCAGCCACACACTTGTCCAACTTGGTACAGTGTCCCTGACCCAGCTTCTGACTCAATCTCTACACTCGCTTGCCCATCTTAGGTAAATAGCAAAAATACAAAAGCCTCATCATTATGACCAGTATTAACCTTTGCTAAATAATAACCTTTGCCTGTGTACTGTTCTAAGAAGAAAATTATTTAGTTAAAATGACTATTATAACTAGAAATGTAATAGTGGTGATTCTGGTTAGTAGTTTTATTGGTAATTTTATTTCCTTCTTTACATTTTTTATTTTTCAATTTTTCTAATATAGATAAATTGATTTATAATCAGGAAAATCACGAAGAGGATTTTAAAATACATGCCACAATTTTCCATTAATCTGGAAGCAATATTTATAGTCAAAAATATCTCACTGGCAAAGAAGTTTTCAAGTCTGGTGTCTTATAAAATCTGATTTTCTCTAAAATAGAAATTACACTTGTTTTCTATCCATGAGGAAGTTGCGAATCAAAATCTTTAACAAGAAGAACAGACTAAAAAGATGTATGGGGATCCATTTTAATTTTTGATGAACATATAACATCACTACCTACTATATCTTATGTCTGGGTAGACAGAGTTAGAGAAGGGCTCAATTATCACAGCACACATAGGATACCACTATTTCCGTGTCCAAGTGATTCTGATGTATTCTGAATCATGAGACGGGGCTTGACGTTTGAGAGTAAAATGCCTCAGAATCTCAAAGAGGACTTTGAGAATTCTCAGGGTCCACATACAAATACACACACACACACACACACACACTACATATATATATCCAAGCAAACTAGGTGGGAATTTCACTTTACCTCATTCACCTAAGGAATCTCAATCAGTTGTTCCCTAAATAGCAAAGTACAGACTCAGCAAAAGGACCCAAGAATTATTCACAAATTGTTTATGGCTGAGTGAGCTTACAGAATGCTGGTATATGCTGAGCACACAGCTATTTGTCATAAAGCCATCAATCAAATTCAGTTGATAATAGAAATCCCTAAATAAATGAATTACAGAAATCAATGAGTCTGCTATTCTTACAGAGTTTAAAATCACTGAAAAATTTACCATGGATTTAGGAGGCAATTAAATAGTGGGGCATCAATATTCCCTTATTCATTTCACAGCTCATTCAGCCCTAACTGCTTTGTTTATCAAAGACCCAAGGAGACCGCTAAAGGCAGACTCTACTGGGGTCACCTCAAGATAAAGAGAATGAAGGCAAAGGTCAAATCAAGTTACCTCATCTATGAGCTCCTAATTCTAAAATAAAGTGAAGTTCCTTGGGGCCCATCCAATCATACCTACCAATACAGACCCAGGTCTCCCTGACCTATTATCTCAATTAGTAGGTCCAGATGGAAAGAAAAAATGAAAGCCCACAGGCAATCAAAAACTCTCACATTCGCTGTTAAGTTTCACTTCACTTTTTCCTTCTCATTACTAAGAGAAACAATGACTTTCTTGAGTCTCATCTTTTCTCTTTGTTCCATTCCAAAGCATAATGATCAACACCTGAAAGTCACAGATGACACTCAGTAGAGAGAAACAAAAGGCACAGATAA
This sequence comes from Homo sapiens, assembly GCF_000001405.40. Classification (NCBI taxonomy): domain Eukaryota; kingdom Metazoa; phylum Chordata; class Mammalia; order Primates; family Hominidae; genus Homo; species Homo sapiens. The sequence goes on along the minus strand of NC_000002.12, from coordinate 191,923,158 downwards.
TTATAAATGCAATAATACACACGGAAGTGAGTTGGTTCAACAAACATGTTGGTATGAAGCCCAGATTGACCAATGTAGTCCAATACTGGGTTGAAGGGAAGCACATGTACTTACCTAACAATAAAGCTAAATTTCTTCATCATGCAGTGTGAAAAGTATTGTGTCCGGAACTGGTGGGTTCTTGGTCTCACTGACTTCAAGAATAAAGCCGCGGACCCTCGCGGTGTTACAGCTCTTAAGGTGGCGCGTCTGGAGTTTGTTCCTTCTGATGTTCGGATGTGTTTGGAGTTTGTTTCTTCTGATGTTGGGATGTGTTCGGAGTTTCTTCCTTCTGGTGGGTTCGTGGTCTCGCTGGCTCAGGAGCGAAGCTGCGGACCTTCGCGGTGAGTGTTACAGCTCTTAAGGCAGCGCGTCTGGAATTGTTCGTTCCTCCCGATGGGTTCGTGAAGCTGCAGACCTTCGTGGCGTTACAGCTCATAAAGGCAGTGTGGACCCAAAGAGTGAGCAGGGGCAAGATTTATCGCAAAGAGCAAAAGAACAAAGCTTCCACAATGTGGAAGGGAAGCCCAGCAGCTTGCCACTGCCGGCTCGGGCAGCCTGCTTTTATTCTTTTATCTGGCCCCACCCACATCCTGCTGATTGGTCCATTTTACAGAGAGCCGAGTGGTCTGTTTTGACAGGGTGCTGATTGGTGCATTTACAATCCCTGAGCTAGACACAAAGGTTCTCCACGTCCCCACTAGATTAGCTAGATACAGAGTGTCCACACAAAGGTTCTCCACGTCCCCACCAGAGTAGCTAGATACAGAGTGTCCATTGGTGTATTCACAAACCCTGAGCTAGACACAGGGTGCTGATTGGTGTGTTTATAAACCTTGAATTAGATACAGAGTGCCGATTGGTGTATTTACAATCCATTAGCTAGACATAAAGGTTCTCCAAGTCCCCACCAGAGTAGCTAGATACAGTGTCGATTGGTGCATTCACAAACCTTGAGCTAAGACACAGGGTGCTGATTGGTGTGTTTACAAACCTTGAGCTAGATATAGAGTGCCGATATAGATCCCTTAGCTAGACATAAAGGTTCTCCAAGTCCCCACCAGACTCAGGAGCCCAGCTGGCTTCACCCAGTGGATCCCGCACCGGGGCCGCAGGTGGAGCTGCCTGCCAGTCCCATGCAGTGCGCCCACACTCCTCAGCCCTTGGGTGGTCGATGGGACTGGGCGCCATGGAGCAGGGGGCAGCGCTCGTCGGGGAGGCTCGGGCCGCACAGGAGCCCACAGAGGCGGGGGTAGGCTCAGGCATGGTGGACTGCAGGTCCCGAGCCCTGCGCCACCCGAAAGCAGCTAAGGCCCGGCGAGAAATTGAGCACAGCAGCTGCTGGCCCAGGTGCTAAGCCCCTCACTGCCTGGGGCAGCGGGCCCGCCGAGCCCACGGCCACCCGCAATTCGCGCTGGCCCGCAAGCACCGCGCGCAGCCCCGGTTCCCGCCCGCGCCTCTCCCTCCACACCTCCCGGCAAGCTGAGGGAGCCGGCTCCGTCCTTGGCCAGCCCAGAAAGGGGCTCCCACAGTGCAGCAGCGGGCTGAAGGGCTCCTCAAGTGCCGCCAAAGTGGGAGCCCAGAAAGGAGGCGCAGAGAGCTAGCAAGGGCTGTGAGGACTGCCAGCACGCTGTCACCTCTCAGTATGATACTGTTTAAGATACAAGCAGTGGAATAAGACTATTAACTCTTTTAGGAGTAGAAACCCAGCCAGAAAGGGCTCACAGCAGATGGTGATCTAGGAATTGGTGGCTAGATAGATGCCTTTGAAGAATAAGTTAAATTTAGTCAACAAAAAAGGAATGGAGGGCAACTCATGTAAAGTTCACAGTATGTGCAAAAGAACAGAATGTAGAATAACCTAGTGTGTTGGGAACTGTTAATAATTTGGTGTGGCTGGAATGTAATGTGGACAATAATGAGAGCACTGTCCTGTAAGTATATGTATATTATCCAACCATCCACGTAATGGGAGCTATTTACAGAGATAAGTCTGTTGGGGTTCCCTGAGTTGAGTAATTTTGGTCCAAATTGAAGTTCTGCTATCACCCCATATTCAACTGGTGCTGCCATGCTGCATGATTGACTTCCATTTGTGCTTCATCATAAGCTCTGCTCACCTTGCTTACAAACACTTAGAAGGAAAATTGACACTGAGGGAGCCAATGAATTTTTATAAAAATGCAATTCCTAACAGGGCTTTATTGCCGAAAATACAAATTAAGGTCTTTCTTCCCTTCCTCATCCTTATCCATCATCTTCCTCCACACTCCAGTCAAAGATGCATTCCAAATATGCACTCACAAACTCAGTTTTGTCTTTTTGAATACGCTGTGATTATAGGGATTGTATTGTATTTATAGCTTTTCCTAGGTAACTGACAGCGGGGCTTGCCTACAAGTGATTGATGAACAGAACAATCAATCAATCAGTTCATCTGCTTGCTGCATTGAAGGCAAGGGTGGAAGCATATGCCATGTGCAGGCAGCCAGTTGAAGCAATGGAATATATTGTACATTGTCTGCAATTTTAATGGCCAAAGAGGGGAAGGCAAATGAGAAATCATAAGCATTTATCCTTGCATGAATTCTAACTAAAAATAAAATAATGGTAAGGTTATATCATTTACAATGTCTTGGCTACAAGAAATGGAAAATGTATTGTCTAAGCAATAAGGAAAATGTATTCTCTCACATGAGAAGTCTAAAGTTCCAGAGTTGATTAATTCAGTGTTTTAACAATGACATCTTTTTTATCTGCCATCTTCGTTCTTTTAGTCCTGATTGCCGTATTTGTGATTATAGTTTGGTGTTGTAGCTTCAAACGTCACGGGATCACATAATATTCAAATGCCAGATTGGAAATTAGGGTACCTCCTTTTTCAATATATTCCTCATGTTTCTTTGACCAAATTGTACCACATGCCCAGTCCTTAGCCAATGACAGTCAAGGGAACTGGAATTCTTGTGCTTGCCTTAGCCACAGATTAATCAAGATCCACCTTATTGAGAGGCATCCTCCAGAAATGTGAATGAAATAAGGATCTGAAGCAAGGAATTAAGGGGTGGAGAAACACAAGTAAGGTTTGTTGTTAAATAAGCAACCAACAGTGTCCACAATAGCCAATGGCCTATTTAACTTTATTTTATCACACTCATCCAACTCCCAAGGGGTTAAATAAACAACAGGTTAACCATATTTTACCCAAAAAAAGGCATACGTGTATTTACCTTTAAGAAAGAATAAATGAATAAATAATACTTCAAAAAATAAGCAAGCAGGAGGAAGATTATAAAAATAAGAAGATTATAAGGAATTTTAAGCACCATGATCTTTGAGTGAAAAAATGCCATGATCCACTATTATAAATTATTTTTCCAAAATTAAAATTAAAATGCTAGTGCTGCATTCAGGTGTAATAAGTCGAAGTTCCTTCATATATTTCTCTTGTTAACAGTAAAGATTGAAGAGTGATCATATGTAATAGAAGAAACAATAGACAAATAAAAACAGCCAGAGACCCAACTTCTAGCTACAGGCCTTATAATTACACTTGCTATGTCTGCAATCCTTCACCCAGAAATATGCAGGTTCTCACCAAGTCTTTAAGGATAACACTAATTAATTTGTTAATTTATTCAAAAGTTATTTTTGTGGGTAGAATAATTTAGCTCTAACCACAAGTTAATACAGTTTTAAGAAACCTTTCTGGAATTCAGTGCCTGTCACACATTTAGTGTTAATACCATGTTGCAATATTTAAAAGTTTATTAACATAAAATATTTCAAGCAATACATTTTTAAATTAATCTCAAATTAAATTGAAGATTATACCCATTAAGCATACCCTTTAAGAGTTGAATATCGGGCATGACAATCACCACTGGTTACCTAGCAACCATGGTACCTGCTCTTACATTATGTTTATCCTAAACACTAATGTAAAAATTAGTGATGAATATATATCCACTTCAAGTCTCTATTTACTAGAAAACTGCATTTTTTTAGTTATTATTGGTTTCATATTTTGCTATTCTGGCAAGCTGAATTTTAATGGAAGGTTGGGAGGGTGGTGTCCTGGTCATTAAGCTGCCGTCTACTCTCAACAAGCAGTCCTAAGAATGATGCCTAATTATTAAAGCAATGATGCCCATCACTGGTCATTACAACTAAAATGAAATTAATGTCTGGTGAGTATCTCAAGCCATCTTTAAAAAAAGAGTCATGTGGAAAGTATACCTCGCTTCCACACATTCTAATTTCTAAAAGAATATAAGATTAGACTATGAGTGCCCCGGGGCACTCCCAAGGCTATCCTATTCTTTAAAATGCCTGAGGTGGGCCCCACAGTTAAAAAATGTCATCTCTCATCCCATTTTCTACTGCTAGCGTATATTATAACAATAACCTTTCCAATTCTGCATACATTCCCATGTCTGTACATTTACATTGTGGAGTCTCTGGTGCCACAATTGCCAAGGAGCTCTCTGAAGCACTGTGGCTGTGCTTTGCCAACTGTGTTTGGCTGCCCGGCTCCTTCTGGGCTCCCAAAGCTGGCAGGCTAATATGCTAATAGCATTCATTAGCCTGAGCTTTGACCGACAGTTAAAACAGGACACCGCATCAGCACTCCAGCTCTGCATGGCCATTATGCCATTTCAGGAGGTGCAGCTAATTCAAAGAAGATGATGACAGGGTTTGCAATCAGGGAACATTAGAGTGTCGGGCAGTGGAGAGGCTGAACATGCTAGGCAGGCAACACTGCCAGCAACCCTGATTTGATTTCTGGCACCACTGGCGGGCTTGGCAAAAAAACAAAAAAAACAAAAACAAAAAAAAACGGAGGTAATGAAATATCAGGCATTGGGACTGGTCTTTGATGTAATTATTCTCCAGGGCAACAAGGGACAAGATGAAAAAGCTTTCAGGGACAGGCAGTGGGCACCTGTGGGACCCCGCTTCCATTACAGCATGACACTCTGCTGAGCAACTCTCTCTCCACTGGGGAGAGCAGGGTACTAAATGGGCCGTCAAAAGGGAGGGGACATGGGAAACAGTCTGTGAAAGAAAATAAAGCTGAGGAAAGATAGAAATAAGATAGAGAGGTTGTCAGAGCCTTGCAAGGGAGCGAGAATTAAGTGAGGTGTTTCAGAATCTCTGTTAGGAGCGATGATAACTTACATGGTTTACATCAATTGGTTTTGACGTTCACGCATTGGAGAAAGAACAGAAAGCAAACAAGGCAAAGGACGCAACAGGCCACAGAAGCCCCAAGAGTAGTAAAATCCCTTAAGATGTTGGTCAAAAACAGATAAGCCTTTGGCATTTCCCCTTCAGGGCTCTTGGTTCTGTCAGGTTGAGGACCAGACTGAAATGATTAAGGGAGTACTTTCTGGAAGTTCAATCCTCTAAGCCTCTGAATATAATCAAGCTCACCCAGCAATTCTTTATGTAGGAACAGGCCCAAGGCTAAAGTTGAACCAGAAATGAATCATTTCTCATTCTGCAGTGAATGCTACTTCTGAATCAAGTTGGAGGTCACTGGCTCAACAAATGGGGAAGCGTGTGTGTTACAAACCCTCCCTGTGCACAAACCTGGAGCTTTAGCTTTCTTTGATCTTTACAAGGGAAAACATTCCCCAACTGAAAATAAACATTACAACAGGATTGACAACTGAGAACATTTACAAATCATGTCATCTTTGCTCGGTTTGATTTAAAAGTGGGAACCAGGATATAATATTCAACCCTATCCCCCCTCACTCCCCACACACAACGCTGTTATTTCAGAGAGGCAGTATATTTCACTGGCACACTTTTGATTTCTGCATAGAACAAAGCCAGTATATTTATTAGCTATACTTCTCATGTATTTTCTCCAAAGATCTCCCCTGGCTCTTTCTCTCCTCCTTTTGTATTTGAGCAATGCATCCCACCCCTTCACCAATTCCTGCAATTTCAACTATCACCACAATGGAAATAGTTACCAACCTCTCTCAAAAACCCAATTATCTGTAAACTCCGGGCCCCAAATTTTACTGGCCTGTTGAAGAGCACTAATGATGAACACAGAGCTGGCAAGCAAGATGCTTTGACTCACATCCACCAGCTCAATTTCACTTGTCCAAAACTCCTCCTTCTATGTTCCCATTTCTATGAATAACATCATTATCTTTTTATTCACCCAGTTCAAAACCTTGGAATCATCTCCTCTTGTCTCCCATACCCAATTTGATGTAAATTTTGTTGATTAACTCTCTCACATCTCTTGCATTGATCCTTGTCTGCTGTTCCCACCATACTTTTCTAATGTAGGAGCCACCTTATGAATTAAACAGTGTTTTATGGACAAAACTGGAAACATACCATCGCAATATTATTTCACTGGGAAAATATATTCTATATACCTACCAACCAACCAACTTCAACTCATTCCTGACCCTCTGTAACTCGCTTCTGATTCTGTCCCAACTTAAACTCATTCCTGACTCTGTTTACTACACCCCAAATTTATATCCAGTCAGTTCGAAATCTTGTGACTCTGCCTCCATATCTCCACCTCTACCTCCTTATGTTTGCTACCTCCAGATAGAGTCCTGTTAGTATTGTGATTTTTGCTCTCAAAACTTTCACTGGAGCATTGCAAGAGCCTCATCTTGGTCTTTTCTACAAACATTGCTAAAAGATTAGCTTTGGGAAACATGAATGTAATCATGGCATATCCCTACTCAAAAACTGTCATGCTTCTATATAAAGAATCTGGCACTGAAGACCCATTGTGACATGACTGGGGCCAATTACTCCAGTTTTCCCTCATTTATTTTAATGTTCCACCACTTGGTGTTGCTTTGTTTTGCCCAGGAAATTGTACATTTTCCAAAACAACCACTTTTGTTTAAAATGCACTAATATACCAACTACACAATTTTTCGTGTCACATCCTACCCATGATTGAGACTGCTCAAATCCTATATTCTTCAGGAGGTATTTTCCGTGTCTTCTGCACAGATAAACTACTAACTCAAGGGCCCTGATGAATGTTAGTTAGCATTCATAAGTTTTGTCTCTATTGTCTTTGAAAGCAAGATAGCAAGGCTTGTGTCTGTTAAGATCATTTTATGGAAGCAAAATGCAGATAGGCATGTAATTATGAGTCTTCCCTATGACATAAATGAAAATTAAGTATCCTTATAATTGGGTTAGTAAACAAATTCAATTAACTGGGAGAAATGACTGGCACAGCTGATTAGTCTCAGTGTTCTCCAAAGGGGTTCCCTACATAGCCCATCGCATGGTCTTTATGTCCACCCAAGTATCTGGAGGTAAAGATTAGTTGAAAAAGTGATGGTATCCAGTGTTCCTCTTTCCTGATCCTTCTCCTCTGGCTGTTTAGAAATACTAATGACTTCCTTCATCTCCCTCAATTGACGTTTACAGGATTCCTAGATAATCAAAGAGGGTCATCAGTTAGAAATAATAGTTTACAATAGGAAGAGGTTGGGAGGAGCATCATTTTGGTTGGAAGTGAAATGCAAATAAAATTCACTGTGGAGCAAACCCCTCCTCAGATTCCAGTATGCATCCTGGAGAGGATGGAAAAGCCCTCCTGCTGAGAACTTCTACCATTGTGAGCTCTATTATTGATTTGAGTGTATGATGTCATTTGGATATCTGAAGAAGAAAAAAATTTTTAGAACTTATGGTTTACATCATGCTGTTAATCATATTTGTCATATCACAGGGTTATTAGAAAAGCAAAGATGATGTCAAATATGAAATTGCCTTATAAGGGAAAAAACAAACTCCAAATATGACACTTTGGAGTAACATAAACATGTCTAACTACCCATTATGGAATAATTTGTTGTTGATAATCTATCATTCTGTCTCTGCCACCGTAGACTCATCTATGTGGGTCTTTTTTCAGATTGAATTTATATAACATAAAGTGAGCTGAATTGCAAAAGCCAGAAAAAAATTATCTGGCCTCACTTTCTATATCTATTATGTTAACTGGATATTCTCATCTCTCCACTCTACCCTGAGTTAGGGAGAAGCAGCCTCATAGTCTATTTTGTTAGAGAAGTTGAAACAACGCGTTCATAGAGAACATAATTAGAATCATTGAATTTTAGAGCTGGAAGAGACCATAGAGATCATAATTGAGAGTAAAGTTTATCTGGGAGATATAATTTTATTTTTCCCTTTCGTTGGTTAAACGACCAGTGCAATCTGCTCCAGATTGTTGCGTCCCTTCTTAAAAGTAAATTAACTATATCTTCCAGAACAGGGAATTCTTTTCTTTTTGCACATATTTTAAACAGTAATTACTAGTACCTTTTAGAATGTTTTGTTTGTCTCTTTGCTGCCATCCCCAGTCTGGCAACCACACTTTTCTGCAAACATTCTAATTGCAATATGCCCCCTCTTCCAAATGGTCTCAGGATGAGTGAAACAAACAGGCATGTAAAGAACATCATAATGAAAAACTTTTCTAACAAAGGAAGAATTATGATAAAGGAAAATGTCTGCATGCATTCCTTGACAAAACTTTCAGAAAAGCAAATGTATCCTGTAAATGTAGTTCAATGCTAAGTAAAATTCACTTGGCATAAGGATGGTCTAGTCACAATCACAAAAGGAAAGAAAACCAGAATACATGGATTCTAATCCCAACTCTACAAGCAGTGTGAAAATGAACTAAATCAGATAATATAAGTAGAAGTAATCTGAATGGTGTTTAAAAATATGCAAGAGGAATGTATTTTTAACCACCTGGTATTGTATATAGCTCTATAGTCAATTACTATCTGCCTGTTAGCTTATAAACCTCTAGGTGTAAAAAATAATTTTTTTGAGGAAGGCAGGGGCAATTATTCTACACAGTGTCTTGCACATAAAAAGTACTTAACAGATAAGTATTAAGTAAAAGAATACATGAATAAAGAATACAAGAATAATAGCACAATTGAGTGACTGGATGATTAAAATAATATGTTAAAGAAAAGGGAGGAGAAATAAATCATAAATGGATCATAAACATTGTAATAAGTTAGAGTTGTTGAACAGCATTCTCATGTGAACACAAAATGCTTCCTCTTTTTAGCAAATAAGAAGATCATTAATTCAAGGTGTTTCTCTTCCTGTTTCCAGAGGTATAACATTTCAAAACACTGTCACCTTTCAGATTTTCCTTTCAGATACAGCAAGCTAGAATGCACCCGCACTAGGAAAGGAATTATTAGGGCTATTCTTCTGCAAGCTTCAGGACATAAACTGATCACCAGCTGGGGTCAGGACAAAATTATGGAGACTCCCAAAAGCTTCCTCCAGAGCTTGCTGCAGTGCTCACTGCTGGAATCACAAAACCAATACTAAAATGAAGTTCAACTGTTATTTTTTTTATTGAGTAGCAATTCTTATGGTTTTCAAATTGAGAAGAGAACACAACAAAGGAATCCACTGAAACAGTATCAGCAGCTCTCTTGTTCCAGCTTCCAAACAAAATGCAGGCAGTGGGCAATGAAAGTAAGGAAACCTGTCACATTGTGGATCTAAAATCCAAAGCGTTTCTACCTCTGTAAGGAAGCATCATATTTCACTGAAGGACCAGGTAAATAGCACAACCTTCTCCTGAGAAAGTTCACAAATATTGCATCTTTAAGGTCAACAGCTATATCACCATCAGTTTTCTCATTGCAAAGCTACTTGGGAAGTAAAGAAATGCCCTATTCAAACAGAAAGCTTTTTGGTACAGGCTGGTAATTTCATTAAGTTAAGATGTTTTTGTGAGATCATTTCACCTGAGAAAATAAACAGGATACGTAAGAGATGGCACTCCTTTCAAGGACACGATGGCTTAAAAACACACAGGTGACAACTGGTGGTGGCAAAGCTGTTGGGGGTTATTTAAAGAAAAAAAATTGTCAGACATTGATTCCAATACTCAGATTCCCAGGAATCCTGGCTGGCATATTCAAAACAAGCCGTGATCTTTAGCTGTTCTGTGTGCTTCTCAGGCGCAGACTGCCTGGATGATGCAAATACAGGTGAAGCTGCCTGAAAGCATTAGCAAGAACCACTGAAGTCCTTAACTCCATCCAAGCTCTTCACTCTACAGGGAACAGCTTGAGGCTTTGTATGATGCCCAGAGTCAAAAGTTCATTCTCTCTTGGGAATATTGGCAGCCATGGCTCCTGAAGAGAACAGAGCCACAGTCAGCAAAGCAAAAACGTTTTGCCAGGTCCTCACTGTTTTGCCTTAGATGTCAATGAGAATGCTGTGAACAGAATGCAAGCCTGATAAATTATACCTGTTTTTAAATTAATAGTACCCTGAAATGATGACTAGAATACAGTATATATTAGATAAGATGAACATTAGGTGGTGCCGAGCTATTTAAAGAAAAAATGAACACGTTTAACTCCAGTGCAGCTCTCCTGGAAGTGTAAACTCACTTACATAATAAATATTCGTTGAGTGCTTACTTTGTGTGTAGGTGATAGGAATACAATGGCGAACAAGGCTTGCCCTTGTCCTTTAAGTGTGGAAATGAAGAATTCAATAAATAAATTCTTCCAAGATTTTTCTAGGTCTCAAACGTCTGCAAGGAAAATAAGAGAAAATGTCATATAAACGGAATGTGGCTATCTCCATTTGTACTTCCAGAGGAGTTGGCGGGGGGGCGGTGGCAGCGATATAACTCACCTAATCAGACAGAAAGGAGAATGGGTGGGACATGGAATCATTAGTGCACTGTTTAGCAGAGTACGTTGGTGAATAACAGCCATGCAGCTGAATCCCAAGCACAGCTTATGGGTAGGAAGAGAGAGAGCTGGATTGCTCACTATAAATCAGTATGAGAAAATACTATTTTTCTTTTTGGAGTGGCTGAAAGGCAGCACAGAGAGGAAAGACAGAGGGGGCCAAAAAACATAGCAGGTGCCCAGTACTCACGTTGAGAGAAATGGCTGAAGAACTTCTTCAAGAGCCCAATGTTCAATTGTTGATTATCTAACTATGGAATGCCATATAACTTCTCTCACCATTACCCATCTCTTTAGTAAAACGCTACCACCCACAGCTGCTCCCCAGAGTGATATTTTAGGACTAAGAGCAAAGAATTAAGGGGAAGAAACTGCATCCTATGTCTGAGTTGATACTAGGGCAAAGATAAAGAAACACCCAGAAGACACAATAAACAAAAATCCAGCATCAGTAAGATAGCAAAGCCCAAGATGACTAAATGAAGCACAAATCCCTGAGCACTGCAAAACTCCTAGAGCAGTTATTGGATTTCCCTTAAGACATGGGGTAGAGGTTCTTAAGAGCAGCAGGTGATATCTGGATTACTACTCCTGAAGGGCAGGACCACGTCTTTGTCTTTGTGTATCACATAATGCCTCTACAGGCACTAGTACAAACCTCCTAGGAAGAACTTATGAAAGTTTGTTGAATAATTTATAATGGTGAGATGAAATCTCAGCTCCTAACTGCCAAATAGGGAACAGGGACTTCCCAGGGGCCTTCAAGTATGAAACACAGGAGCTGCTGTGTTTGCAGGTAACTGCCCCAAGACCCTGATTTGAGGGGCTGCTAGCCAGAAACTTCTTTATCGGTCAGCCCCAGATTGAGATTCCCACCACTAGGGATTTTGTGGTAGACTTAAGACTTAAGAGATCCAAAAGCAATGCCTTCATAACTAGTTCTCACAACCCAGCACAGGGAAAACTCCCATCACTGTATGAAAAGGTTTTCAAACTCAGTCTTAAAAGACTCATTATCGGCCGGGCACAGTGGCTCACGCCTGTAATCACAGCACTTTGGGAGGCCGAGGCAGGCGGATCACCTGAGGTCAGAAGTTCGAGACCAGCCTGGCCAACATGGTGAAATCCCGTCTCTCCTAAAAATACAAAAATTAGCTGGGCGTGGTGGCAGGCACCTGTAATCCCAACTATTGGGGAGGCTGAGGCAGGAGAATCGCTTGAACCTGGGAGGCAGAAGTTGCAGTGAGCCGAGATCGCACAATTGCACTCCAGTCCGGGGGACAAGAGTGAGACTTTGTCTCAAAAAAAAAAAAAAAGACTCATTATCTCATTTTTGTTATTTGAATTTGAAAACAGCAAAGAGCAACTTAGTAGTTCTTTGGGTTATGAGTGATGCTGAAGGCAGAGTCATCATGTCAGAAGAAAAAAAAACAAATAGTATTTTATAAAAGGTAAATATACTCTTACACAGAATTATTTCTGTACTAGTGAGATGATGTCTAAAGGCAAGTGAGGTTTCTGATGCTTAGTCAGTCTCTGATTCACTGAGCACATGCTATGCTATGCAGAGAAGGAAAATAATGTGAACAAGATAGAAGTGGTCTTGTCTTTGTGGTGATAGCATTATAATGCGAGATACGGTAAAGGGGAAATTATGACATGGAATTTATGACACAGAACAGGAAGTGTCATACTGGGGGAATATAGAATGAGAAGAGAGTTTGTAATCAGGGACTAGGTCAGATTCCAGGTCTAGGACAACCTTTGAGAAGAACTAACTTGTAACATGAGACCTAAATGAGGAAAAGAACATGCCAAGAAGAGTCAGTGAGAAGTTGGAAGAGTGTCCTAGAAAGAGGGAAAAGCATTTTCTGGAACAGAGAACCAGACTGAACACAGGGTCAATTCACCAACAAAGCACAAGCAACAAAAGTTCTATTTCTATTTTTCAATCTAGCGTTTTCAAAACAGATCAAAGTAAAAATCATTGAAAAAAAATCACTCCTTTCTTAGGCTGACTTACTGGCTGAAATGTATTTTACAGTCTTGAATTGTTTTTATTTTGAATCACAAAAGTGAGGTCCCACAGTCTTTTCAGTGCCTAGAACTGGTGGCAATATTGATAGTGGGTGATGTTTGCCGAATATCAGTTATACCCCAGCATTGCTCTGAGTGTTTTATACTCCTTGACTCATTTAAGCCTCACAATAATTCTATTATCATCTGATTTTATAGATGGGAAAACTGAGAGGGAGCAATTAAGTAAGCAGGCTGGGGTCATGATGTTATTAAGTGACAAAGCTGAAATTTGAACCCCTATAGTCTGGTGCCAAAGTCTGGGCTCCTAACTACAAACTTTGTACCCATATGTTGGGGAAGTGAAATAACTTCCCTATGGCTCGTAGACATACCTAAAAGTTGAGGCTAAAGAAAAATTAAGAACAATATCATGAAGGGTCTGATGAGCCCTATCAAGGAGTTGGAACTACTTCATGAGAGAATGAGCCTTTGAAGGTTTTTAAGCATAAAAATGACTATTTGGCTGGGGGCAGTGGCTCAAGACTTTCATCACAGCACCTTGCGTGGCCAAGGTGGGCAGAAAATTTGAGCCCAGGAGTCTGAGACTAGCCTGGGCAACAGGGCAAAACCCCCCATTTCTACTAAAAATACAAAAATTATCCAGGCATGGTGGCTATGATGGTTAATACTGAGTGTCAACTTGATTGGATTGAAGGATACAAAGTATTAATCCTGGGTGTGTCTGTGACGGTGTTGCCAAAGGAGATTAACATTTGAGTCAGTGGGCTGGGAAAGGCAGACCCACCCTTAATCTGGGTGGGCACAATCTAATCAGCTGCCAGCACAGCTAGAATATAAGCAGGCAGAAAAATGTCAAGAGAGAGACTGGCCTAGCCTCCTAGCCTACATCTTTCTCCCATGCTGGATGTTTCCTGCCCTTAAACATCCAAGTTTAATTGAAGACTCCAAGTTCTTCAATTGTGGAACTCAGACTGGCTCTCCTCACTCCTCAGCCTGCAGACAGCCTATTGTAGAACCTTGTGATTGTGTGAGTTAATACCTAGTAAACTCCCATATATATATTCCATATATATAAATACAATATATATATATAGTATATACCATATATACCATATATATAGAGTATATACCATATATACTATATATAGAGTATATATACCATATATACCATATATATGGTATATATACTCTATGGTATATATGGTATATATATGGTATATATGGTATATACTCTATATATGGTATATATGGTATATGCTATATATATGGTATATATGGTATATATGGTATATACTCTATGGTATATATGGTATATACTCTATATATATGGTATATATGGTATATACTATATATATATGGTATTTATATATATGGAATATATATATGGGAGTTTACTAGGTATATATATATATATTCCATTATTTCTGTCCCTCTAGAGAACCCTGATTAATACAGTGGCATATGCCTGTAATCCCAGCTACTTGGGAAACTGAGATGGGAGGATCACCTGAGTGCGGGAGGTGGAGGTTACAGTGAGCTGTGATCATGCCACCGCACTCCACCCTGGACAACAGAATGAGACTCTGTCTCAAAAAAAAAAAAAAAAGAAAAGAAAAGAAAGAAAGAAATGACATAATTTGATTTGCTTTGTACCAAGATCCCTCTGGCTACGAGGAGAACCAATTAGAAAGAACAAGGCCAGCCGGGCACGGCAGCTCATGCCTGTAATCTCAGCACTTTGGGAGGCCGAGGCAGGTGGATCATGAGGTCAGGAGTTCGAGACCAGCCTGGCCAATATGGTGAAACCGCATCTCTACTAAAAAATACAAAAATTAGCCGGGCGTGGTGACAGGCCAAAATTGTGCCACTTTACCCCAGGCTGGGTGACAGAGCAAGACTCCATCTCAAAAAAAATGAATAAAATAAAAGGCCACAGGCAGGGAGACAAGGAGGTGCTAGAAGTAATCCAGGTGAGAGATTGTCACTGCTTGATCCAGAATAGTAGATATTTGAGAGATATTGAGGAGGCAAAAACGACAGAAGTTAGTGACTGGCTGGGGGTGGGGTTGACAGAAAGGGGGAAGTCAAGAATGCTTCCTGCATTTTTGGGTGGAGGGGTAGCACAGGACATACAGAAGGAGCAAGTTAGAGGCAAGACACAAGTTCAGGCCTGGACATGCTCTATGTAGGCGGCCCAATGTTTATCCAGCAGGTGATATCCAGTAGGTAGTTGGATATGAAAATCTAAAATTCAAGAGAGATAATAATTAAAACATGGCAGTAGATAGAGAACCTCTATGGTGGGTGTGCTAGGTGCAAACAAACAAAAGCCAGCAGGGAGAAGAATTCCACAAAAATATAAGAGATTGGTGGAAGAAGAAAAGACCACAAAGGAAACTGGGAACAAGCCGTCA
The DNA here is from genome assembly GCF_000001405.40 of Homo sapiens. Taxonomy (NCBI): domain Eukaryota; kingdom Metazoa; phylum Chordata; class Mammalia; order Primates; family Hominidae; genus Homo; species Homo sapiens. Next base: position 191,907,899 of record NC_000002.12, on the reverse strand, counting down.
GAGCAGCAGGAAGTCAGAAGTACAATGTTTCACCGAACAAAGAGGAAAAGATGTCAGGAAGGCAGTACAGGTCCATTGCTGCTGAGATTCAGAAGACAAAGGTCTGGAGCGCCCACAGGATATAGCAACAAGGACATTATTAGTGACTTTGCCAAGAGCTGTTTATAGACAGAGTGAAGGAAACAGCCAGGTGGCAGCAAACTGAAGAGAGTATGGGAGAGTATGGGAGGTGAAAAAGTGGAAATGGGCTGTAAATGTCAGGAGGTTTGTGTGGGAGAGGAAAAAAGAAATTGGGTGGAAGAGTAGAGTTGTCATCATCTTTGTCATCTCTTCTGTAACTGTTGCTTTTCCTAGAGACGTCAGCACAAAGACTAATGGAAAAGAGCAGAGAATGGAACGTATTTACAAAGGGAGATCTCAGAGAAGGCAGAGGGGTTGAGAATCCAAGAAGAGAGGGATGCTTTGGCCCAGATGAGAGAAGAGAAGGAGCAAGGGTGGAAGGCAGGCACTGAGTAGGGGCAGAGCAAGAAGCAGAGATTATTTCTGAGTAACAGCTTCTACTTCCTCTGAAATGGGATGCAAGGTTATCTGCTGAGAGAGAGGGAGGACATAGGAGAGGTTTGCAGAGATGATTCATCTCCTTTGCCACCTTCACTGATTATGCATGTGGGTGCTTCATTTTGTCCCTGAAATTACCAATTCACTAACATGGGCTCTTCATGTGTATCCTGCTATTTTTTGAAGGGTTAGTTGAAGTACTAAATATTATAGATGAAATTAGGCTAGACAAAATGGAGTTAAAGAGGTAGATAATGGAGCTTGTCAGAAAAAAAATAAGCAAGATATTTTCCTAATATAAAGCTCCCTTTTAATTGAAATGATAAACCATTTCTGTATAGGATGGGTTTCAGAATCTTCTTGAATATTTGTTTTTGTCTATTCTTACATTCATGTTAGACTTTGGGGTCCCTGTGATATCAATATAGTGAAGTCTACCACAAATAAAAGAGTCTAGCACTAAATACTTGTGAAATGGCAGATTCTTTTGTATCTCCCATATTCTATAAGATATTAAACTTTTCAGATTTGAGCTAAATTTATTTTACTAATCCCGTCTTCATTTTTTGTAAAACTGTCATCAAAAATACAGTACATTATATTGCTGGGATATCCCTTTATTAGATCTCATGCATTAAATTGCATTCAGAATAAAATGCTAAAATGATCTCATTTGAATAATTGATATGCTCCCTCTATCCTGATAACAAATTTTATGCAACTTTTTAGGTCCCCTCTCCTTTGACATAGCCACAGAGAAATTTTTATGTCTACTCAGAGCAACTGTACTTGTCCTTGTAGTTAGCATATATCTCTATTTCCACTTTGTGGTTTCAAATGTCACCTTCTAATCTGTTATCCTGAATTGATGTGTCCCTCCTGGAAATATCCTTTTGGGGTGTGTGATACAAATTAATTAATTAAGAGATCAACTTAACCTTGTGGTTGGTTGAAAGCAATTCAATTTCTCCACGAACACTTATGTGTTTACCTGGTATTCACAGCACATAATGCATTTGTATAAGCTAAATACCCAACTTTGCTCTAAAATCCTGAGCCTACATTGAAAAAAAAATTATCTTGAAAAATTCTCACACATTAGATTGAATTGTGTCCAAATCTACTCATTGGCATTTCAACCTTTTATTAAACCGTAAAACAATGTATAAAGAAAACAAACAAAAGTATAATTCATCAGTGTTCAAAAAAATTGGGGACCTCGGTATTTTGCTACATTTTTTGTTGCCCATTTGACCTGGATGTCTTCGGAAAGTAGCGTTCTAATTTTTCTGAAGATAATTGTAGCCCTGTTTACTTGGATGTTTTTATTCTCCCAAGTGATTTGTTTTACTCAGTTTATACCATTCACCTGCCTCATGTTCTTTTCCAGGAGCCAGCCCATGAAACTGAGAAGTGATACACATCTGGTACCTATAAAAGCAGCATCTGCATTGCCTGCAATAATTAGCATTTTGCTTTACTGTGCATGCTGCTTTGCCTTTATACTGCACCCTGAATCAAATGACTTTAAGACCCTGAATTAGTTAATATACACAACACAGCTCTCTTGCCCAATATCTCCAAAAGATCTGAAGAAATTTTATTCAAATTTAACCAGAAAATGGGTGAAAGTGAAATTAGGCAAGCAAGGCAATAAAGCAACAAGCCTAGAATAAGAACACCTGGAGATGAAAAACCTGGAGCTGCGTTTATAAGCCATGCTACTTCCCTAAGAATTCCTGAGCACTAATGAAAGCAATCAACACTGCACACAGCTTGCCTCCACGCATATCCTGCATGCTGGTGGATTACCAATGCCTTGGATGTGTTCTTCGTGAGAGCATAGAAGAAAGCACAATAAAGGTCAACTATCCCATCGTCCTAGAGTTTCCTTTACATTGAGTGAAACAGGAATGATAGAAATTATTCAAGAATGCCACCTTGTTTTCTCCAGAAGCACTGTGCATTGTTTAAAGGCAATTTTAATAAATGACTCCTAGAGGTTAAAAGTATTATGTTTTGTCTTTGTAAAAAGTCTAATTCGTCTCCCCCTCTATAACGCCTATGCACTGGGGAATGTGAAAAGAATATAGTACATACAAATTCTGTTCTGATTGGTAGAGATGGAATTCAGTAACTTACTTCATTTTGGATCAGGAAATAAGTTATGTCTTCGCTGAAGTTCTGGGTTTAGTAGAATGTAAAGTGCATTTTTAATCTCATTAGCTTTTCCAGAAAGTGGGGCTGTTGTGATGCATTTTAGAATGTTTACTATGTTTATAGGGTGATTCACAACATGCAATTTAAAATATATGAGTTGTTCCAACATCATCTTTTTCCCACTAGGTTGAGACTGTACCCTTATCATGTAAAAAATTTCCGCTATTATTTGGAGTCTATTTCTAAACTTCCTATTTATTCCTCTAATCTGTCTATTTATGCACTGATAGAAAACTGCATTAGGTTCTGAGACTCTACAATAAGTTTAATATCTGGTAGCATTAGTTCCCCTTCAAAGTTTATTTTTTAAAATTTACTATCTATTTATATTTTTCCGTGTATACTTTTGCATCAATATGAATATTTCAAAAAAAATGCCATTAACCTTTTTATTGGGTTGCCAATTTATGAAATAGCTTAGAAAGAATGATACCTTTATTGACTATTCCTGTCCAAAATACAATGTATCTTTCAATTTGCTCAGCAGTATTTTATTGCCTTTCAACAGTACCCCAAACTTTCCTTTACATAGATTACGCACATACTTTATTAAGTGTATTTCTAGGTATTTTATTTTTTATGCTGCTGCTGTATGAGATCTTGTCTATCAGATCTCGCACATAGTTGTTACTTGTATATGAAAGCTACTGATTTATGTCTAAAAACCCGTTACCACACTACCTTATTTAACCTCTTATTGTTTTAGTGTTTCTTTTTCAGTTCATTCTCTTGGGTTTTCCAGGTATAAAATCTTATCTACAAATAGTGTTTTTTTTTTCTGGTAGCTTTAAAATTTTGTACCACTGCTGTCTGTCTTTAGTATAATTTTATGGACTATTCTTCAGTACAAAGTCAAATAAAAGTGTTCATCATGGGAATACGTGTCTCACTCTTGATTAAAGTGAGTGGCATTCCGGAAAAATAATTGAACCCTTATATATGATCCACCTTATATATGATACCTTATGATTATATCAGGACGAAATCCAAATCAATCAAAGGTTTACTTGGAAATAATTAAATCATAGAAGTAAATATGGCAGAATTCCTTTATAAACTTTGTTTCAAGGAGTTCTTTCAAAATCTCATTCAAATTCCAGAAGCCATAAAAGACTGATAAATTTGATTACATTTAAAAAGACTTTTATGTGTTGAAATAAAATAAAAACAAAGGCAAAAGACATAAAACAAACTCTTTTTTAAAAAACTGTATTTACAACTCATTTAACAGAGAAAGAGCTAAATTAAAATATGAAATGCTCCTAAAAATTGATTTAAATAATCAAAGACCAATAACTCAACAAAATAATGGGCAAAGGATATAAACAGACTTCACAGAAAGTGAAATATAAATATCTCACAGTCCTATTAAAAGATAATATCATTCACATTAACAGAAATGCAAATTAAAATGACACTGAAATATCACCTATCAGCATGGGTAGAATCTAAAAGCTTGATAAGACACTATTCTAGTAAGTCATTAGGGAAACATTTTCAAACTTCATTGGTAGGAATTTGAACTGCTGAAATCTTATGAATGAAAGGTTGGCAATATCTATCAATATTACAAATTTAAATACCATCTGACTCAGCTCTTCTGCTTCTAGGAATTTATCCTACAGACGTATTTGCCATGTGCAAAAATGAATAATGTACAAGGTTATTTATTATGGCATTGTTTGTAAGAACAATTGATTGAAAACATTTCTAATGTTTATCTAGAATTGACTGGTTAAATGAATTATTCATAAATGGAATATTACGTAGCTGAACAAAATAATGAAAAGCCATTCGATGTGCAAATTTGAAAATCCTTGAAGACATTGTTGGATGAAAACAAAAATTCAAATGTAAGCCACATATAGAATATCCTGTCTATTTAAGAGAATATTGAGTAATAAGAAAGTATTTATATTTCTATTGGTTTGTGCATGCATAAATTATAGATGCAAACATAGGACACTATTAAAGGTGGCTACTTATGACAGTAGAGTAAAAAACTCAGCAAATTGGAGACAAGAATAGAACAAAGACATTTCACTATATCCTTCCTATCTTTCCTTCTTTCTTTTTTCTTTCCTTCTTTCTTCCTTTCTTTCTTTTTCTTCTTTTCTTTAGGTTTTTATCCACTTAATACATTTTTCTTTAATAAAGTAGGGACTTCACAGAGAGGTAAGAACAGAAGAATAGGGTCAAATGCCTCTTACATACCAGCTGAAAAATAAGCAAAGTACATAAAAAAAATTTCTCCCAGAGATGGCCCAGACAGAATAAGATGAAAGCGAGCCATCAAGATGCTCTCCTTTCCAAGAAAGCACAGTTCACAAACTCACCTAATGTGGCACGGACCACTAATAGACCATACTAAACTTTTGTGCATGGAATAGAAATGGGCACTTGCTCTAGGATAACTCAGGTCTCCAAACTGGGCAAATAAACCATGTCTTTATAATTATTTTTATATAGGGCTTCTTCCTCTAGGTCACACAGCTTGGGCAGCAGGAGTATGGATTTCAGCCTCCACTCAGACAAGTGCTCTTGTACAATGACAACCTACTTGTATTAGTCCGTTTTCACACTGATGAAAAAGATGTACCTGAGACTGGGTAATTTATAAAGAAAAATAGGTTTAATAAATTCACAGTTCCACATTGCTGGGGAGGCCTCAAAATCATGGCAAAAGGTGAAAGGCACATCTTATATTTGTGGCAGGCAGAGAGAGAATGAGAGCCAGGTGAAAGAGGTTTCCCCTTTTAAAGCCATCAGATCTTGTGAGACTTACTCACTACCACGAAGACAATATGGGGAAAACTGCGACCGTGATTCAATTATCTCCCACTGAGTCCCTCCCACAACACATGGGAATTCAAGGTGAGATTTGGGTGGAGACACAGCCAAACCATATCATTCCACCTCTGGCACCTCCCAGATCTCATGTCCTCACATTCTAAAACCTATTATGCCTTCCCAACAGTCTTCCAAAGTCTTAACTTATTTCAGAATTAAGTCAAAAGTTCACAATCCAAAGTCTCATCTGAGACAAGGCAAGTCCCTTCTGCCTATGAGCCTGTAAAATCAAAACCAACTTAGTTACTTCCTAGATACAATGGGGGTACAGGCATTGGGTGAATACAGCCATTCCAAATGGGAGAAATTGGCCTAAACAAAGGGGCTACAGGCCTCATAGAAGTCAAAAATCCAGCAGAGCAGTCAAATCTTAAAGCTCCAGAATGATCTGCTTCGACTCCATGTCTCACATCCAGGTCACACTAATGCAACAGATGGGTTCCCATGGTCTTGGGCAGCTTTGCCCCTATGGCTTTGCAGGGTACAGCCTTCCTCCCAGCTGTTTTCATGGGCTGGTGTTGAGTGTCTGCAGTTTTCTAGGTGCATGGTATAAGCTGTTGGTGAATCTACCTTTCTGGGATCTGGAGGACGGTGGCCTTCTTCTCACAGCTCTATTAGGCAGTGCCCCAATAGGGGCTCTGTGTGGGGGCCTCAACCCCATATTTCCCTATCTCACTGCACTAGCAGAGGTTCTCCATGAGGACCCCGCCCCTGCAGCAAACTTCTGCCTGGACATCCAGGTGTTTCCATACATCCTCTGAAATCTAGGCGGAGGTTACCCAACCTCAATTCTTGACTTTTATGCACCCACAGGCTCAACACCACATGAAAGCTGCCAAGGCTTGAGCTTTGCATTTTCTGAAGCCATGACCCAAGCTGTACCTTGGCCTCTTTTGGCCAGGGCTAAAGCAGCTGCAATGGCTGAAATGCAGGGCACCAAGTCACTAGGCTGCACACAACAGGGGGGCCCTGGGCCCAGCCCATGAAACCATGTTTTCCTCCTAGGCTGCCTGGCTTGTGATGGGAGGGGCTGCTGCAAAGGTCTATGACATGCCCTGGAGGCATTTCCCCATTGTCTTGGTGATTAACATTTGACTCCTTGTTATTTATGCAAATTTCTGCAGCCGGCTTAAAGGCTTGAATTTCTCCTCAGAAAATGGGTTTTTCTTTTCTATTGTATCATCAGGCTGCAAATTTTCTGAACTTTTATGCTGTGCTTCTCTTTTGAGACTGAAAGTTTGTAACCCAAGTCAACCCTTAAATGCTTTGCTGCTTAGAAATTTCTTCTGCCAGATACCCTAAGTCATCTCCATCAAGTTCAAAGTTCCACAGATCTCCAGGGCAGGGGCAAAATGCCACCAGTTTCTTTGCTAAAACATAGCAAGTGTCACCTTTACTCCAGTTCCCAACAAGTTACTCATCTGAGACCACCTCAGCCTGGATTTCATTGTCTATATAATTATCAGAATTTTGGTCAATGCCATTCAGCAAGTCTTTAGGAGGTTCCAAACTTTCCCACATTTTCCTGTTTTCTTCCGAGTCCTCCAAACTGTTCCAGCCTCTGCCTGTTACCCAGTTCCAAAGTCACTTACATATATATTTTTGGGTATCTTTATAGCAGCGCCCCACTCTCCTGGTACCAATTTACTGTATTCGTCTGTTTTCACACTGCTGATAAAGACATACTTGAGACTGGGTAATTTATGAAGAAAAAAGGATTTAATGGAATCACAGTTCCACATGGCTGGGGAGGCCTCACAATCATGGCAGAAGGTAAAAGGCATGTCTTACATGGTGGCAGACAAGAGAGAAAATGAGAGCCAAGTGAAAGGGATTTCCCCTGATAAAACCATCAGATCATTAAGGGTTATAAGGAAGAGAGACAAGAGACAGAGAGTAACAACTCCACTTGGAACTCTTTGCACCATTGCATCAGTAACCTGGGAGTAAGCTACACCAAATAGAAGAAAAGGTAGGAATTTCTACCAACCCTAATTTCCTACTATGGTTCATCCCTCCCCACTGTGATAAATACTTTTCTGAATTAATGAGAAAACTGTCCTAAAAGAGAAAGGGGCCAGGCACGGTGGCTCACGCCTGTAATCCCAGCACTTTGGGAGGTCAAGGCGGGTGGATCCCCTGAGGTCAGGAGTTCAACACCAGCCTGGCCAACATGGTAAAACACCATTTCTACTAAAAATACAAAAAAATTAGCCAGGCGTGGTGGTGGGCACCTGTAGTCCCAGCTACTTGGGAGGCTGAGGCAGGAGAATTGCTTGAACCCGGGAGGCAGAGGTTGCAGTGAGCCAAGATCACACCATTGCACTCCAGCCTGGGTGACAGAGGGAGACTCTGTCTCCAAAACAAAAAAAGAGAGAGAGAGAAAGGAAGTGAGAAACAAAAGGAAGAAAGAAAGGAAGGAAGAAGAGGGGGAGCAAAAAACTATAGGAAAAACAAACTACTTGCCTTATAGTCAGTTTCAATGATTCCTCAATCAATAAATAAATAAAACCCTCTGAGGCAGAAGCACTGAGCTGAGGAAATAAATAAGGCCATACAAAAAGGAGTTACAATCAGTCAGCTTCCCACCAACTGACATATTCATCCTGACTCAGAGGCATTTTCCTAAAACAAAACAACATTTGCCCAGATTGGCAGGCAGACAACAAGAAAATGATGTCATCTGCCTAAAAGCAATCACTAAGTTAACAGCAAAATTAGATGCGGAAACTTTGTCTCTTCAACAAATATATAAAGTACCGTTTTCCTTCTGCTTCTTTTGGGACTGTTCATGCCTCAATTTTCTCTTCATCCTTCTCTGTCTGCCTAATAACCAAACTATTAATATAAATCCATATCATCTCTTTTTTATTATAACATAAAAAGGAGGAGTAGAAAATGTCAAGCTAAACAGTGAGCAGACTCAGAAAAATGTACCATGTTAATTTTTATTCAAATAACAGATCAAAATAGACCTGCCTTCTATCAAAAATAAGTATACAGAAAATAAACAGTGTTAAGTCCTTTGAAGTTTTGGCAAGAAAATCAAGATAGCATGATAAAACTGGAGGAGTGTATTTTTATAAAGATTTGTTCCAAGAAACAAACATTTTAGAACACTTGCTTTTATAATACTTAAAATGAAAGATAAGATATAGGAAGATATTTTTGGAAGAGAGTTGACTGCATTTGGGGAAAAAAAAATCTAAAGAAGGTAAGGTAACTAATAACGTCATGATAGTATTTAAAATATCACTTTAAGCCATAAAGAGCTAAATTGACCTTGCAGAACATTAAACCTGGGCTGTGAAGAAAGATTTGACACACTCTTTCAGAGAGCAAAGGTAAAGGAAAAAGAGATTAAAAATCAGTGTCATGGTTCATTTCCCGTTGCTATAATATAATACCTGAGACTAGGTAATTTACAAAGAAATGAAGTTTATTTAGCTTGGAATTCTGGAGGCTGGGAGGTCCAAGATCAGGAGGCTGCATCTGGTTGGCTACTGGGAAGAGCCTCTTGCTGCATTATAACATGGTGGAGAGGAGGAAGAGGAAGCAGGCATGTGCAAAGAGATCAAACATCAGAGGCAGCCTTGTTTTATAACAATACCCTCTCAGTGTAACTAGTTCAGCCCCTTGACAGCAAGAACTCACTCTCATGTGAAAGGCATTAATCCCTCTTAATGACCTAATCACCTTTTAAAGGCACCACTTCCCAATACCACTATATTGGAGGCCAAGCCTCAACATGAGTTTTGGTCAGGACAAACGACATTTAAACCATAAAAGTCAGAGGAAAAGAACAAAATAGAAGAGCAAGCAGCAGAAATCTGATCAACTAGATAGTTGATCTTCTCTGATGAAAAAAATAGAAGAGTCCAGTCCAAAGCCACTTAAGAAATAGGGTTTTACACTTTGAGCATTCTCTTCTAGTTCACCCTTGCTAAAAACTGAATGCTAGCTCAAATGTTCAATTCATTGATCCCCATGCCCATATTGTGGGTTGTTTTCCTCAGGAATCAAATTTGAAAGTAGCAACTCTAATTTCTTGTCTTGAAAGAGAATAAATGTATTTATTAGACAAAAAAAGAAAGAAAGGCACAGCTGTGAAATATATGGTATTGATTTGTATATTGACTAGTAATAATAATAACAACTTAGGTATATTGAATATTTCCTGTTTCAGGGACTGTGGGAAGCATTTCCTAATTTTTTTTTTTTTTTTTTTTTCTTGAGACAGTCTCGCTCTGTCACCCAGCCTGGAGTGCAATGGCATGATCTCAGCTCGCCACAACGTCCGCCTCCTGGGTTCAAGCGATTCTCCTGCTTCACCCTCCCGAGTAGCTGGGACTATAGGCGCCCGCCACCATGCCCGGCTAATTTTTCTATTTTTAGTAGAGATGGGGTTTCACCATATTAGCCAGGCTGGTCTTGAACTCCTGACCTCAGGCTCAGGTGATTCACCCACCTCAGCCTCCCAAAGTGCTGAGATTTCAGGCGTGAGACACCACACAAGTGGCATTATCTAATTTCATAGCCACTAACAGTCCTATGAGGAAAGTTCTATTCTCATCTCCATTGTACTAGTTAGTAACTTACAGCTTAGCATGATTAAGTAATTGGTCAACAGTTACAGTTAGGAGAAGGAAGAACAGGAACTTGAGCCCCATTTATCTTTCTCCAGAATGCATGCTCTTACTTACCTTGATGTTGCCATGGAACAACGGTTCTGAAAGTCCTGGTTATCCTGAATTATAATGCTCATTCCCAAGATGTTCCTTTGTGGTAGCTCCAGAGCCAATGTAGCCAATGAAAGAATAACAATAGTTTGGATCTCTACTATGAGCAAATCAACCTCCAAGTTTCTTTGCCCAGTTAAGTTTTTATTGTTTCTATGATATATGGAAATTTGTAGCTTATTATTGGCCATAACCCAGAACTGTATTAATCACTAATGTGGCCTAGTAAGTCTGCTATTCCTTGTAAGTGAAACTGTGGACTTCTCCAAATGAGGAAGAGAAAACAACAACAACAACAACAACAGAAAAGGTAAGGGACAGGGGAAAATAGAAAAGAATCAATGGGCTATGAGAGCAAACTCAGCTTTCTAACTGACCAAGCAGATTCCAATTAATCACCCAAGCTCTAACAACTGCACAGAGTCCTGTCTATATCAGACAGGTCATTAAGTGTCCAAAGAAAGATAAAAATATCTCCATATTTGGCCTTAATTTAGATGGCATGTGCCATAATCTGTTACCTTAGTCATAAGACCCTGGTACATTTTAGATAAAATGCCAAGTGAATTTACTGAGTCAATTTGTAAATTGAAGGGAAAACACTGGCTTCCCCCAGACTAATGTAACAGAAAAACGTCTATGGTATAATTAAAAAAAAAAAAAAAAAAAAAAAAAGCAAAAACCTCTCCCAAAAGGAAAGAATAAACAAACCTGGAAAAGAATAAGACATACCTGTACATTAAGCAAAACTTATTAAAAGTGACCAACAGCTTTACGTATCCTAATAAACTTACTGAATTTTTAGGATGAGAAAGAAACCCACAAGAATACAGGCAGAAAGAGAAGGTGACCCAGAATAAGTAACAAAAAACCAGGCTGTCCTCAAACATCTCCCCTGAAACATTAGATTTTAGAAAAAAAATGAAGCAGTGTCTACTCCATATTCAATATTATCTTCCTGAAGGCTCAACATGCACATTGACATAGTACAGTTTCTGCCAAAGTCCTGCGATGTGTGTGAAAAAGAATAACAAACATTAAGCTGCCTATACATATTAACTTATTGACTTCTCATAGCTTCCATAAAAGGTGAAGTTATTGTTTTATTTATTTAACAAAAAAAGGAACACTGAAGCACAAGGAATTTGATAACCCACCTGAGGTCACATATTTAGAAAGTGGCAGATACTCAGATTTGAACCCAGTCCCTGCAGTTCAAGAATCTGTACTTTTTGCTGTTAAATTGTTTTGAAAATAAACAAATAGTACAAAAGATAATGCACTACTACTGAACTAGTGATAGTGCCACGTTCAGTTCATTTATGATAGCTCCAATCATACCTCAGGTTTTAGCTTAAATGTCATTTCATTAAGGAGATCTCTCTTTTCACCCCTTTCAGACTAGGTCTGTCCATCAGGGTATAACCAGGAAATTAGAGCACTCTATATATTTCAGAATAAGGGGACCTAATACAAGGAATTGGTTAGCAAAGGTGATGAAAGTGTTGGGAAGCCAAATAGGGGGCAGTGAAGCAACACAGAGACTGGTAACAGCAGGAAGTTTCTAGTACGATCTTTAATCTCTATGGAATAAAAGGACAGTGGCCACAAGCAGTGTCTCAGAGAGAGACCATGGCTGTTCAGAGACAGTTAGGACCACAAAGTGAGGAACTGTGATAGGATCTGGAAACAAGAGATGCAGCTATTGCTGGAGAGATGAGGGGAGACAAATAAAGAAGGGGAAAATAAATTGAATTCTCCTCTCTTCCACGTTTCAATCTCCTGCCAGTTCCTGCCAGTGGCTGACCCTATCTAATAGGCCTAGGGCAAAAGAATTTTGGTAACATTGCTTGCTATGACCCAGAGCAGAGCACTGGAAGAAAAGTAAATGCATATAAACTTGTCCTGCTATACTACTAAAATACCTCCATAGTATACTTACTGTAATATGTTTCACCCTTGTATCCATTCAACAATGTACCTTTCAGATGGCCCATCAGGAAAGGGCCTGTGCAGTTAGCTGACAGCCTCCTGCTGTCATATCCCCCAGATCCACCATGGTGTGCAACACAGACCATATGCTTTCAGGGCTGCTCTGAGCCGGTAACTCAATGCAGCAGAGGCATTAGAGCTGGGCCAGTATTGGCCAATGTGGGACTCTTCTAAAAAGCAATTTTTGCTCAGGGCTCCCCATCAGCCTAGCTGAGACTTTCGCAGACCTGCACTGTAGTCTTAGGTTCTTTCCACCTAATCCTCCTTCCTTCGTCTTTTCCTTCTGCAAAATTGTCAGGCGTGCATCATGGTCTGAGGCTCTCTGCATATACTCCCATTCCCTTTCTCAGTTATCCCTCATGGGTATTGCCTTCAATAAATCTCTTACAGTTCTAATTACATCTTGGCATATGCTTTCCTGAAAAACTCACCAAACGAGAACTTCCAAGAGAGGACAGAATGTACAGATCTTATTCACTGCTATAGTCCTATGACCCAATACGGTACCTGATATATAGCTGTTGCTCAATATATATTTAATAAAACCGTGTAAAATGTTTGAAGGAATGAATTGACACTACACAACAGATCTTTAGCAATAAGTATTAATCATAAATAGATTCAAGACAAGCAGTAAGTAACTAGCCTTCAGATGAAGATTCATTATGAGTCATCTTGAAATTTGCAGCTTGCTCACACACACAAAAAGAATTCTGTATTAGTCATTAAACTGAAAAAAATCAAATATTCCTGGACTTGATATGGGGGAGAACTCCTACAATTCTTCTTTGGTTTCCAAGTGAAGCAAATAGCTTTTAACTTAACATTTCAAAATTTTCAGATTTTTACTATTCACTGAAAGATGTGTGTATTCAAGAGGTAGCGAACAAAGAATCCAAACTACATAAGGTCAGAAGACAAGATAATTAATAGGATTAATCTTGCAGTCACAAAACTGAACACTATGGAATGCAATTTATCTGCCCCTCTCCCTGTTGGCTTTTTATTTGAGTCTCACATTTTTTCCCCTTTTTAGAGAGGAAAACATTTACAATATCTAAATCACAGCTGAGATTACTAAAACCAAGCACACAGTGCTATGGAGTGTTAACAATTTTCTTTCATCTTACTCCACATAACTAAAAGCAAGATAAGAAGATAGGATGTCAGAAGAAATAATAGACATCCTGTTAAGTGTCAACCTCTTTAAAAATGGCTCCTTTGCCACTAAGATTAACCCCTTCCTAAGACAAAAATCTGAACTAGGCAGACACCTGTATACTTTTGTGTGAATATCTACAGACATTCAGGTTTAGTTTTCAAAATGAATATGCATCCATTCACAGTTCAATTTCTATTTTTTTCAGGGATTATGAAAAATAAATTAAGGAAAAACATATTAATAATCATTCCCCTTTCCTATATTTCCTACAAATTGGTAGATAAGTCTGTAGGCTTAATATGATTCAAGTGTTCCTTTTTTGGCAGGACTACATCAGAGGTGGTGTTGTGAACTTCCATTGAGAGGCACGTACTGTCTGGCCATCTTCCCTTTCATGATGCCAGCAGCCATTGCTGCTCAATGCCCAGCTCCTTCAAGTCCGTAGGAGCTGCAAAATGCTATTGTAGTAGGTTTTTCTTCATTTATTAACTTGAATGGTTTATAAAGAGAAATCATTCCTTATTAATAATGTGATTGCTTTAGGTACATTTAGCATAGGAAAAGAAGAATAAAAGCTGGATTCTATCAATTTACTTACCAGTTCTCAAAGTAATGAACTGGACCCATAGCATCCTTCAAAGGTGAGCAATGAGTTTTTCTCTTCTCTTTTAGCATCATTATGAATGCATTTATTTAAATATATTTGATATGTTGTAATCCATTGCAACTATTATCTTTACTGATGCACAAGTTAGTCCATCCTTGATCAGTGGCAACCTGCTCAAATTGGCTCCAGAGTCCTATTAAAACAATTCCTACAGTCTTTGATAGTAGCTTTGCTTTCAAATATGACAAGATTTCCCTCCTTATCTTGTACATTTCCTGCCCCAGACAGCCCTGTTTTCCTGCTCCTTAAATCAGCCTCTTTTCCAAAATGTCCTGGTTTTAGAGACCCTAATCTATGAGCTGGTGGTGCTCATTTGCTGCTGGATTGGTTATTGTTCTAGGCCTTTACAGAAAACAGAAGTAGGAAGTGTGTAATTTGGAAAAAGGCAAAAATATGTCATGTATCCAGACCACACTGATACTTCCCATTCAAATTCAGAATTAAAGGATTTTTATAAGTTTTGCATTATAAATTGACAGTATAGGCACATAGTCAGAAAAACCCTGATTATGGAAAAACAGGACAATCATGTTTCTTTAAAAAGAGAAAGAGAGGAAAACAGAGATAGAAGCAAGACAATGGAGGAGAAATTTACTAATCAGAAGAGAATTAAGTTATATCCATTAAAATAGCCATTATTTAAAAATCAAAGCAAACAGAAAATGACAAGTATTGATAAGAATATGGAAAAATTTAAACCCTTGTGCACTGTTAGTAGGAATATAAAATGTGATTGCCATCTGATCCAACAATTGCATTTTTGGATATATACCCAAATAATTGAAAGCAAGGTCTTAAAGAGATATTGATACACTCATGTTCATAGCAGCATTTATTCAAAATAGCCAAAAGGTGGAAGCAACCCAAATGTCTATCAATGGATGAATAAAAAAGCAAAATGTGGTATAAACATACAATGGAATATTATTCAGCTTTAAAAGGAAGGAAGTTATGACCCATGCTACAACATGGATGAACCTTGAGGGCATTATGCAGAGGGAAATAAGCCAGTTACGAAAAGATAAATACCACGTGATTCTACATATAGGTACCTAGAGTAGTCAAATTCATAGAAACAGAAAGTAAAACGATCATTGCCAGGGGCTGAGAGAATGGAGAGTATTTTTAATTTTGATAGATACAGAGTTTTAGTTATGCAAGATGAAAAGAATTCTGGAGACAGATGCTGGTGATGATTGCACAACAATGTGAATGTGCTTAATACCACAGAACTACACACTTAAAACTGGCTAAGGGCCAGGTGTGGTGGCTCATGCCTGTAGTCCCAACAATTTGGGAGGCCAAGGCAGGCAGATTACTTGAGCCCAGGAGTTCAAGACCAGACTGGTCAACAAAACTCCACCTACAAAAAATACAAAAATTAGCTGGGCATGGTGTGCATGCCTACAGTTCCAGCTACTCAGGAGGCTGAGGCAGGAGAATCGCTTGAGCCTTGGATGTCGAAGCTGCAGTGAGCTGTGATCATACCACTGCACTCCAGCCTGGGTGACAGAGTGAGACCTTGTATCAAAAGAGAAAAACAAATGGCTAAGATGATAAACCTCATGTTATATTTATTTTGCTACAATTTTTGAAAGTGAATTCAGTTGCATATCAACATATTGCAATGTTATTTGGATCTGAATTCAAACTATTAAAAGTATGGGATATCATAATTTGCATACCTCACGGACTTGAGATTTAATTCCAAGAAAGAGAACTGTGGGAATAAGGAAAATCTTACTGGAAAGGAGGAAAAGCCAACAGAAGTGCATTAGGGAGGTTGCCACTATAGGCACAGGGGGCTGATTTTGCTGGACCTCCGAGAAGCATGCGGCAGTCTGCCAGGAATTGTCTATTCGAAGGATAGGAGGCTGGAACCCTGCTCTACAGGCTCCTGTCCCCATTAGGTCAGTGTTATCCTTGGGCTTTTATCCCCTCACTTTTTGGATGCATTGTAGTTTGGCCCAGTGGTGTGCTGTCTGCCTTGGTGCAGAAAGGCTTGGGATGCATGCTTGAATGAGACACTGAGTGAGCCTGAGTTCATACAGAACCGTGAGGCTGACTTCCATCAGGGCAGGCAAATGTGACTTGGAGACCACAAAAGACCAGGCAGGAAACAAAGACACTGAATGCGTATTGATGATACAGAAGAAAGATGATTAAATTGTTTTTTTAGATTTGATCATTGTATTGTGTTATGTTTAAAAGAGAGTGAGAGAGAGATAATTCTTATTTTAAGATACACTCTGGAATATTTGCAGATGAATTGATTTGGGATTTGTTCCAAAATAATCTGAGAGAGGGAAAGAGGTGAAGTATATAGAAATAAACTGTAGTTCTTAATTGTTTCAGTCTTCACATATTGCAGTAGATATTGCCAAAAGCATGGACTGGGATATAGATAGGCAATGCTTTAAGTTGACCACACAACTTCACAGAAAAAGAAGTGGGACGACCTTTTGAACAAAAGTCTGTTAAGATGAAAAACCAAGGTATTGTGTGTACATGTATATCCACTAGACTATTTCTTGATTAATTATTTAAGTCCATACAATAATTTGTATATGGAACCCACAACTTTAAGACACAGCTAAAAAAAATTTTAGACTCTGCTTGTAGTGACTATGGTATTTTCCACACGGAGTACAGAAAACTATTGATCACCTATTGATCTGGTAGATACATTCCTAAAGATCTTTGTCAGTAACATCATTTCCAAACATGAAGGGCAACGATATTTTGCCATTAATATGAAGAACTACCATACATTGCAGGGACACAATTAGACAGCAGGCATTCTTTATTGAAATTGAGAATGTTATATAAATGATTATATAAAATATGTCAGTACTTAGCCATTTCTAAATCAACATTGTAGTCCATTAATGTTAACATGCAATTTATGGATGGCTGTAAGCACAAAGCTCTTTTTAAATGGTGGTAATTTTTGGTAGCAATGTGCAGGCAAAAATAAATATTAAGTAAATCTCATACTCCGTTCATGCAAAATATGATTATATGCAATGCAATAAAACAATTTTGTACTGGGATACATATGAAAAATAATTTACTATAATAACATTCTGATTCTAAAATAAATATCAATAAAAATGCTAGGCAATTCAAAAACAACCAAACATGCTTTCCCTGGATAAACATAGATCTACTTCAACAATAAATTACAAAAGATCAATCATTGGCTTTTTCTGGAGAGTTCAAATACTTCTGCAGTTTTCTAATTATTCCTCTTCCTCTACGAAGATGTCTAATCAGCCAGTTAAATCAAAGCATTTAGTAATGGCCCTCTGTGTAAATAAAAGCACTGGCTGTAGAAACCCACATTTCAAAAGTACATCCCTTACTAATTGTGCTTTATTTGAAAATGTCTTCGTAGTCTCTGATGTGATGTGGATGTTTCCCTACCCAAATCTCATCTTGAACCGTAGTTCCCATAATCCCCACATGTGATGGGAAGGACCCAGTGAAAAGTAATTGAATAATGAGGGTGGTTTCCCCCATGCTCTTCTTGTGATAGTGAAAGAGTTCTCATGAGATCTGATGATTTTATAAGGTGCTCTTCCCCTCTTCACTCTGCACTTCTCCTTTTCTGCTGCCATATGAAGAAGGACATGTTTGCTTCCTTTTCCACCATGATTGTAAGTTTCCTGAGGCCTCCCCAGTCATGCTGAACTATGAGTCAATTAAACATCTTTCCTTTATAAATTACTCAGTCTCAGCTATGTCTTTATGAGCAGTGTGAGAATGGACTAATACAGTCTCTGTTAAGAGAAGTCCTAAATGTCAACTCTTTTACTTAAGCCAGTTCCAAAGAAAAAAAAATTATTTAGGAAAAAGAGGAATAAAAAGGCAAAGAGAGTCTTTTGCACAAAAACTATGCCCAGAAAATGTTTGTTGAATGAACAGGTTTAGAGATTCCAACTTGAGGCTATGTTGCCACTGCATTTCAGAAAATTCTATCTGGACATCTCAGGAAAACTGATAAGGAAGACCTGATTAAAGTTTATTTGCTTCAGAGAATGAAGAAATTTCCAAAGAAAGTCATCCTAAAAGATAAAAATGACCCCAAAACACTGCCTTGGTTGCTGATGAAAGAACCCAAGCTGGCACTTACTTCTCATTCTCTCCTGCTGGATGCCCGTCTGGTACCCAGGAAAAGAGAGGGCTTCAGGTAAAACCTCAAGGTCCTATTTCATTAAAAATCCATACAGAAAGAGACACCAACAATGTAATGTTGATATACCTTAAAAGATTTACACACAAAACAGGAGAAAGACCTCATCCCCCACTTTGTTGCAAACCATCCTGCAGCTTGGCCACTTAGAGGGCTCTGTCACATCCCTCATGTGCCCACCAGGAGACTCCAGTGCCTGACTGAGAGAGTGGAACAACCACATGAAGACCAACTGGACATCTCACAGGCATATGTTAGAATCTCTGAAATGACCATTTCAGGGGAGCACAGACATGGTTTAAGTGGGTGTCAGTGAGAGCCTGCAAAATTTGGAACAGTACTGATAATGTGACTCTATTGTACCTACAAATTAGTGAGCCTGAGTAAACTCAGGGAACAAATAAATGACTAAGCCCCAGTCACTGTAGAGCACTTTTCCTTCACAAGATTTTACTTCAATCAAAATCAGAAGACTGTGATGTCACAGCCAACTGTAACATATCAGGATGAAGGATAACAATGGGAAATATCTGGGTTTATTCTGGACAATGGTCTGTGACAATTATCACTTATTCTTTAGTTCTGTGGTTGCAGGAAATCAATCCAAGCAACTCCTAAGCTCCTTAAAGATTTGCTTGATTATTTTAATATGCATTCTGGATGGCTTCTTTCAACCGTTTTAATGTCATCTTGTCCTATCATTTCTGATAAACAAAAAAATTAACTCAGGTTGACATCCTTCCTACCAGAGACATAGAGATATTGAATTATCTAAGAATGTTTCTAAATACCAGCCTTTAAATGATAACTGATCTGCAAAAAGCAAGTATTGTTTCAGACATGCCATGTCACATTTCTATCTCTTCATTCTGCATTGTGCTACCTCTTGCAATGTCAGCTAACGTAGAAAGTAGCAGAACACAACATGACAGGGTGACTTAAAATTGAATGAAAGCCACTATTCAAGCTGAGTATCCATTTTAGGCCATCCATTAGGAAAAATATAAGGGCAAAGAATGAAAGGTTATTTTGAACCGTTGTTTAAAATAAGCTATGCTTCTTTGAACACTTACATTAAATGATCTCTCTTCTCTGTATCTTTAGTCCATGATTTATTATTGTGAAAGCCAATTTAAAAAATAATTCCATGCCATTTCCCTAATCAACTTGCACTTATGTATGCTGTCAGCTCATCCCATAATACAGTTTTTGGCGTTAAATCATGGGCTCTTTAAAATTCTGGACTTGGAAAGAACCTGGGAGATAAGATAGATCAACGCATTTACTGCGCTGATGAAGAAACAATGCCAGGATGTAAAAAGATTTGTCCAAAGTCACATTGCTTATTAGTGGCAAAGCTCCTGCTAGAACCTGCATCCCTTTTCAGTCACTGTCTCTCATTTGTATCACATAGGGCATAAGCTGCTATGAGGAGATGCAGAAAACAGAAGGGCACCTTGACATTATTTACTATAGTTTAAACAGCAGACAATTAGACCAAACATGCTCTGACTGAATTGCTATTGCATTTTCTTTTCTTGTCACATATCACTGATTTAAGAGACTTTGCTGTTTATTTAGAGTAGTCGCGAAACAAAATGCCTATGAATCTGATGAAATGTGCTAGGTAATAAACCAAAAGTAAAATTAATAGAAAGCCCAAGAACAGACCAAGAAAAGCAAGGGTATGGGCAGGGAACCTGGAGTGAGAGACATCTGATTGCTGCCTAGCTATTGCTCCCATTTCCGAGAGGAGAAACCAAGGATGAGAGTCATTACCTTGCCCAAGGTGACCAGGAAGCATATATTTATCAAATCTTCTTTCAGCTACTTTTCCAACAGCTGCTAACTAGACCTTTCCTAATTTATTCTTAATTGCCTTTCCAATGTAAATAGCTCTTCTACTGAACCTATCAGTTCAAGTTAGGGTGTAAGAGATGATCAAAGGAAGGAAGGACAAAGAGTAAAGAGTCATATCCTAGAAAAGCACCTTTAAAGCCTGGCTGTATTGAAAGGGGCAGAAGAGGCCTGCTTAGAGGAACTTCAGGAGAACCGCAATTCTCTCATCTATCACCAAGGCCTAAAACCACAGTTGAATTGCTGCCGCGTGTTAAGGATTTTTGTTCTTTGTGCACAGATGGCCTATCCTAGAGTTTGTGTATGTTACCTTCCCATTGCTCTCATCACATATTTGACTAAATCCAGTTCTGTCTTTGCCTCCCTGCTATGCTCCCTTAGCTCTGCAACCTTCTTCCGTGACTATAGTACTCATTCCCAATTTTGCTCACTTTTCAAATGTACACAAATCATTTGTTTAATAATATACTCTCCTTTCTTGAAAATGGGGACATTTATTCAATTCAGGGCTGCTTGCATTTCCCCCAATGTCTCTGCTCCCTCAAGTGCTATCCAGAGTGATTCATGTCTCCCTAGGAAGTGGACATAGGTGTCTAGACTTAAATATCTGAGCAGGGCTCTCTGATGATCTTTTTACATATCTTGGCCTTCCAGTTCCCTTACCAATTATTCTTCCACTCTTAAAAGCATTCTGTCTAACCTAGGAGACAGATGCAAAAGAGGACTCAAAATAGTGGCTTTTTTTGTTGTTGTCCATTGACCTTGTACTGCCACAAGCACTAAGCACTGCAGATAATTTTAAAAGCCTCTTGTCCTCTTTGGTATTTTTTCAAAAGTCTCTGTTCTCTCTGAGTCTTAACCTTTCTGCCTCTCTTCATGCAGGTTCCTGCATGTATTTCATGTTTGTACTAGGTCATCTGCCCATCTTTTCTTTCTTTGAGCAGAGCCTTTTAAACTTAAGACAACCCAAGTGGTTGGTCCTCAGCCAACTTTAGAGACTCCATAGAGTCCACTCTTTTTATTTCATGAGGAAAGGGAACAATTTAGAATTATACCATCAGGGTTACATTTTTAGAGCCTTCTTTTTTCTCCAGAGTTATCTTGCCTTTTAGGGTCTTGGCTGTGCAGAGTCCTGAGGCAGAAGGGACCCTCACCCATTCTAGGAACCGAAAGGTGGTAAGAGGTGAGACTAAAGTGGTTAAGCCAGGGCTTAAGGGTTTTGATGCCTTAAACTTCAGACTTTTAAAGTTAGCCTTAATAATAATTAGAATGATGTCAGGGTCTCTTCTGTCTTCTGCTAAACATTGTAGGCCCATTTCATTGCCTTGCAGGGAAAGAAAGAAGAGAGCGCTCTCAGAACCCTTTGGAATAGTAAGTGTTAACATTTCTGATTGAAGCCATTGTGAGGAAAACCAATGCCTAAGTGAGATTTGAAGTTGCCTGTGTTCTCAGGAGTCTCAATGCCCAACAGGCCCTTCATCACCAACAGCAGAGGGGCCTACAACAGATTGTGAGTTTCTACAGCCCAGGAAATGAATGCAGCTTATCCAGTATGGATGGGAGGCACCCACATTTTCACATCTGCCACCCACTGAGGCTTCAATGTGCACGCAAATTTGCCCCAACTCCAAGGCTCATTTGGACCCAATGATCATCCTGGATAACGAGATGTGCCAGGTGAGCAACAGTGCCCTGAAGACTCTGCCCACCTGTGAGTCACACCTTCTGTCACAAGGCATCGTGTGGCCTCTACTCACGACTCACCACTGCCAATCGCGGAGGTGCCAGTAAAGACAGGTGTTCCTGCTGCTCCTTTTGATGTCACAGTGCCCCCACGACTGCTGTCAGAAATCAGTGACTGAGTTTACCTCATGCCTTCTTCCTCCCATTCTCAAACTCCCCTCTTTCCAGAGCCCATTTGCTTACTGTGAAATTGGACAGGTCTCTGCATGCTCCAGAGAGATCTCCAGATAGAGCATTCACAACTCTAGCAAGCCACCACTTTAGGAAGCCACCCTGGCACCTTGGAGAGAAAACAAACTGCAGGGGAGAGCTTCTGTTTCCCTTAATCTCTGTAGTTAAGCACACAGGAAAAAGACTGGGAGCATAGTTTCAATTATTGTCAGAATTTTCCATAATCTGACAACTCATTGCTTTTGCAACATTTATAATCCCAGTCCTTTGATGGGCAGGCCTGTGCCAATTTGCATGACTGCTATTTAAAGATGAAACCCAAAAGGTATACATATGCTTCAACATGGCTGCAATTTTTGCTGTTCAGAGAACACAGCAAGATAAATAACCATGCCATGAGAAATTACAGCATTATGTACTGCAATAAATATGACAAATGATAGGCCAGATATTCATTGGCTCATAACAGTTGGCAGGCATAACCATCTGTGGATCCAAAGTTCAAACTATTTGTTTTCTCTCCTACATCTGCCTTGATATTTCCCTCCTCAGCTGGATCCTCTGGCCTTTAAGGCCTCCTGGACAACCTTGGGAAACCTTTGACTTTATTGGGTTTTCATTAAGAAACATAAGACTCGCAGCAAAAAAGCAAAACTCTCTATATGTATGAAAGAGATGGAGAAAAAAAAAGAGATCTGATGTCCCTTTCTTAGTGTAGGCAGTTTTTAACTTGCAAAGAATCTGAAAGCAGGAAAAGCAAACCTAAGGATAATTAAGAAAAATGATGGTATTTGTTGCCACAGAAGAAATAAATCTTCTGTGTCTCTCGTTTATTTATTGATTAAACAAGGAACCCTACAATGGATTTAAGTTCCTGCTTTTGTCACTAGAAAGGTAACACTAAAGTCCATTATTTCATTATGTGAAATGCTAATCTATATTTCTCATTTAGAACCTAAACCTTCTGCTTGGTGGAAATCTCACAGCTTATACCACTGATAAGAGAAAGCCTAATGAGCCCTAATGTCACCACAGCAAAACTTGCCCAATTAGACCAGCTGTTCCACAGAGAAGTACACTGTGAACCTCTAATGCAGAATCTTGACAGCTTGGAGTTGAAAACTCATGCTAAGAAAAATCAGATTTTTAAAAAGGTATCTACTTCTAAGCACAGCTACTTCTTGCTCTTGATTCTCCCTACTAGGATATAGGAAAGGGTTCCATCAGAAAGGTGGGGAAAAAGTTTTTCAGGCAGTGAAGGATGCTAACAGAATTTTCTGTAATAGAAACCTTTCCCTTAGTTACTAACCCAACCTGGATTGAGACAGCTGGGCAGACAACCTGACATTCTGATTATTAGGTATTTTGTCTTCTGTATGAATGTTTTCTCTTTCAGCACTTATTAATATAAAGCGAAATGGTAACACCCAGGAGCAACTTTTTTTTCTACTCCCCTCACACACAAAACACCAAACCAAAAAGTCATCAGGGGAAATTTGGTGGGGAAAAAAAAGCACAGAATTATGAGAGCACTCTACTACCATTTCTTACCCAAGTGCTGCACCATCAAATCAATATTGTCACAGTAAGGTAAATCTATTCAGCAATATTTATTGACCAAATGTTCATTCAGTATCTTCTTTGTATACAAGAAGTAGATTCTGTGGGATGGGGGGAGGTGGAGTGGAGATGGGGGTGTCAGGGGCTAAAGATAAATCAGACAGAGTTCCACCTTTGGAAGCTTCCAGTTCATGAAGAGGAATCATTCTAGTGCAAAACAGAGACACAGGGAACACGGATAGTTCTGGGGGGACCAGAGGAGAGACATGTTCAGCTTTGAGAATAGAATGAAGGAAGGTTTCAGGTGAGACCTGAAGCAAAGGTGAGACTTGAACATGCAGCTTTGAGAAAGCAGAAAGGAACAGAGGAAGGATCTCAACAAAAGCAAGAAGGTACAAAAGTGCTTGTGAGCCAAGGAGAGTGAGTAAATGGCCAGAGTACCAGGTGCATAAACAATCCTTGAAAATCATCTATTCACAAATATTAACTGAGCACTTCTCTTAATATATGTCTGGCACTCTGGAGCACTGAGAAGACAGAAGTGAACAAAACAAGATGTCGACTCTCACGGTTATATTCTAGCTGGGGAAGACAAACATTAAAAAAAAGTATAGTGTATTACATGGTTTAAAATTATGTAAGTATTGGAGCATAGGGGTTATAGGAAGTGTTCAGAGGAATTTCCTCAATAAAGCAACTTTGTTTTTTGAAATGGGGTCTCACTCTGTCGCCCAGGCTGGAGTGCAGTGCAGTGGCACAATAGTGGCTCACTGCAGCCTCCACCTCCCAGATTCAGGTGTTCCCTTCTGCCTCAGCCACCCGAGTAACTGGGACTACAGGCACGGGCCACCACGTCTGGCTTATTTTTCTATTTTTTGTAGAGACAGGGTCTCACTATGTTGCCCAAGCTGGTCTCAAGTTCCTAGGCTCAAGCCATCCTTCTGCCTTGGCTTCCCAAAGTCCTGTGATTACAGGCATGAGCCACTGCACCTGGCTGGTAAGATAACTTTTGAGCAGACACCTAAAGTAAGTGAAGGGTAAATTAAGTGTGTATCTTTGAGACTTATAATCCAAGCAGAGACCCTGAGGCAAGACCTGTCTAGTATGGGTGGAGAAAGAAGGCTAGATGGCTGGGCAAAGGTGAAGGAGGCAGGAGATGGATACCAGAGAGTTGGCCCAGGCAGAGGGTGTCCTGCCACATTCTCAGGGCTTGTCTGACAGAGATAGAATTTGGGATTTCCTTTGGATGAGATAAGAACACTCTGGAAGTTTTGGAGCAGAGAAGTGGCATAACCTAACTACATTTTGAGATGAATACTACAACTGCTGTGTAAAAGATAGACAAGAGATGGTAAGCATGGAATCTGAGAGTCCAGTTAGAAGACCACAGCAACAGGACAGACAAGAACAGTGCGGAAAAGAGATGATGGTGGCATGAAGGAGAAGTGAATTGTGAATGTGAATCTTCTAAGGGCAAGAAAAGGTTTAAAACAGCATTCATAGGGTGCTTATTCTTAGTTTGAATTGGCCACGTTTTCTTTATTTACAAAAGTGTAGCTTACACAGCTGCATGGTAGTTTGACCCTGACAATCATATTATTCAAAATGTACAACCATCAAAGTTAACTTCGATTCCTCTGAAGTCCCAGCTATAATGTCAACCTCTGCAAGCAGGACAAGAAGTGATTGCAATGGTGTTGCAACTTATTTGACTATAGCATTAGTGACATTGTCACTGTGGACACTCTCACCCAGGACTTTGAAACTGCAGTTCTCTCCAGTCACAGCTAAAATGAGAACTAAGGTTAAAAAGCCAACTGCACTCCTTTACTCCTGTAACTGTCATTAACCATTAAAGAAAGAATGTGATCTCTTTGTATAACAGGCACTTCTGGCCGGATGGGTATACAGAGTCCGGGACCGGGCGGTGGCGGAGCCGGGGGATGGCGACAGCAGGTCAGTGGGCTGCAGGCGGGGGCCGTGGGCAAAGACTACTACCAGACGCTGGGCCTGGCCCGCGGCGCGTCAGACGAGGAGATCAAGCGGGCCTACCGCCGCCAGGCGCTGCGCTACCACCCAGACAAGAACAAGGAGCCCGGCGCCGAGGAGAAGTTCAAGGAGATCGCCGAGGCCTATGAGGTGCTCAGAGACCCGCGCAAGCGCGAGATCTTCGACCACTACCGGGAGGAAGCCCTAAAGGGCAGCGGCCCCAGTGGCGGTAGCGGCGGTGGTGCCAATGCTACCTCTTTCAGCTACACATTCCATGGAGAGCCTCTTGCCATGTTTGCTGAGTTCTTCGGTGGCAAAAATCCGTTTGACGCCTTTTTTGGGCAGCGGAACGGGGAGGAAGTCATGGACATTGCTGACCCATTCTCTGGCTTCCCTATGGGAATGGGTGGCTTCACCAACATGAACTTTGGCCGCTCCCGCCCTGCCCAAGAGCCCACCCGAAAGAAGCAAGATCCCCCAGTCACCCACGACCTTCGAGTCTCCCTTGAAGAGATCTACAGCGGTTGTACCAAGAAGATGTACCAAGAAGATGAAAATCTCCCACAAGCGGCTAAACCCCGACGGAAAGAGCATTCGAAACGAAGACAAAATCTTGACCATCGAAGTGAAGAAGGGGTGGAAAGAAGGGACCAAGATCACCTTCCCCAAAGAAGGAGACCAGACCTCCAACAACATTCCAGCTGATATCGTCTTTGTTTTAAAGGACAAGCCACACAATACCTTTAAGAGAGATGGTTCTGATGTCATTTATCCTTCCAGGATCAGCCTCCCGGAGGCTCTGTGTGGCACACAGTGAACGTCCCCACTCTGGACGGCAGGACCATTCCCGTCGTGTTCAAAGATGCCATCAGGCCTGGCATGCGACGAAAAGTTCGTGGAGAAGGCCTTCCCCTCCCCAAAACGCCAGAGAAACGTGGGGACCTCATTATTGAATTGGAAGTGATCTTCCCCGAAAGGATTCCCCAGACATCAAGAACCATACTTGAGCAGATTCTTTCAAGCTACCTGAGCTACCTGAGCTCCCCAAGGACTGACCAGGGACCTATCCAGAGCTCAAGGATTTCTGGATCTTTCTACCAGTTGTGGACCATGAGAGGGTGGGAGGGCCCAGGGAGGGCTTTTGTACTGCTGAATGTTTTCCAGAGCATATATTACAATCTTTCAAAGTCATACACTAGACTTCGGTGGTTTTGGAGTAATAGGGCATCAGGTAGTGGGAACAGCAGGAAAAAGCATTCCAGTCTGCCCCACTGGGTCCGCAGCCCTCCCAGGATGGGCCCACATCCTCCTCCTGCAGTCCCCGTCCAGGGTCAAGAGGCAGACCAGCAGCTGGACTTGATCCCTCTGAGTCCCTTTGCTTCTGGCTGGTAGATAATGTCGACCCGCTGTCTTGGTTCCCAGACCCTGTACGCTCCTCCGTTTCTGTTGTATGATCAGTTCTTGGCTTATTCTGTATTTGTCTCCCATGTCTTGCTCTTCCCCTGAAGAATTCTGTCTTCTCTTTGGCCATCTCAAATTGAGAACCTAAACTATTCCTGCAGAACTGCCTGGCTGGTGCCCACAAGCAATACCCCTTTTTCCAGCAGCACCAAGGGAGCCAGCCTCCAGTGAGTGACTCCAGCAAGTGCAGCCACCTCTCTCTTGAGAGTCTGGGAGCCTGGACCCATCAAGGGGCCCTCCTGACCTCTGGCTCTAGTGAAGCTGAATGTCCTCACTTTGTGGGTCACACTCTTTCCATTTCTGTAAGGCAATCTTGGCACACCTGGGGCTTACCAGTGGCCCAGGTAATTTTTTGTTTCATGGACTATGGACTCTTTCAAAGGGATATGATCCTTTTGAATTTTGCACAGCCCTAGATATAATCCCTTTTCATAAATGGGTCTTTGCTTCTGATTACAGGAGCACTGTGGAACATCTATAAATATGTTTTTATAATTCCATGTATAGTTGATGTACACTCAAATAAAACCTGTCCCCAGCAGCCACTGCTCTTTGTATAGGGCCATAATGGAATTCTGAAGAAATCTTGGGGAGGGAGGGGGAGTTGGAACAAATGTCTGTTCCCTGGAGGCCAGTCTGGTGCTCAGACCTTTAGACTTACTGTAAGTTGCCACTGCCAACATGAGACCAAAGTGTGTGACTTGTCAATGCTGCATGACAGCATTAAAGACTGATGCTAAGCCTTAATTAAAAAAAAAAAAAAAAAAGCCACTTCTTTTCTTCTTTCCTGGTAAATTTGCCATAAACCTTCTCCAAGACCTTAGATAAGAAAATGTGTGGCATTATCTGTGCTTTTAGGCAGCAAAGAAAGAACAGGGAGTGACTGATGACCATTTTCTCCCCATCACTAGTGCTGCCTAATGATCTGTTTGCTCCACAACCTTCCAGGTGACTTAGGGATACAGTTCTCCTCACTTAGTCCTGGCTCCCTCATCTTCTCCCTCACGCCTTCATGGTACCACTCTGATTTCTATATGTTTCACATCTCCTATCACAGCTTCATTTTATTATTAACACAAGTTATCATGTCATGGGAGAGGTACTTGCATGATGGCTTGGGTATCTCAACAGTCACATGACTGATAAACTCTTAAAATCACTCAGGTAAGAACTGCTGCAGCAGATCGAATAGAATTGATAAAGAAAACCATATTTCTAAATGCCTACAGCAACCTCTAGGTCAGTTTCCTTCTCTGACTCAAAAATAAGAAAGGAAGGAGAAGAATCCACCAGCATAATGTGATGAGAAGTGCAAGGTGAAATAACAATGCAGGTCAAGCTGGCATTTGTTGTTACTAAAAGTGATGAGCTGCTATTCCTTCCCCTATAACTGCTTTTCCTCCTTCAGGAAAAATAATTCTATATCAGTTATTATCTTTCCTAAGCAATAGAGTATGAGAATTTTTTCCCACTATAAGATGATAGCCCCATTGTAAAATAAGGATGACCATTACCTCTGAGTATGACACTGTTTTTGGAAAACAACAATTATTCACATAATACCATTAACAAAAATACTTTAAAGTGGTGCTTTCCAAATTTTAATGTGCCTATGAATCACCTGAAGATCCTGCTAAAAATTAGATTCTGCTTCAGAGGGTCTGGGGTGTGGCCTAAAATTCTGCATTTTTAATAAACTCGTGGGTAAAAGTCAATGTTGTCAGTCTGCCAATCACATTTTGTGTAGCAAGACTAACCATTACCTTCAGCATTATATTTTTGATTACTCTGGATTTTGTTTTGCTTCCTAGAATATGCTAGTTTTCTACTGGATTTGACTTTTGATCAGGACCATTGGTCTTCCAGTGCTTGGAAGTTCTCTGGTGACAGGCTTTAATACTTCAACTTTTTAATGACTATAGTTGGTTATGTATTATGTTTCCCAGTGTTAGCTGCATTCTTTGGCTATGATTCATGCACTACATTTACTGTTAATACGTAATGTAAGTCACTTTGCTGATGTGTTGAAGTTGGTAATTAAATCCTTTAAAAATCCAGTAAGCAAGAGTCAGATTGCTTAAGAAATACTGAATTTCTTTGGAAAATATCAAGGCCCTAACAATCACCTTTCAAGAGGGAAAAAAAATCTATTTTACCAATTTTACTTGCTCCTTAGTAGAGCAAGAGCTATGAAAATCATGGAAGAGAACTTTGAATAAAAATACTGTTATTTTACCTTTTGATTCAGATCCTATAATTTCAAAGAAAGTCTTTGAAGATAGATTGATTTTGATAATTTTCTTCATTGCACTTAACATCACCTGGAGCCAATCAAAAGAAATCAGAAAATCTAACATTTGAGTGTGAAGCAAAAACAACACCTTTATATGTTAAACTTCAGTGTTTCTGAAAGTGAGAGTTTGAAAGGCTGAGAGGTTGAAAGCTCTGGTTTCATCCATTCACATAAGAAAGGAACATAGTGTCTTGTCCACAGACAAATTCAAATCACATTTGCTAAGCTGGTGGTTCTATCTGAAACCTCTCTTAAGTACGATGTGTTGATCAAGCCAAAGTGTGCCCTGTAATTTGTTTTACAGATAAGCATCCTCTAAAGTCTATGGTTGAGAATATTCTATTTCCTCGAAACCTATGCCAATTTATTTTCAAAGTGCCAAGTTGGGATGGTATTTGGGTATGCAGGAGGATATATTGCGCAATTGTCATTTAACCATAGATTAAATGTCTGCATAAAAAGGAATGCGTTTTACAATTTTCAAATTGATGAAAGTTTTATGGGGAGATGTAATGAGAATAAGGATGTATTTTATGCAGGGGGGAATGCTATCTGGCAGTAAGAACCAAAGATGAGGATTTAAGAGTCTAGGATTGAATTGGTGGCATCACAAAAGATGTCTTTAGGCATGGATGCTCCAAGGTAGGTCAAAAGAGCATCAACGGAATCATAGATGCTCACTGCTTCCTTTGAAACCTCAAAGACTCCCTGGTTCCCAGGGTATAAGGAGAGGGCAGGATCACCTGTGTGAAGCTGGGCACATTATTGAAAGGAGCACAGCATAGAGCAGAGGTGGCATAACATGATGGTCAGAGGAATGGACTCCCCAGCTCGACTGCCTATGTTTCAATCTGCTTACTAACTGCGTGACCTTGGGGAGAGTATTTAACTTCCTTGTGCCTCAGTTTCTAAGCCATAATGAAATGAAAATAATAATAGTATCTACCCCATAGGGTTGTTACAAGGAGTGAGTAACAGTTGTATAATGCTCAGATCAGTCTCTCATGTAAGTGTGAGCGGTTTGTTTGTTAAGTAAATGAATCAATAATTAAGCAAAGTGGTTTAGATGTACATTCTCTAGACTCAGGTTGCCTAGTTTCAAATTCCAGCTCTCTGCCACTCTACTGGGCAAGTTACTAGTCTTAGGTTACTCACATAATACCATCTACTATTAAATGAGTGGTCTCGGGCAAGTTACTAGCCTATCTGAGCTTGGTTTATTCATATAGCAATATACTTTCTAAAGTTGATATATGTTAGTTTCCTACCCCATACTAGTCTTATCATTAAATTTGATAAGTATGCCATCAACTGACTGGAAAACCTTTAAGTGAGAAAAGGGCAAAGAAAGAAAACAAGACAAACACCCTTTAACATTGCACCAGAAGTATTCTTCCAGGTTAGCATCCACACATAAATCAACCCTCCCTGGGCACAGTCGTTCATCAATTATGACTTCACTTCACAGTGCTGTCATGCAGCCCATATTTGACTATTTAGTCTACAAAAATAATATCTTTTTACTGCATGTTTTTTAGTACACAGTACACAATGATAACACATTCCATTTATATAGCACATTAATGTTTTGTAAAGCCTTTCACATCCATTATTTTATTTAACTAGACATACTGTAAGAGGCTCATTTGTCTTTGAAGAAGCAGCATTGAGGAGGAAAATTCCAAATTTAATTTAAAACCATGTTTTTACTGCTACCAGGAGTTATCATTGAAAATAGTACTTCCATCAATGGTTCTTTTTCAGTGGCAGATGGTAGTCACTGCATCTCTGGATGTTCGCTGCAGTGGACAAAGCCATCCCAACATTAAAATAATTCTTCATGTACTCCCCTTTCCTCTTTTCTGTTTCCATCTAATCTCATATCATCATATCACCCACTATTTTGAAAACATCTCTACTTAAAGGAAAAGTAAAATGTTTTCACAGATGTATTCAGAGTCTCTGCTCATCTACCACTATGGTGAATTTGTCTATAACTCCCTTTCCTTGAGCCCAATACCTGCAGATGAGGTGTGTGCTGCACTCCAACACTTGGTCAGTGTACAGCCTAAGCATTAGTATTACCTCAGTGTTCCTCCTCTTCAGCCCATGATCCCTTTGCCCAGGATTTCCTTGTTTTATTTATTACCTGGACTTCTTTTTTACTTAACAAAAAAGTATTTTATCTCCTACTTTCAAAAGGAATCTGAGGTGTCCTAAAAACACATGAGCAAATCGGGGGTGTAAAGAGAGAAATAAGAAATGGCCTCCCCAGCTCTCCCTCTCACTGTCCTCAGCTTTACCATTGTCGTTCCCATCCATGCTCCACACTCAGACAGAGGTCACTTCATTCCAATAATCACAGTTTTATATCACTCTGTCAAGTGAATGTAAACTTTGGTTGCAGCCAACAGAGTCTTCTAAGGACTAATTTTTTTTTCTACTTTTCCTAACCCAGAATTCTCCATTTAAGGCCCTTGTAGGTCTCTGGAGACCTCATGTGCCTGGTTCTTCCTTTCCTGCCCTCATAACTTTCCCAAGAAGTTTATTTTATTTATTTCACAACATTTATATCAAGGTCTTAGTCTGCTCAGTCACTGTGCCTACTACATACACATGTCCTGTTACATACATCCACATTACATACATGTAATGCATGTGTGCATTACACGATGAGCTCATTTAATCCTCAGAACAATGCTTATGGGTGCTATTACCCACTTCACAAATGAGAAACTAAAATAGAGAGAGGTAAAGTGATTTCCACAATTTCAAGCTGAGTGGCAGAGCCAGGATGGGCCTCTGACAACCTGAGTCTACAGTCCTGCTCTTTACCTTGCCTCCACCCTGCCTCTCTGCTTCAACCACATGGAACAGCTGCTTTCTCAGGAGCACCTAGCGCCCAACTTACTCCTCAACGTGAGGATCATGACCCAACCTCTCCACAAAGCCACTGCAATGGCGTCACTCATTCTCTACCTGGCAGGGGAATTATCTAAATCATCATCACCCTCAAAATGTTGTGGAAATATATTAGTTTCAAAGACCCGTTCCTTGTGATGCTTCTTGATCTGTCTGAAGACCCCTATGGCTCCCCAAGGTCAGAGTACATGCTACTCTTATATTCCAAGCATCCTGTAAGCTGTCGTGTTCCTCCAACACTGGCTTCAATAGTTGGTGACCCACTAGGATTTTTTTGAAAATAATAACTTGAATTTATTGAGAATGAGTTTCATAGACCCAAGTATTTCTGCATTCAGCCTAGAAAGTAATTTTTGCATTGATCCTCATGAACAACATCTGAACTTAGAGATGTGAATGTATTGCCTAGCTTTGGAAGGAAATAGAAATGAAATTGAAATAAAACTACAAACCAGACTTAAAACAAAAAAAGGCATTTCTGAGTTTCTTCTTTTAGAGGAGAAAAAGCATAAGCCTAGTAGGAAAATAATGAGAGAGACAATTTAAAAAGAAATAAAAATGCACATCTCTACTTAGTAAACATCTCCTTTTCTTCCAATAATATATAATATTAATAGTAAAACTCTAGAAAATATTGAACATTTACATAGACCTTCTGTTTCACCAGACTTTTTCATCTCCAGACTTTTGTATTGTTTTTATTATTTCATATGACCTAATAAATTACCAGTAATGTACTGACTTAAAATATTTATTATCCGGAGTACCACATGATCAGTGAAGGATGGCAAATTTCTGTCAAAATAACTCACCCCCATTGATTTTGTATGAAATCGGGCTTTGCCTTTTATTATCTGGCTGAAGGAAAAAAAAAATAGTAACGAGTTCAATCCTTTCTTATTTTTCTATTTCTCCCCATCAACACCACTGCCAAAGAGTGTAAAATGTTTCTTAAATCCTCCCTACCTTTGCCAGTATCACACACACAAAAATGCATTATGCTATTTGAAGAGCAATTTTCTTCTCTAAATGGGTAGCAACTGAATATTAAAGCAGGTTACTTTACACTGGAAGAATACGATTTTTTTTACTTCCCCAAAATTCAACATATTAAAAATGTTTAAACTTGAAACTGACCAAAAAAAAATCATAATATGTTTTGACACTTAAATAGTTGGTTACCTTTTGGAAGATATTTTTTGTTATGGTTCCGGAGCATATGTTGGAGTTACAGTAAGTATTGTTATTTTATTTATTCCTATCAATACATGAAATTAAGTATTTTGAATATATCTATGCTAGTCCCTAATAGATGAGCATAAAGATGTAGCCTGTATCCAAAGCAAGATTGTCACTCACTAATAAATTTCTGAGGGGAAAGAAGAATATACTTCAAACACTAGGTTTTATAGACACCCTACAATGTATAACATTAGTGAATGACCAAGAAACCACCACAAACAATTGAGCAAGGTAGAGCTCACTCACTGTTGGGGAAATTGGCTGTCAAGGTGCCCTTAGAAGCATAGATTTTAAAAACTAAATATTAAAAAAAAATATGTGAAAATGTAGTAAATATTTAACCCCTGAGTGGGCAAGAATTTCTTTCTTTTTTTTTTTTTTTTTTTGAGATGAAGTATTGCTCTCCCAGGCCAGAGTGCAATGGCGTGATCTCAGGCCACTGCAACCTCTGCCTCAAGAGATTCTCCTGCCTCAGCCTCCTAAGTAGCTGGGATTACAGGCACCTGCCACCATGGTGGACAAGAATTTCTAAGCAGTAGAAGAAAGCATATGAATAATGGTTAATTATTTTACTAGATAATTTTTTTTTTGAGATGGGGTCTCACCATATTGCCCAGGCTGGTTTTGGACTCCTGAACTCAAGTGATCCTCCCACCTTGGCCTCCCAAATTATTAGGTCTACAGGTATGAGCCACCATGCCTGGCCAATTTTCAAGTTCAAAACACCAAAAAATAACATTAGTATAATTTAATAATAAATAATATATTGGAGAAATAGCGCACAAAATTCTAGTACACAAAATGTTACATGTAATGTTATCGGAAAGCTTTCCCTTATTAAGAAAAATACTAAAACATTACCAGAAGATGTGCAAAGAACATGAACAGATATTTTACACAACAACAAATACAAGTGACCAACTAACAGAAGAAAATATTTTCTCCTCACTAATAATCTAAGAAATCATAAGTTGAAAAAATATATTTTAAAAAATATCTATTGAAAGTTTTTTTAATTAAAATATTCAATTGTGATGAAAATGTTGGGGAAAAAAGTGGTCATAAATATTGTGCCATGTGTATAACTGATGTGATCTTTCTTGAAAGTGATCAGGCAATAAAGATAAAGAACTTATAATAAAATTAGACACTTAACCCAATAATTCTTCCCATAGGAATCTAACCAAAGGCACTAAGAAGCATTTATGTACCAGAATATTCATCATAATAGTATTTGGTAGCAAATTTTCTAACACTGAAAAAATTGTTTTGAAAATGGTTATATTCACGATAGAATATTATGCAATTATTTTTAAAATCACAAATGAGACAAGTAATGTTTTCAAATTTCAAAATCATGACTTGAAGCAATGTTTTTAGTATGTAAAAAAACAAAACTATCATGATACTACATAGTACATCACATAATCTCAGTTATGTATATTAAAAATATACATATAGAGGCATTAAAAGCCAATATATTAATAGCTATTACCTCTTGAGTAATGAAATTATAAGTGATTTCTATATTTTTCTTTATACTTCTCAGCATTTTCTATAATGACCATGTATGATAATATTACTATCATTGTCAGGGAAAAATAAGATCTTAGTTATGTATTTATTGATAAAAACATACTTAAAGTAGGAAGACTTACTTTCTGGAATAACTTTAAAAACAAGTCAGACTCATGCATAAGCAAAGTAGACATTTGACTTTAGTATGACTTTAAATTTGCCAAAAACAAATTCCCACAATGATCTATCCTAGTCTTCTTATTGATTTGCAATTGTTGTTGGGGGAAAAATCTCTACAGATCTCTCTTGTGTCTGCATGTCTTTATTCTCTTTGTTGGGGGTGGTGGGGGGGCAGAGGGGTATGGAGTCTCACTGTCATCCAGCCTGGAGTGCAGTGGTACAATCTCTCCACACTGCAACCTCTGCCACCAGCTCAGGTGTGCCTCCTGCCTCAGCCTCCTGAGTGTCTGGGACCACAGGCACATGCCGCCTTGCCCAACTAATTTTTTCTGTATCTTTGGTAGAGACAGGGTTTTGCCACATTGCCCAGGCTGGTTTTGAACATCTGAGCTCAAGTGATCCGCCTGCCTCAGCCTCTCAAAGTGCTGGGATTACAGGCATAAGCCACCACACCCAGCCTTTATTCTCAATTATCTTACCTAGTATGTTTGCTTTGTGAACAGTCTTGGAATATATAGTGTCTCTCTTGAAAACAAAGGGTATACATGCTTGCTGCCCATTATAATAGATTCCGGTTCACTAAGTTTCTGGATTACCCTGTTGTAATACAACCCACTGCATGTGCTGGTGTCACCTGGCCCTCTTTGAAACACCTTGTGAGAATTGAAACAATGAATATCTGGCTACTAGAATTGCTTTGAGTAATACATTGTCCTCTATTTCTGACCCAGAAGTCTCTTATCTTCTTCCAGCATCCATGAAACTATGGAAAGCCAACTAGTTAGCTTGCAAGTACAACAAAGTCTCAAACCCTTTACAATGCTTGACAGTTATATGAGAGGTGAGATGTATTTAGCCACCTTTAAAAGTTTGTTTTCTATTAATATGTACATACATTCAGGAGGGATAGGACTTAAGCTTTATCAATCATTTATAATTTACTATGTGAACGAATTTACACAAATTTTAATAAAAACAAGTTTAGATAGGGGAGAATATGAACTTTCACCCTTAGCAATTGAGCTCAGTAGATACTGGTACACAAAACAGGAAAGTGAATTCTCTTCAAAGGGAAGTGGGTAGAAGCAGGCAACCTGTGAATAGAGTGACCATGTAATTCATGGTCACTTCAGAGTATAACAGGATGTTACTGAACAATAAATTAAATAAAGAGTAGTAAATTTATAGCTTACAATAAATGACAAAACCACTGTAACAAGAATATTCAAGCTACCCTAGAACCCCATTGCAGAACTGCTTGGTTCTACCTAATTTCTCACACCTAGAGGTTCTGTACCCTGACTCAAAAGAGCATCTTCATCCAATAGTACAACAGCACAGTGCTAAGCTCAGTAACAGGTTGATTGTCAAATGTAGAAATTTCATACGGCATAGCACGTAGACTGGGGAGGTTTTTTTTTTTTTTTTTTTGTATTCTTTGATAGGATATTTTAGTACTAGCCACAGTTTGGATTTTTTTAAAGAGGGAAAAAATGATGTGCTTTTGAGTGAAAATTTTCTCTAGTGGAGAAATTTATAAGGAAAAGTGGAAGGGTCCACTTGCAAGCAAACCCAGTTCCATCTCTGTTTTCAGGAGCTAAATACTTTCTGCAGCACACAGCCTCCACTTGGGGAGCCACTGGGTCATGCCTATTATGATCTCCAACTTGGCATTAACCAAGATTGATGTTCAACTTGATTCCCATGTAAATGCTCTTGCTACCCCAGAGATGCTTTTTAGTTAAGTTGTTGTCTAAAAGAAAAAATATACATAGACTGATTTTTTTCTAAAAAATTCTCCAAAATATAAAATTCAAATAAGTTAAAAAAAAGTAGCTGATTCAAATGCTTTGTACCAAAGAGAAGAATCATATCATTATTAAGTGGTGACAAGTGGATAAAAAGAGAACCACACACTCAAAGACTGCAAATTTCAACTCTTGAAAATTCCACAGGTACTCCACCTCTCTGTAATCTCTAAATTAGGGAACATGTGGTCAGTACTGCTCAGAGAACTCTATACTTCAGAAAAACTAATATGTAAAAGCAAGTTTAATATTGATGAAAATGACCTTTATTTGGATATGGAAATATTAACTCACGGAGCCAGAGTCTATTAAGGAATGTTGAAAACATTCTTGTGTGTTGTTAGTATTGTTTTAACTGTAGTGCTTTATTTGCATTAATCTTGGAAAAAGCCCATTATGATGCTGGATTTCCCTAACTCTTTTCTCTTCTCTCTTTGAAGAGAAAAAAAAACAGAAAGAAAATAGGAAAAGCTCCTGAATTCTTACATGGTGTGTGAATCCACTTAACACAATTATAATGCCCAATTAATCTTAGCAACATGAGTGATGAATCATTTCTCCAGGTGTCTCTTCAAAATAAAGTAAATTTAGTTCCAACATTTGACTATTGTTTTAAATCAACCGTAAGCCTGCCATATTAATGAGGAAGCTAATAACTGAACTCCAATCCATATTCAAAAATGCTCTCTCCCTGGGTGCCCACATAACAGCACACTGACTACCCTGGATACTAATTTTTTTTAGGTAATACAAGAAACAATGACTGAATTTCATCATTCGTGTCCCTTTTTATAGCTTGATTTGATGGTATCTCCTGCCATCTACTGATAGATAAAAAAGATAAAAACAACTTTTCTGAATCATTTGGCCATTATACCATAGACGATCAACTGCCATCTTTTGCTTGAATGTGAAAAATCACCTAATACATCAGGATTTTCACATACATAAACTAGCGATAGTTTTGCTTCTAGTGGAAAACCTTTGGTTGTAGACACATTTTACATTTGAAAGCATTATCATATAGGAAAAATATCGGCTTTGGAGTCACAGACTCTAGGTGACCCCTCATCCAAGAGCACAGACTCATGTTCTCAGCTTAATTTTCTTATTCTAAAATAAAAGTGGGGTTTCCACTGGAAATGTAAAGAAGATAAAAAAAAGTAGGGGTCAAGGTAAGAGGGATACTTCCTCCCACCTCCAAGATGCTCTAAATTTTACAGGACGCTTGACTTCTTGATAAATACAGTTGCAAAGAACAGGTCATTCACAGATTTACGGCTGACTCAATTAGCAGCTCAGAGCGCCACCCGTTGGTCATAGTCAGAGTCCTCATCTCCCTCTGCAGAAGGCTCCTCTCTGTCTTGTCTGTTTACATCTAAACACTGCACTTCCTGCCTATCCCCAGTGAGCAACACCTTTACGAGCTGCCTGCAGCCCCTCCTCATGTTGACACAGCTACCTTAACCATGAAAGACTCCTTTGCACTTGCACAGAAAGTCAGCATGTGAGTAGCCATTAAGCTGTTGCATTTTAATGACTTTGCCAGCTACGCTGCAGCTGACTTCAACTCCCAACTCAGCCATAGATATGCTTGATTCTTTTTCTAACCATTGAAGAGCAGTCAGTCCAATGAATTCATACTTATCTGAGGATCACTTATATGGCAACTTCAAATGTCTAGGACCCCACTGAGAACCAAAGATGGACACACAAAAAAACCCATGAAATGTGGTTAAAGGTCTCCAAGAAGGCGAAACACATGTCACCAAACTCATTCACTAAAGTTCAGGAAATTGACAAGAGAGGTTCTTCTGCCCCGTTCAAAGACATATATTATCAATATAAATAAATTTCTAAAGTTAGCCATGTTGGATTTTTAGCCATGGCCATTGAAAAGCAGCAGATTAAACAGCAGAAGAAAGTCTATTAGAGATAGTGGCAGCCATGAGAAGTGACAGCCAAGCATCTGACAGTAAATAGAAAAATGAAAATGCTACATTATCTTAACTAAATCTTTTATGAAAGCAAAATGTGTAATTCATGTAGAAAGATTAGTATTAAAATTTGTTAAGGCCAGGTGTGGTGGCTCATGCCTATAATCTCAGCACTTTAGGAGGCCAAGGTGGGCAGATCACTTTGAGCTCAGGAATTGAAGACCAGCATGGGCAACAAGGCAAAACCCCATCTCTACAAAAACATACAAAAAATTAGCCAGGTGTACTGGCTCATGCCTGTAATTCCAGCTACTAGGGAGGCTGAGGCAGGAGAATCGCTTGAGCCCAGGAAGTAGAGGTTGCAGTGAGCTGAGATCATGCCACTGCACTCCAGCCTGGGCAACAGAGTGAGATCCTGTCTTAAAAAACAATGACAAAAAGAAATCGGTTAAAGTAAAAAGTGGCCAGAGGCATTAAAAGTATTCGTTTTAGATAAGAAAAATTTACTACGGCCAGGCACAGTGGCTCACACCTGTAATCCCAGCACTTTGGGAGTCCAAGGCGGGCAGATCACTTGAGGTCAGGGATTCGAGACCAGCCTAGCCAAATCCCATCTCTACTAAAAATACAGAAATTAGCCGGTGTGGTGGCAGGTGCCTGTAATCCCAGCTACACATGGCGCTGAGGCAGGAGAATCACTTGCACCTGGGAGGCAGAGGTTGCAGTGTGCTGAGATCATACCACTGCACTCCAGCCTGGGCAACAGAGCAAGACTCTGTCTCAAAATAAATAAATAAATAAATAAAAGAAAATTTTACTGTGTAGACTTTCTTGTTTCTGAATGATTTTAGGAAGATGAAATATTCCAATAGAATTAAAAAGGGTGTTGACACAGCTAGGTTCTTCCATGACCAAGGTCTTCAAATGGCTGAGTACTTCAACTCAAAAAGTTGTTGATTTTCCAGTGACCTTTCCCAGCCTGCTCCCTTACACCACACTCTCAATTCCTGGATTCTTAAGTGTATAATGTATGCAACATAAACTTTTCTTCATAATTCAGGTTCTTCTCTATTGATATCCTTGGTCAAAACGGTGATGCCTGAGGGCAGAGTTGTAGAACTGTATAACCCTCTACAAAGGGGCACCTGGCCAGAACACTGTTGCAGTACTTTTGCCTATTTTTGTCCTGGTACATAATATCAAATGCTAGTTTGCAAGGTGGCTGGGATTCACAGTTTGGAATGTGGCCTTCTTCCCTCAGGGATTTCTCCTTTTACTCAGTTATTTCCCCAAGTCCTCAGTGGAATGCTCTCCCCTTCAACACTGTCCTAATCCTAGCAGGCTCTGGGTTTATCCAAACTGAGTTTTTGAACAGTCACACCAGGTAGACCAGGCAAGTTTCTCTCACACTTGACCTCAGTTTCCACCATTAGTACTGTCATGTGAAGCAAAGTATGTCAAAAAACGATAATGTGTAACAGATTGCAAGAAAAAATATGAATATGCTTCTGCCTCCCTCGGATTTGCCCTTTTACTGTCATGCACTGGGGTGTGAAGAAGCACAGCTTGGGAGGAATTTGACCTACTCTGTAAAGGTCATGAAGTTTCCAACAGAAAGTGATGACTCATGTTCCATACTTCCTGATATTTCAGAGTGTTCAGGAAAAAATGCAATCTAGTGCAGCACACCCTTTCTTTCCAACAGTTTCTTGCCAGTTCACAGTACTTGTGAATTTCACTACAAAGGGAAGTTCAAGAGCCAAGGTGAGGGAAACTGCTAATGTGAACAAAAGTTCAAAAGCAGGGCAAGAGGAGGCAGGCCTCTCTGTGCCTTGTGTTTACAAAAGAGGCAGGTTTCATCCAAACACACAGATCTTTCTCGCACAAATATGTGGCTCAGTGTTTTGGCATCTTTCAAAGCAAAGTTTTAGAGGCTGCTTTTCCTCCCCAGTTCTGTACACACACATATGCACGCACACACAAACACCAGCTTTGAAATCGGCTGGTATTGTCTCAGAACTTGAAACGCACCCAGCATTTGACCTTAACTTTCCAACACTTCAGGAAGCAGGAATTCTCACACCCTTAGGCCTCGAGTTAAATGAACCCATGGAAATCTCTTTCCAAAAGATGGTTAATTGTACACACCACATATGTATCATTTTCCCTTCTCACTGAAAACATACAAGGTCACACATTCCAAATCTTGACACAAGTTCCTCATCTAACAATCAAGCAATATGGCTACATAACAAACATACACAACTTGTGAGATCTATTTGCCATCTGCATGTGAACCTAGGAAACAAGAACTGAAGGGCATTCCCTTCTTGGAGCTGTAGTGAAACAATTAGCTCCAACTTTTCTTTGTCCTGTGTCATAGCACTCAACATTCAAATTCAAAGAAAGAGACACTTGGCCAAGCATCAGTCAGTTCTCATCCGTTAGCCTGGGAGAGGCCAAGATTCTTTATCCGAGGAAGCATCAAAACAGCCTGCAGGGGTCTCCCAAAGAAAAATGAGGGTGCTGTTACCAGAGGTTACGGGAATGTATACTAGGTAGGAAAATCCACAGGTTAGCTCTGCAAACAAGAAGGTAACAAGATGGCCAAGCTCAGTTCGGATTTTTAGAACGTTGGTCAGGCAATAATGAGGAGCCATGGATAACTGGTTGATGTTGTAAGTTTTCCTTCATATAGGATTATGTACTCAAACAGAGAAAACAACTAAAAAATAAAAATAAAGGACATAAGACCAACTTCATTACAGCCATGTAATTGGTTCGATTATCTTACTAAGGAATGTAGGAAGAAAGAAATAGACTTTCAAGCCTTTGTCCGTCCTCTGTCAAAATGAAAATAGAACAAGAAACTCCTGATTCAGAAAATTATAGAATATTTGAATTACACGGAATCTTTACAGGTCTGGCTCAACTACTTACTCAGTGCAGGAATTTTCTCCATAAGATCTTGTAGCTTTTGCTTGCAGACATACATTCCATCATTGTACAACTAATAAGCAGAATGACCGTCCTTATATAGAATAAAAATCTGTTTACCCATGAATCCTACATATTGATTCTAGTTCTGCTGACTGGAACTGCATGGAAAAAGAAAAATAATCATTTGCATTTTCACATGACAGCCTTTCCAAAGTTTGAATCATGGCCACTACCCTCCTCCAAAAAATAATAACGATAATAATAATAATTGATCCCTCTAGGCTGAACATCTCCAGTTTCTTTCAATGGTTTCTTATGGCACTTTGCGGACTCTTCGCCATTTTGTATAGCTCTTTTCTATACAGGTACTAGTTATGCAGACATGAATGTAGTTACGTTTTTCTACCTTGTTCCAAAAAGATTTCTGGTGGCTGAGTTCCAGTTTGTCAATACTCCTTTAAAAAATATGATGCCCAAAATGAAACACAATACTCCAGAGTCAGAAAGCAAATGTACTATTCAGCATACTTCACAGATAGGCTACCATATGTCACTAAGTGTTTCGGGATCTGCCGTCATTGAGGAGGAGGAAGTACAAGACTGCAGGGGAGTCAAGACAGAGTCCTGGGTTGTGTTCCAGTATCATTCAGTGTGAAATATACCCTATATAAAGAAAACAACAGATGTAATGTGCTGCTTTTCATACAAAACTCTTCCAACACAGGAATATCTTATCATAGTCACAATCTAATGTTGCCTCACACCCCCTAGGGGAAATTCCCCGGGGATGTGTTAGAAGAGGAAACTGCCTTGAAAGAAATTTTTCAGGCACATTAGAGCTGACAGAAATCAGCTCTGATGTCAGGACTGGGTATGTGTAGGATCTAACTAGGAACACAGACCAGGTGCACTCAATGAGCCATCACAGCCTGTCTTGAAAGCCGCCTCCTAGATGCTCCTGGTGCTGAAGATTTTAACTCTGTCTGATTCTGGGGTAAGAAGAGAAAAATGAGGGTTGGAAAGGTAGGAGGTTGTAATCACAGGGATATGAAAAGCACATTTCGCAAGTTCAATACATTCCCTGTGCCTGCTAGAACAAACAACATAGAGGAGCCTCCTTTGATTTGCAGTTGATTGTAAACTGTCTGGCTCCCTGTGATTTTACAACTGTTTCAGCTAATTCGGAAATTTAAAAATCCAGCCCAGGGACCATCTTGTGCATTTATGAGGCATCTAAAAGATTACTGGTTCTCAAGCGAGGGGATACCTTACATTTTCCCCCACTCACAACTCACGTTTCCTCTGTTCCTAAAATATGCACACACAAAGGACATGGATCAGCATGGGGTGTGTGTGTGTGTGTGTGTGTGTGTGTGTTTGATAATAGTTTTCTTTTAATTCAAGCGTAATTATTTACTTTCCAATTCTCCTAAGCAATGACAATCAATTCTCTATGTTTTGTCTAAAGTCTACTCCTGAACTTTTCATACTTACCACTGAAAATAATGACACAGTGGTTAGTACTTGTAGAAATGTGACAGTGAACTTTTTTAAGCTGTTTTTGAACTCCGTCTTGTCAAAAGAAAAATAAATGAAAGCCCTGCATGGTGACTCTAGCTAACACTGACTACATCTTGCTTATGCAAACCTGCACTGGGACTGTAGCATTTCTCCACCAGTAGCACAACCCTGCTAGAGATGAAAGGCGTGTCATACTGGTATTCTGTAGAAGCATGGAAGTTATCTCACACTCATATTTCAAGAGAAGCCTGCCAAAACCAATCCTGTTTGAAAAGCTAGCCTGCAACATAATGTTCACTTTCTTGGGAGGAACTCTACTTCCTATGCAACACAAACTGCTGCATCCCAAAAGCAAAACACTGAAATATTTGTAGTGTAGAAATCCACCTGTATTTTTATATATGTATGTTACATGGAAAATA
Organism: Homo sapiens; assembly: GCF_000001405.40. NCBI lineage: Eukaryota > Metazoa > Chordata > Mammalia > Primates > Hominidae > Homo > Homo sapiens. The sequence goes on along the minus strand of NC_000002.12, from coordinate 191,863,952 downwards.
AGTACCATAAGGGCAGGAAATTTTTGGTGGGGGAAGGGTCTGTCTTGTTAACTGATTTATCCCAAGCACCCAGAACAGTGCCTAGCTCACATTTGTTGAATGAATGATATGGCTGAGAATCACTGTCCCAAATCCAGTTCTGAGAAAATACTGCTGCTGGACCCACTATTCTGCTTAGAAACATTAAGAAGTAAACAATCCTTTGCTAGCAAATATCAGCATACAGACTAACATGGTGATGGACGTTAAATGAGGAGCCTCCGTAGAAGATAATATTTGGATCCATGTACATATAAAAAGTTGCGTTGATGTTTTACTGACCAAGAGATCGTTTTTCATATCTTTTGATTTTATCCGAACAAGTTTATGAAGAAAAGACTGGTAGTCCTCACAATCAGGTGTTTTCATCTTCGTGTCTACTAGGAATTTAAACTTTTATAACTTTTATAACTCTCTTAACTCAAGCAATTGCAAGGTATTAAAACAATAGGACAGATGAGTTGAGCCCTGATGCCAATAGACATCTCTAGTAAGATTGAAAAACTGGAATGTGGAGGACTCAGTGCCAATAGAGATGTGAGACTGAAACTGCAGGGTAAAGGTATGGTTGCCAGAAACCAGCAGAGCAGAGGGCCTGCAGTCAGGAGGCCAGGCAAAGGGGCAGAGCTCAGAGGAATAGCCCACCAGCCTCTCCACTGCCCACCTTGAAGGATGAAAAAGAGAATGGACAGGCTCCTTGACAAATGTGCTTGGCTGTCCCCTTAGTTCTAATAATTGTTCTGTTTTATTATATGTTCATGCCTGTTTAACAATTAGCAGATCTGGTAGATGGATGAACCAGGAGTGTCGGCATGAAGATCCTGCAGGCAAACATTAGCACTGGTTTTCTAGCCACAAAACATTATTTCTGATAGGTATATTAATAACAATAATAACAACAACCATAAAGTATTCATAACCATCTTATTGATAAGTGACATTTTTTCCTCTAGAAACTTCAAAAACCTCATGTTATTATTTGTACATAAGTAAGAATTACAGGTTAAACAATTTACCCATGCTTATTGTTGTCAGTAGCAGAGTCAGAAAGCCCCATGCTGGTCTACACCATACACATGTATAGATTCTATTAGATTGCTACATGGTTTGTTTTGATGGTTTCACAAAAATTCTATAGTGGTGCCATATTTGAAAATGAAAGAAATTAGAAAAATGTTTATTACAGGGTTGTATTTTTTCCCTTCAGACTCAGACCAAAGATTTAAAGCCTGAGTCAAATATTATTTATTCTCCACTGTACTAATTTCAAGGACTAGCATCTTTGGGTCTAACACCAGTCATATTTGGATTGCCAAGCCCTGATGAGCAAGCCAAAATATATGTGGTGGGTCATAGGGAAAAAAATGTTTAGGTACATTGGAATCAACATTAACTGTACTTTAAAAGTGTTAAAAACCAGCTCTGAGACACAGGTTTTCCCAGAGCCAAGATAACATGAAAAAATTTTCATGTACTTGGAGCCACGAGAGAAACGAAGAGCCAAGTTCTGTCATCTGGTGCATATTTCCAAGGGGCCGACTAGAGCCCCTGGGACTGACTCCTCAGACCTTTCCCAGGAAAGTCTTCTAATGTCCCTAACAGAATTCACAAATGGGACCTTGGGAATCACTCGCAATGAGATAACATAGAAACATCTTTGTTTCCAAGTCATCATTTCCTCCAAATGAAGATGGAAGCTAAGCTTTCCAATTGGAAATTTCCACAAATGATGAGAATGTGTATTTAATGATTATGGCTTTATATTTCATTGACCTTATCCCCATTCAATGTATATAAAAATAAAAAAGAAGCTTAAATTCAACCAAATTAACTCTGCTTTTTAGACCTCTTTCATTTTTTAGTAGCTATAGAGTAAATATTATAGGTGAAGATTATGATACTATTCCAACATCCTCTTCAGGGATGTGAACACCGGGAAAGGGGTACAAAAAGCTGTCTCTGTGGAGCCATGGAAAGAGTGTAGACCAGGAGGCAGGAGGGGTGACTCTGGCCCAACCTCCCAGCTCACTGGTTGTATGATGTAAGGCAAGTCATATAATAGTTTTTTGCCTGTTTTATCATCTGTAAAATGAAAGGGCTGAATAATAATGATGGTGACAATAATAATAAAGGTAGCAATAATAATAGACAGGTGGGAGAGCTTGGTAGTGATCATTTAATCCTTTCAACATCCCTGTGATTTAAAATAATTGTCTCCATTGTATCATTGAGAAAACAGGCTCAGATATAGTAATTTCCTTAGCTCAATGGCAAACAGAGGTGAACTTACTGAGAAATTAATAAAGTTTAAGCTTCTGAGGCCCTTATTTGCATAAGCCCCCTTCCAAGACTCTGTACCTAACTTTATATTCTCTATCTTAAAGAGGGTTTCTAAAATTGTCTAAGTCCTAGGCCCCATAAGAATTGGATTTGCCCCTAATGCAAGCAAGAGATGAAGCTGGAATTCAAATGCAAGTGATCCAATGCGAAAGCCTGAAATCCTACTCCCCCTACTGAACCTGCTCCCTTTCAAAGATTCCTTTGTTCCTCATAGCTCTCTAAGCTATCTATTGTGGACTGAACTATGTCCTCTCTAACTTCACATGTTGAAGCCTTAACCCCCAAGGTGACTGTATTTGGAGATTGGGCCTACAAGGATAATAAGGCTGAACAAGGTCCTAATCATTTAACCTTAAGTGGAGTCCTATTCTAAGAGGATTGATGTCCTTATGAGAAAAGGAAGAAAGAGCATAGCTTTCTCCCTGTGTGTGCACCAAGGAAAGGCTGCAAGAGGACAGAGTGAGAAGGAGGCCATCTAAAAGTCAGGAAGAGACCTTCCCTGGAAACAGGATTTGCTGGCACCTTGATCATGGACTTCTAGCCTCCAGAACTGTGAGAAAATAAATATCTGTTTTTAAGCCACCCAGCATGTAGTATTTTGTTATGGCAGCTAGAGTAGCCTAATACACTATCCTATGCCTGCCCCATCCCTGTAGTTTCCTATATCTCAAATAATAGGAGTGCCTACATTTCCTTTACAGGGTCATTCCACAAAGTAGTATCTTAGCTACAGTCAGGAAAACATTTTTCTGAACCTAATTTTGTATTATTTCTCCTAGAAATTAAAATGCCTTCCTTCTCTCTGGTTTTGAGGAAACAGTGGAATATTAAATTTCCAATGACAGACAGCAGAAGTCCAAGTTCTAATATCAATTAATCCTGATTTGCTAATGATAAACCGGGCTTTCATGTGCAAGCCATTCTAGTATCCTCAGGTTTAACAACTTCATCTGCATAAGACCTTTGGTTAGAAATATTAATCAAGACTATACTACAGAAACTTTGCTAATATAATACAAAAAATACTACTTGATTCCTCTTTACACGGTGTAATAGTCACAAGTCCCTCAGTAAGAAAAGTGAATTAAGTGGACAATCCAATCACAAGATTGTTTTGAACTCAATATAGGATGCTAAACATATATCTGAACACAACCAACAGTTTATTTACATTTCTCACTGATTCCTCCGTTCTTATTTATTTAATTGACATTTACTCATTCATTCACTCATTCATGCACAAATATGTGTTTAAATACCTACTGTCATTTAAATGGGCTACAACAGTGGGTAGGCAGAATTATAAGGTGGCCTCCAGGATCCCCACCGCTGGTCTACCTGCCCTGTATAATCCTCACCCCTCGAGTATGGTGACACCTGTGAATATGATGAGATATCACTCCTCTGATTACGTTACATTAAGTAGCAAAGGTGAAGATATTTTGCAGATGTAATTAAGGTCTCTAATCAGTTGACTCTGAGTTAATGACAAGGAGATTATCCTGGGTGTGTTTGGCCTAATTAGGCAAACCCCTAAAAGAGGGTCTAGAGATAGGAGACTCTCCTGCTGGCCTTGAAGAAATAAACTGCCATGTTGTAAGAATGTCTCATGTCTAGACCCTTGGGTAGTCTCCAGGAACTGAGAGCACTCCCCCTCACCCTGGTTTACAGCCAGCAAGAAAAAAAGGATGTTAGTTCTACAGCCACAAGAAGTTGAAATGTGCCAACATCCTGAATGACCTCAAAAGAGGACTCCAAGTCTTAGATGAGACTGCAGCCTAGCCAATACCTTGATATCTGCCTGGTGAAATTTTGAGCTAACCCTAGTGAAACCCAGCAAATCTAACCCTGGACTCCTGACTCACAGAAACTGTGAGACAATAACTGTGCGTTGTTTTAAACTGCTAAGTTTATGGTAATTTGTTACAAATAATAGAAACATAATACAAACCATGAAAAATATAGACAAAGTCCCTGCCTTCCTGGAGCTTTAGATCTAGTGAGTGACACAGGCAAAGAGCAGCTCACAAACAGTATTATTTCAATTACACAGTGGTATGTGAAGAGTATGCAACAGGGTGCTCAGGGAGAGAAAGACTGAGGATGGCACCCCTATAAGGTAGGATGGTCAGGGAAGACTAGCTGAATAATGAGAGGGAAAAAAGCCAGCCATATGAGAATGAATAGGAAGAACTCCAGGCAGAGAAAACAGCAAGGGAGATGCCCTCAGCGGCACTGGCTATATCATTACAAAATTAACTCCAAGAACCACATGGAGACACTGATACATAAGCTCATTTATTCACTGAATGTTTAATTTAATATAAATGTATAACTGCCTAAAAAATATGTTTCAGTAGAGTGGGTCCCATTGGACATTAATCGGTTTAACTGCCGTTAGCGAAAGTTCTAATTATAGTAGCCTTTTAAATTTGGCTTTTCTTCAACCTTTGCCAGGTGGAAATGTGTCTTATAGGACTCACACTTAGCACATAATGGAAATTCAAAAAGACAGTTATTGAATTGAAATGAATGCTGCAACTTTATTTAAAGTTTCATGTTTGTTTGATTCTTTTAGGGTAGAATGTTGTCTCCTGTTAGGAGGACATAAAGATAAACAGCAATTAAATTGTACTCTATCCAAGACCTCTGATGTATAAGTCAAGATCTGAATGATGAAATATACAGCAGAAAGACTATATGAAGTGAATACATGCAAAATGAGGTAGCATAGGTAATTTTGGCTAGCTGACTAGTATTTATTGAGCTGTATGTAATAGGCACTCTGTGGTGTCATCAAATCCACAAAACATTAACACCACAATAGGTATTATTATTAGCACAGTTTTATTTAATAAGAAAAGTGAGGCTTCAAAAGATTAAGTAATTTTCTCAATATTATACAACTAGAATAATAAGCTGGAACTCGAATCTAGGTAACTGACTCTAAATCCCAGCCTGTGAACCACTAGCTGTAAGATGATTGCAATGACGACTAAAATGCACTGAGTTTTTAACCACACGAAAGGCATTAGACCAAGCACATTACATGTAGAACTAATTTAACCCTCAGACCAACCCCATGAAGTAGGTACTCTTAATGTTTCTCATTTTATAACTCATTTTATAGCTAAATCTCAGAGAGGTTAAGAGACTTGCACAAGGTCACTTAACCCTTGTAAGGCTTAGTCCCTTTATCCTAAAATGGGGCCTCAATACATGGACCTTTTCCCAGACAGTCTGGCACCACAGCCCACACTCAACCAGCACATGACACTGCTGCACTGGTATCAAACCTATGATCCAAAATAAAATAATACTTACTCCAAAACATACATAGCATATATTCTGTTCCTCATTACTCTGGTGTCAAGTTTACATAGCTAAACTATGTAACGTACATTTGGACATTTTAACGTCATCATTAATGTAATTCATTTTAGTTGCCTTTTTTCTTTTCCTCTGGACTGTCTAGTTATCTTCCATTGCTTGGCCAGTGGCCAGGGCTGGAGTAAGATGTTCTCTCCCGTCCCTACCCAAATCTCAAATTTGATTAGTAACTAAAATGTTATGCTCTGCAATTGAGGCTAAAAAAAATTAATTAAAATGAGTGCAAATTGCTTGTCTACATTATAACCTATTGTAATAAGTATTTTGTAAAAGTGGGGCTAATAAGACCAGGGGACTTCCTTGTTTTGTAAAAATAAGACCAAAGTGACTTCTAAATCCAAACAAAGTAGAGAATATTTCTCAAACTAAATAAGGTGACAAGGGTGTATCCTAAGGGCGGAATTACAGCTAACATATAGAAAGTTTGTATTTAATCAATTGTATTGTAACCTATCCAGGGCAACAAATGTGCACCAGAAGGGATATGGTCTGTGTGGAATCTAGAAAAGGAGATCCAAAAAGGAAACACCTGTCAGTGTTTATTCAGCTACGTCCTGGGAAGAGAGGACTCTGGGTCTACAACAGTGTTTTTCAAATTGTGGGTTGTGACTCATTAGTAGGTCATGAAATCAAATTATTGGATAGCAACTGACATTTTTAACAAGTAAAATGAAATAGATCAGAGTACACTGAATGAGGTAAGATTAAGTATTGTTTTGTGAAACTTCTGTTTCTATTATAAATATTTACATATTCATGTATGTCTGAGTGTGCATGTACTTTTTGATATGATAATGCATTTCACTCTGTGGATGAATAAATGAAAACCATTGGTAGACAAATCTTATTGAAGTTTTCTAAGCCAGGGGTTCTCAGACTTTGGGATTTCATGAAACCATAAATCAAATCACACTCCAAAAAAGGAAAAATTGGGACCTGATAGGGTCGCCAGTATTCTTATTCTGTAAAGTTAAAAGTAATTTAAAAAAAATTGTACTATAATGTCTTAAAATCAACATTTTGACATCAGTAATAACAATGACATAATCAAAAATAAAGCACATTCTTCTAAATTAAATACATTTAGTTTTATGGTAAGTCCACTGTATTGCCCTTATTTTTTTCATTTCTCTACAGATTCATGAAACCCCCCATGGCAAGGCATAATGTACCCAAAATATGAAAGATCAGTACATATAGTTACCCACAACTCAATAAAACATTTCTCGGGAATATCAATCTTCTTTTATGCCATCTTAGCATTTACTAGGCTTCCAAAATGGCCACTGTGCTTTGTTATACCAATTAGCTCTCTTTTTATTAATTAATACACAGATACTTGGATTCATATATTTCTCTCCTGTGAGTTTCAGTAGAGTGAGTTAATTTTCCCCAAATATTATCTAAGAATGAGCGGATAAGATTACATTTCTGGACCTACATACTGGAGATTTGGGTATTTTAGACCATGTGACTCTGGGAGGCAGAGTCAAAGATCAGCTCACAACAGTTCCTGCCATTATGAATACCAGTGTGATTAGCTCAAAAAGCTGACCCCAGAATTTCACATGGCGTTTCCCATGTTTTGAATGCTCTTCAAGAAAACCACCCGGTATCTCCTTGCTTCTGCCTGCTCCTGCATCCAGACTGCTTCCTCTTTCAGGATTTCTTTTAAACTTTTGTCATCTCGGCTTCTCCTTAATTCTTGCCTGGATCTGACCTTCTTCCTACCTGAACAATAGCTAAGCTTGAACAGACACTGTGAGGAACTCTCCTGACCACTTTGTTTTACTTCCATCTTCCAACTGCTATCAATATATTTGTGTCCAAAAAGAGCCTCCAGAACCTCATCAGTCATGTCCCTTACTATGACATGGTATATGACAGCCTGAAGCAGTTAGCTGGTCTCCCTTTATGATTTGATTTTATCGACAGCTTTTTAGGGATAACAGTGCCAGATCTGATTGTCAACAAGTTGCACCATTTCTAGCACATAAGAACCTGAGTGAGACAGCATTCATTCAGACTCCACTAATTCGTAACGAACTTTTGAAAATTAGAACCATATTGGACTTGAGTTTACCTCTGAACTATTTATATAAAGGGGGTCACTAAACAAATTAGCAGCATGAACAAAATTTAAAGAGCTTGATTAGCCATTTTGTTTCAAACATATTAACACATAAATTATATGCATTCCAAAGGATAGTCCGCATGAATCCAAATTTATCTATTCATTAAAAGAAGATTCCAATAGCACTTAAACTTAGAAATGTTTTTCTAGCAATTAGTTCAACTTACCACATATACTTGAAAATAATATAATTACATTGCATTTTTTGAAAGAAAGATCCTATAATTTAGATAATATTTTTCTCTAATTTAGATCAGGCTCCCTCCCATTTAAACTTAATTAGTTCAATCTTATGTCAGGGATATTTACACTCATTTACTCTACTGACATAACCCTCTCTCTGCCCTGATTCCTTTAAAGGTCAATCCCTGAACTGGAAAAACTCTATCTTCCCACGTTTTCATTTCTCTTACACCCTGCAGAGGAGTGAAATTAGCAGCGAGAGATGGACATGCCTAATCACCATAGTAGATTGTGGCTCTAAGTAGCTGCTGCAATGAACTATATCCGCTAGCTACGGTGTCCAAAATGCAGGCCAAATACATCTTTCCCTGAAGGGCTCTTCCATTATAGGTTAACATTATCTTTCATAATACTTGAAAACTTCGAAATGTATTCATTGCCTCCTTTGTGCTCCTAGAACTTTGGTTTTTTTCTATTGTAATGCTTAACTCTGTCCTTTTCTCTCACTGGCCGCATATTTCATTAACAGTTTCTTTCTCCATGCTTTTAATTTGTATTTTCCCCAACTTCACCCTTATGTCCTATTCAAAGGTCTTAAACTCAGGAAGCAATTAATAACTGTTTGTTGAATTGAATTAGATCATACAGTGAAACCATTCATGTTATAAATAAGGAAAGCCAGTGCCCACAAGGTTGAGTGTTCAATGTCATCCAGTTAGTGTCAGAGCCAAAAATCTAGTTCAGGTCTTTTGATTTCTCAGTCCACTGAAACACTACACTTTGTCAAACTACCTCGACTGTGAGAAGAGGTGAAATCTAGTGACCAAAAAATGCTGTATTGTTTCTGTTTTTAAAGTTGAGAATGCGAGACAATACTAACAAAATTACTCTGCAAAAAAATGTGTTAAAGTGTTCATTAAATTATAAAATAATATCACTGGAAAAGGCCTCCGAAATCAGAGACCAGTTTTACAAATGAGGAAAGTAAGCCCCAAAGACACGAAATTCCTTTCACATTATAATAAATTCCATCATGTTTTGTGTTAATCAGCCCTGATATGATGACTGTGCCTGTGCAACAGCCCATAATTGTTTTAGGAGGAGATACTGAAAATATGTTTTAATGAAGCAGTCAGGTACATGAGGACAGTCAGCCAAACCCTTATTCCCTCTGCTCTTGTCACCTCTGCTTGTTACCTGGATTTCTGGCTCGCTCAATATTTATTTATTTTTTCAACTGGAATAGAGCCATAGCTTCCACTAAGACAATAGTTCTTTGAAGCCAACAAATGTGAGGCCAGAGGGAAAGGAATTTGGAATCACACATTTTTAGCATTCAGAGATAATTCAAGATAGTTCAAGTACTTCCTAAGTGTAAACCACCAGGCAAATGCTTCTAGCTGCCACCATTATTCACCTACAAAAATATTTTATTGCTGAATCAAGTTGCATTGCCAAAATATTTTTGATACAAAGTTATTTATAAGCAGTGGGTTCTATCCAGATAGCCTTGATTTAACCAGGAATCCTAAATTTTAATATGAATATGTAGTAATTACAGAAAAATGACAATAGGTAGTTCATAAAAATACATTATATGACTATTCATTAACTCAAAAAACAGCAGAATGAGAGGAAATGGTTTTATGTTGCTATGATAAGGATTTAAATCATTTATGAAGAACTTCCTGACATATAACAGACTTGGTTAGCAAAATGGTTTTAGAATTTCCTTCTCTAAAGCTTTCAAATTAATATAACTTTCTTTTCAGACAGGGTAACACATTTCCGTTGTTGTCCTTGGCTTTTATGGGCTTGTTTGTTTGCTTTAATAGAGGACAGAATTTTATGACTTCTTGACATCCATCTATCATGAAACTTCAAAGAACAAATTCACAAGATAGACCTCAAAACTAACAATTTCAAAATAAGGCTTATTAAACGCTGAAACGTGACCAAAGGAATCTCTAAAATCGCCTTCATGGGAGAGATTTAAGATTCAATAAACAGCAGTTAGGTGTCACGAGACAGGGAAAGGAAAACTGAGGAAAAGGGTGGAAACGCTGCCTCTAGCCGGGGAAGGAAGAGCATATTATATCTATCTGCTCATCTTGCTGTTCTTTGCAGAGCCCTAGACTTCCCCTAAGCATCAATTTGGTCATGGAAAAACAATAGATACCCACCCATTTCCTTCAAGCATTATTTTCCAAGGTTTTACAGTATCTCAAGACATCATATATGAAAAATGCTGTATTATAAGAAAAGCATTATTACTAAATTATCCTTTTAATTTAAAGCTCTTTGCCTCAATTCCTGTTTGCTTTAGGGGTCTGCAATGAAAAACAAAAACTAAGGGTTATTGTGATATTAAGTGTTTCCTGAAACTAAAAAAGGACAAATTCAACACTTCATCAGGTATTGCCTTGTATTGTCTTCTAACTGTTTCTTGTGCGTAAATCTTGCTCTTCCTGTAAGACTCTGAACCTCTCCAGGATGAAGATGTTGATTTATATTTATTTCATATTGTCTGAAAGTCTAAGTCTGTGCTGAGCATATAGCAATTCACTTAAGGCAGTTGATTAACTTATGTGTAAGAAAGGCCAAGGCACTCCCATATATTTCCCTAAGGTACGCCACACAGTACTGAGTGAATGAACAGGGCAGATAGAGACAGCAGAAGAGGCATTAATTTTTACTATGGCATATGCAATACAAGATATCAACATATTTTTGAAAAGAAATAAAGTCACACCTTCAAAGCCATGAGGCTGAACTAAATAGTTATATTAGTAAGGGTTTTTATTTAATTTATGTATTTAACACATGTGCTGCTTACCTGTTCCAGGCACTGGTCCAAATATTTCACAAATATTAACTCATTTAATCTCTGTAACAACCCATAATAGTAAGAATTATCATTATCCTCATTTTATAATAAGAACCTGGGGCCTACAAAGGAAAAGCAATTTGTCCAAGGTCATACAACCTTGCTGGAATCAGAAACTGGGAAATCTGGTTTGAGAGTCCATGCTCTTAACTGTTACTCTGTTGACCAAGGGCAATGAGAAAAGGTGGCGGGAGAGAGAGGTAAGGGGACAAGAGTGAGAGAGCAGGAAGAGCTGCCATCTTCAATCATTAAGTCAATGGTTTCTATTTCTGTGTCGACAGTCAGCTTTTGACATCTCCTTAAAAAAAAAAAAAAAAAAAGAAATACGGGGAAAAGAAGGTAAGAATCAACAGGGCACACAACTAATTATTTGAAGGGCAGCATTTGGAAGGGGCCCATATCACTTTTCACATCTATTGAACAGAAGTCAGTAAAACGTCCACACCCAGCTCAAAGAAAGGTTGGGAAGTGTTGTCTTTAGCTGGATGCCCATGTGCCCAACTAAAACTATATCACCATGTTAAAAACGACAAATTGCTACAGAAGAAAGCCCTTTCCTCTCATCCAGATTCCTGCAACATATCTCTGCTTAAATGGTCCTGGTTCAAAGAGGACTTCCTTGACCACCCTAAGATAGCATCCTCATCACTCTCAGGCCGCTTAGTCTGCTTTAGTTTTCTTCCTAGTGTTTATCATTATCTGATATTACATTGTGTTTTATTTATTATCTGTTTCCAATCTCACACCCCTCCCCCTGCCAAAAATATATGCTCCATAAGAACAGGGGCTTTGTCTCTTGTTCACTGCTGTATTCCTAGCACTTAATATTTACTCAATAATATTTGTTAAATGAATGACTTATGAAGGAACAATGTTCTAATGTGTCTTCCTACCTGTGTTCTTGACAAAAACAAAAAAAAAAGTAAAAAAGAGTTAACTGGCACCAGAGCACCAGAATTCTTCTTAGAAAGGGAGAAAACTTTCTTTTATGATAATAATAACATATCTTCTTGGGGTAGAACATAAAACCTAATGTCCAGTGTTTGAGTAATATTTCTTTTCATGATACAGAGAGTGGATGGAGGTAAGGAGAAAACAGAAGAAAGAAAACTAGGAGGAGAAAAACCAGCAAGATGTCAGAAATCTTCCTAACTGTGACTCTAAAACTTCATTAACATCTACTCCACTTAGAAATACTTTATGTGAGTGGATTGTATGATACTTAAAGAAGGGGTTGGAGTTTACAACCGGGCAGTTATGGAGAAGTACAGATATGGCACATAGAGAAACACTTATTTAAACCCAAGAGCCAGAGAAGGCCTTGAGAATGTAAGCTCCTCTAGAGTTTTCTAAAATCTTGGAGTTCCTAAATGACAGCACATGGGAAGTGGGTAAAATTTACCTTATATGTAAACACTATACATTATTTATGCTTCATCACTCATTTATGTAGGATTTCCTTATACATTTCTCTACTTCTTACTGACATCATTGATACACAAGGACTTTGGTTGGAAGAGATTCGAATCATATAATCATGTGCTTTTCATCATTAATATTTCTAGTGAAAGTAAACACTTGATTCCTCTTCACTGCCGTAGAAAAAGATAAGGCAAGACGTTCAGGCATTCTGCAAACTGCACCCTCACTTTCTATCCACACCCACTGCAGGATTCAATGACTCGATATAGAGTTCGCCCAGATAGGGTCAGATGATCTTTCAACTCCACCTTCCTTTCTGCATAATGCATTTTATCCTGGTAATATGCTTTTTTCCTACCACCTTTTGGTATTAAACCCAGTGTTAAGTTTTTCTTAAGGTGAGAATAATCACACAAAGTCCTTTATTTTGCTTTATAACACTACCTTAGCAGTTAAGTTTTGGAAACAGTAGTATGCATAAAACATATTAGATAGAGGGGTTCTAGGAACAAACCTAGACTATTAACAATAATTATTTTAGAATTACACTGTCATTGCAAACTACAGTTCCCAGTTATCTACTGTTGCATTAAAAAATCACCCCAAAACTCGATGACATAAAACACGTGGATGTGTCATCACATGGTTTTTCTTTCTTTCCATATGGTGAATATACAACCCTAGGACTGCCTCCTGTTCAAGAGGAAACCCACCCTTTGAAAGGCTTTCAAACTCCAACATAGAGGACAGGGGAAAATATATATGGAGTAGCCTGCTTAGCTTTCTTTGTTTCTTTAGCCACTGGGGCAAAGGGCTTTCTTTTCTGTGGGATCCTCATTCCAGGTCTCCTATTGCTGTCAGACCAAGAGTGCCCAGATTACTTTATGGACCTACATGGAAAAGGTCAACAAAAGAGACCACTGAGCTGCCTCTGGTCTAGGAATTATGGGCTAGTGGTTCAGAATAGGAAACCACATAGAAATTGGGACCAATTCCTTAACTGATAATAAAGTAGGTATTTTCCTGGAATGACTTCTGTGCTTCTGTGACTTAAACCTCTGAGGTTAACTGGTGTTCGGGGGAGCTGGTGATCAGCTGGAGGATTCTGAGTCCTAACCATACCCTGTCATGACTAAAGCCTTCATGGTCCTAGACTCCAGCAGAGCTAATCATTCCCTCTCTGTGCCCACACCTGTACCTCTATCCCTAGGATTTGTCTACCTACCTATCCTCCTAAGGTGGGAGATTTTAAAGGGTAACAAATACACACCATTCATCTTTGCATCCCCAGTGCCTAGCACTTATTTCCCACCAGCCAAGTGACCCATCTCTACATCTTATTGCTGTACAGATTCTTCTTAAACACATCACCTTCACGTGTTCAAAAACCTCCCCAGCCTGTCACTGTATCAAGTCTAAACTCCACTACCTAATTTCCAAGAAACTTCATAATATGTGGTAGGTAGAATTAATTATTTTAAGCATTTCTTTTAAGAACTGACCGCTGAAATTCACTGATTTCTCTCAGACAGAAAGAAGACTTAATTTAGGACAACTAAATGGTAAGTCTGGCTGCTCAGGGTAGTCTATTACTTAGTTTCAGGCCATCTTGTATGTTCCCATTACATAGCTCCTTCTAGCTCCCCTGATTGTAAGGTTGTCCAACAAAACAAATTGCATCACAGCATGAAACTATTCACTAATGAACTGATCACTTTTAAATATAATTTTTAAAGGATATATGCCAAATTCATTAAAATGATTACCTGACAAGAGAGGGAAGGGAATAAAATGGAAATGGTGATCAAAAGGGGCTCCACTTTATCTGTGATAGCCTTTTAAAAGAACAATCTATTCACGTGGTGATTGTTTTCAAAGGTGACTACAACAGTCTCTCCCAAGCGGCTCACCCTTTTGTCATGGGACATTACTGCTTCTCTCTCTTAAAGAGGTGGAGTCTATTTCCACCCCTTGAATCTGATCTTGGCCTGTGACCTACTTGGAACACAGAATGTAGAAGTGACAAGGGGAGAGTTCCAGAGATACCCTGCAGCCTTAAGACACCCTGCAGCTTTGCTTCTACTCTCTTAGAACCCTGAAGTACCATGTAAAAAAAGTTTGACTTCCCTACTAGAGAGATCAGATGGAGAGGCCCCAGAGGCTGAAAAATGGAAAAGAGAGAAATCCCAATATCCTAGTTGCCCCAGCTGAGGAGGCAGACACGTGAATGAGTCCATCTCAGATTCCTCAGCTCAAACTACAGATGAATGCATATGCCTAGCAGAAATAATCCATTCTAGTTGAGCCCTGACTAGCCAACCACAGAATCATGAGTAAATAAAACGTTATTTTAAGCCACTGAGTTTCATGCTGGTATGTTACACAGCAATAGATGACTGATATTACTTGTGTTATTCAAAATATATATTTTAAAAATAAATAAGCCCACACGCAAACCTTTCTTTCTATTTAACAACTAGCCTCTTTCCTTTTACCACCTCACACCCCATCTCTTTAATGTCTCTATTCATCTAGCTGATTATACAATATCCAACAATGCAATGCAAAATCAGCGCAAATCAATGCAAAATCAGGGTGAAGTGATTATAATGTGAAATCGCAAATTTTGCAAAATATGTAGGAAATCATGAAGTTGATGAAGGTAATGTTAGAGAAGCCCTTGAATCATGGGCAACTCCTCTGACAAATGAGAATCTGCAGCTGGAATAGTTAACATTAACATTTGAAGAAGAACAAATCTACATGGATGATGGCACAATAAGTGCTTCAAAAAGAAATGATTTGAATGTCAAAATTTAAGAGAGGCTCTTGGAAAATTGATGAAGCCCTCAAATATTTTTGAAATAGTGACACTCTATGATTTGCCCACAAAAGTCAAATGTAAAAGGACGTCGTGTCATGATATCATATAATTTTGTTAGAAAATTATGCTTCTTAAAATCAACACTTGATTCATCCTTTATTCTAATATTTAACACATTTTTGACCAACTAAATTTTATTAAATATAAGGTAAATTAATTTTAATAATGTTCTTACTTTTTTAAAAGATAACATCTCAACCAAACCTTCTTTTCACCTTTTTTGGTCTCTATTTTTAAAGCATTTGCTTTAAGTGGGTTTTGGTGGCACCAATTATCTGAAGAAATTGAAGGCCTCTGTAAATATCTTTAGTTCATCTTCCTAACTGGCAGCTATACTCATTGAGAGCAGGGTCTCCGTCATGCTTTGCCAATGTCTTCTGGATAGTGCTTCATGCATATAGCAGAAGGCAGAGATTCAACCAACGTGATAACCAATGGCCTGCTGATTGATTGGCTTACATGTAGGTGTTACTATTGACGAATGGCATTGTTCCATTATCAATCCCTGACCTGGTATGAGCTGGCATTTGTTCGTCTCAAAATTGTTCATAGAAGGCCTATTACAAACTTCCTGCTGAAAGCACTTTCAAAGGCTGGATACGTTTAAAATCAACTCAAGCATGTAAAGCCATTTTAGGAAAATAAGCCCCACATCCCAAGGTTCAGCTGAGGAGGGCCACATTTGAGAACAGGTGTGCCACTTCACTGAGCAGGAATTTTAAAATGTCAAACATTAGAACCACTTGAGAAACTCCAACTCAGCCTGCCAACAGACACTTCTGGGCACGTGTCAATAAATGCCTTGCAGAGATGGGCATTTGAGAAAGTCTCTCCTCACCAACTCAAAGTTAGTTAAAACAAATCATCACGGTAGGTTCTTAAAAAGACCACATTTTATTTTTCCTCAGTCTCACTTCTTGAAAAAAACAATCATTTTTTTAAATGTGGTCATTCAAAAAGTTTCCATATATTACATAACAGTCATAACAGCAGTATTACTTTTTTTAAATATCCCTGAAGTTCAATCTCTTTTAACTTATTTTGTATCTGCAACTGCAAGAGTAATAAGAACTGAGCTGTTTTCCTTATCATTATCAGAGTTAGTCCCATTCCTTTGCAAATGAGAAACTAATAATACAAACTTGGCTGCAGTACCCTTTAAACTCTATGCCTCCCAGTAGGACACCCGGTGTTCTGCAACCCATCAGTCAGTTCTAGGGCAAATGCAAACAATACTTTCCGTTACAATAACTTGTATCCAGGAAAAAGAAACAGGCACCCTGTTGCATCTGCAGCATAGCAGCCAGAGAAAAGTTTACCAGCTTTAGCCAATTGGAAGCTGTGGAGCTGGGCCAAGTTAGCATGTTTTTCTCCGCCTCTAGATGAAGTCATGATTGAAATATGACATTGAAAGGGAAGGGGAACAGGAAAGAAAAGCTAAACCTGCAACAAAGT
The DNA here is from genome assembly GCF_000001405.40 of Homo sapiens. Lineage (NCBI taxonomy): Eukaryota > Metazoa > Chordata > Mammalia > Primates > Hominidae > Homo > Homo sapiens. The sequence continues at coordinate 191,847,218 of NC_000002.12, read as the reverse complement.
GTCCTGTGCCCAGAACGCGGTTAGGAAGTGTGTGCATACGTCTGAACCCTAAATGGTTCTCAGTTCTGTAAACTTCTCCTCCCACTGGGTGGAGTAGGGCCTTTAAGAGCAGCTGGAATGCAGTTCCCCTGATCAGCGTAGCCAGTTGTTGCCTGTCTGAACCTCTGCCAGTCCTGGAGACTGGTGCCCTGAGCTCCAACCAGCGGGCCTCATCCTACACCCTCACCACCGCAACTTCTCACCCGAGCAAGAAGCAGCTCCCAGAGAGAAAGAACGTTCCCACCTGCCTAGCCATGGGAGAGGACGCTGCACAGGCCGAAAAGTTCCAGCACCCTGGGTCTGACATGCGGCAGGAAAAGCCCTCGAGCCCCAGCCCGATGCCTTCCTCCACACCAAGCCCCAGCCTGAACCTAGGGAACACAGAGGAGGCCATCCGGGACAACTCACAGGTGAACGCAGTCACGGTGCTCACGCTCCTGGACAAGCTGGTGAACATGCTAGACGCTGTGCAGGAGAACCAGCACAAGATGGAGCAGCGACAGATCAGTTTGGAGGGCTCCGTGAAGGGCATCCAGAATGACCTCACCAAGCTCTCCAAGTACCAGGCCTCCACCAGCAACACGGTGAGCAAGCTGCTGGAGAAGTCCCGCAAGGTCAGCGCCCACACGCGCGCGGTCAAAGAGCGCATGGATAGGCAGTGCGCACAGGTGAAGCGGCTGGAGAACAACCACGCCCAGCTCCTCCGACGCAACCATTTCAAAGTGCTCATCTTCCAGGTCAGTTCCCCCTATGCCTCCTTACAGGCGGGCTGGAACTCCTTATCATTCTTGATCTCGCTCATCCTGGCTCTCACAGCCATTTTTACATTTGTCCTGCCTGTCAGGGATCACACATACAAGGCACTGTCCCCTGTCTGCCTGCGGAAAGCAAATGTGAAATCTTCACACAGGGGTGGGAATTTCCCAGGTCACTACAGACTAATCCAAAGAAGATGTCCCCGGGCTTAGTAGGCCCCGGGTCATTTGTCAGGGAGCACCTGGATGCACTCTGTACAGGTTGGGAAGATGTGCAGGTGCGTGCACCCTAGTCAAATTCATTTGTCTCTTTGCATTAGGAGCTTAGGGCTCTGGCTGCAGCTGTTAGCTGGACAGGGCAAATTAATTCAGTGGCTGTTCATTAACTCTTAGTGGAAATGAAGTGATCATGTGAGGTATTTTGTGGTTTTTTTAACCAAAAAGTCAAACTATCCCTTTATACAAAGGCTATCAACGTTTTGGGGACCAATCAAATAGAGGATTGATTCCATTAGAGTTAGCCTTGTTCTTTTAAGACTTTTTTGGGGCAAAGCAATCTTGTGGAGTTCTTTTCTAGCAAATGCACTAGAAAAAGAGAGTACAAACACACTAGACGTGCCTCTCCTTGTTCAGAGAGACCACAACTGTTAAGTAAAATAAAAGGAGTGTTATCAGTTATAGTCACAAAGGCTAGTCTTAAATGTTTCTCCTTCAAACGGTTGCCTTAGAATAAAAAGGCCACTTAATTTTTTTTAATGCATCAATGATGCAATTAATGTAGCAAGAGGCTATCTGGGGACAGGGAGATTGCGTGGGGCTCTTGTTCCGCCAAGTGGTGGGCATTTGTGAATCCCAGGGCAGCCCTGCCTAATGCTGGAAGCCCTTCCGCCCAGTGGAATCCAGCCAGCACAGAGCCCAGGAAGCGATTGCCATCCTCGCTCCAGGGCTGTCTCGTTGTGACCATATGAATAGGAGAGGATTTCAAAGCCATGGAGGGGAGAGGCTATAACCAACAGTTTGATTGTGAAAGGCACACAGGGAAAGCCTTCATCTCCCAAGAGAGATTTAGAAATTGGGATTTAAACCGAGGGAGTCTTCTTTTTCAAAATGAATCTGCTCTGCCAAGTTAGAAGCCTTCCTACCCCCATAAAAGGAAAGACTCATCTCGCTGCTTTTTTGTCCTCCTCAAATTGCACTTGAATATTGTAAAGGTTTAGGGAGCCTATGTCCTCCTCTACCTTGCAGGCTTTTGCAGCTGAAAACTTTTCAGCTTTTAATGCAAATGCAGTAGCTTTTCATGCACCAGATGAATTGAAAAGAGATACTGTAACTGGGCCTTTCTTAAGCCATATGAGATCCTTACTTTATTAGCCTAAGAGATATTAGAAATCTCAGCTCTCAAGCCATTTCTAAATTAAATACTGATCTCCAAACAAAACCAAACATGTACAGACCTGTTTAAGTCTGAGACACCAAAGGAAATTTTCCTGCTTCCAGTATGAATCAGGCAAATTATCTCTTGTCCCATCCCTCAGTTAAGGAGGAGGAAAAAAGTATTTATCTTGTAGAGGAAAGTCACAATTCGTCAGGATTGGGTTTTGTTTTGTTTTGTCATGGATGTTCTGCAGATGTTGGGGGGAGGGATGGAGAGGATATGCTAGTAGAAATTCAGGAGAATTATAAATCTGACATTAAAAAAAAACTGCTTGGGAACTTAAAGGCATATGCTGTTGTGAGGGTCTGACATGGTCTCCTGTTTTGTCACATTGAATTGACAGGTGTGAAATTGCAGCCAGATATGGTAGAAATTCTCCATATAGTGAGTAAAAGCTGAAACAGGGGTGCTCAAGACCAAACTGGAAGCTAAGAATATCCACAGAAATGTGCTCGGACTCCATTCTGGGCCCTTTAGAAAACAATCCCCAAGGACACCTTTAAAGAGCATTTTAGGAGGCAGGAAACTAGAGGCAAGTGACTGGACCTTTCTTAAGCCGTGTAAGATCCTTTATTAGCCTAAAGGATATTAGAATTCTCAACTCTCAAGGCATCGCAAGATGATTGTTTTGTATAAAACTAATGCAAGCACAGTCCCTCAGTGGACTCTCTTGTTCCTTCTAAAAGTAGCAGTTTCCCCAGAGTAGTAATTATGCCAATGGATAAAATAATAATTTGTATTAGAGAGTGGTCCAGTATAGTAGTTCAGAAGATAAATTTTGGAGTCACACAAACAGTAGTTCAAATCCTAGTTCTACCACTTGCTAAATATGTGATATTGGACACAGTTTGTAGCTTCTCCAAACCTGTTTCCTCATCTATACACTGATGATATTAATAAGAGCAAAAAAAATCAAGCACTTAATAAACCCAGCATACATTGGTAAGCATCTTATCTCATTTATCCCGAATCTACAGATGAGGATGTTGAGATTCGAAAACGTTTATGGCTTGTCTGAAGCTAGTTAGTAAGCAAGTGGTGAAACTGGGATTCAAACTCATGTTTAATTGATTTCAAAGCACGTACTCTTGAACACTAATGCTTCTTCCCTCCTATCTCTCTCATAGAGTGAGGAATGAAAGAAATAACATTTAAAATAGTTAGCAAGGACTGGCATGGTATAAGTGCTCAATGAATAGAAGATATTACTGAGTGGATCTGAAATTCATTTGCTCAGAAAGAAGGCTACACTTTTGCTTGGTTAGAAATATGGTCCTTGGGTAAAAACTGACCTCACCTTGCCCAGGATCTTAAAACAGCTCCGCTACACACAGAGAACCATGTATTGTATAACTACCGCCATGTTGAAATCAACATTATATCTCATCTCCATGAAAGCAAAGGAATCTTCCCAAAAGACCTACTCAACGAACCCTCCAGTCACAGCATAATCTTCACAGTGGAGCATAAGGGGACTGCTTCCTAGACCTGTGGAGAATGTGGAGGGCAAATATGTACCAGGTGTTACTCAGTGTCTTTAGGTAATTTATCATTTTCAGCCCATCTGAACCCTATGCCAGACTTCCCCTTATTAAATCTACTGTTTCTAATTTAAGACAAAAAATTATGTAAAAATAAGAGAGCGAGAAAGGAAAATCTATCCCATGACCTGAGCATATTTGGTATGGTACTGTTGAGAAGAGTACATTTTCAGTTTGTGGAATCCTGTTGAGCCCGCCGAAATCTACAGGTCTGTTTTGGTTAGTGGTTGAAGATACTTACACATTTTTTTTCTTTTTTTTCTTTGAGACGGAGTCTCGCTCTGTTGCCAAGGCTGGAGTGCAATGGTGGAATCTCAGCTCACTACAAACTCCACCTCCTGGGTTCAATCAATTCTCCTGCCTCAGCCTCCCAAGTAGCTGGGATTACAGGCCCCTGCCACCACGCCCAGCTCATTTTTGTATTTTTAACAGAGACAGGGTTTCACCATGTTGGTCAGGCTGGTCTTGAACTCCTGACATCAGGTGATCCATCCGCCTCAGTCTCCCAAAGTGCTGGGATTATAGGCGTGAGCCACTATGCCTGGCCATAATTGCATTTTTTAAATTCCAAACTTTGTCCTTAATTTGTCCCACTCAAAACGTGACATTACTTCTTTAAGTCTGTACTGAGTGTTACAACATTGTTATAGCTGTTAAGCATCTAATTTCTTAGCAATTACTTTAAATTATAACCAGTAGTGTCTAAAACTGAAGAAACATTCATCTCTCTTTCAGCAATAAAATAAATCTTAAAATCCTAGTTAAATTCAGCAGTTTTCTCTTTTAAACTTTTTTGTAATAGCTTCAGATCAATATTTGAATTCAAAATACTGTGACATGACCCAGCATAAATAAAATAAGACTCATAGGCATTGCTGATCAAAAAGCAAATGCTAAAGAAAGACTGAGACTTTGCTTCTAAGCACAGCGATCATTTACTAAAAGAAAAAATAGAATTTGTACAGAAAATCAGTTACTCTACACTTATGAGGAAATTTTCTCTTTTGATTTAAGAGACTAGAATTTCACAGGTAACTGGCCCTGAGGATGCAGTAGCCTCTTACGTCCTCTTAGGTTCTAGTAATGATTATTTGAAAAAGCAGTTGGGAGATGATTTCAAATCCAGGGAGCAAAATGAGAGTACTCTTGGACAGCTTACACTTTCGTCCACATAAAATTGGGAAACTGGGTGAAAAAAGTAGAAAGGTTAGCTATTTGCAGTGGATACATTTCTGGAGAATGGAGCCTATAAATGTGTTCAAATCTTCATCCTTTGGGTTCCTTTGATAAGGTCAGAATTTTAGAGAGACGCTAAAAGTGTAACATCTTCAGACCATTTTTAAAAAGCCTGTACTTTATCCAAAGTCACTGCTTTGAAGACTGTTACATTAGTACAGACCTGGAAGAAATGAGGATATAGGTAATAAAAGACGCCTTCATATGACAACTCGCCATGTTTCTATCACGCTACAATGTTCCCATATGGGATATTAGTTTTGATGTGTTACTTATCCAGTGCCCTTTTACTTTATGAGATAAACAAAATATTAGTTCTTATTGTTATTATTTACATTTAGTGAATGTGAGCACTGTCCCAGGCACTTTAAGTGAATAACTGATTATTGCTGGTATTTTTTAGAAAGAATCATTGCATACTCTTATGTAAAAAAAAACTAGACTCCTTCAGATGCAGCCCTTCCAAGTAAATGCTGCCCCTTCCACTGCTTTGTAATCTATATCTATTTGAATTGAATGAATGAAAAATGTTCTCCAATGCAACTCAGGTCCTAGAGTTTTGATTCTTACATAAAACAAAACACATTTGGTATCAGTACACTATGGAATCAACTCTGTAATTTGTTAATTCTTTTTGTGGGGTTTATGTTAACATCACAGAATCAAACATGTTAGAGCTGGAAAGCACCTTAATAATTGTTCAGTTTAACTTCGTTTTGTGTCAAAGAAACAGAGGCCCTGAGAAACAGTGACTAGCAAGGTTTCATTTTATTATTAATAATAGAGATTATAGAATTGAATTGCAAAATGAGTAAAAACAAACACTATAATCCCACCTTGGTAAAGTTCATGTTTACTGGGTTTTCTACATCAGCTTTTAAATAATTCAGTGTGCTTTGGTTTTTTTGTTTGGTTTTGTTTTGTGTTTATTTGTAACAAAGAACACCTAACCAGTGTGTCTTAAAAAAGAATTGAACCCTTGATAACACTGAAAAATAATGAAACTTTTAAATCCTCCAGAATGTGAAAGACTGCTCAGGGATTATAACTAATGCATTTTATTCTTATGACTTGCTGATTCCACCGACAGCTGCCTTAGGGGTGCAGTTCTAATCAATGACTGTATCCACTTGGCAATCCATACCTCAGAAACACAAATCGGAGAAAACCATCAATGTGTAAAAGAGACCTATAAATCAGAATGTCAGGTGGGCACAGTTTCATTTTAGTAACTAGTATTTAGAGATTATTGGATAAAATATTCCATGGACACAAATTTATGGTCTTCATATCCCTCCAGGATTCTACTGCATCCCAGTGGGAATATGACATCCTTTGTTATTTTCTTCTGCCAACAGGAATGATGAGTTAGTGACAGGAAAGCAAACTGTTGTTTTTTCTCTCCTTATTCAAGCTTTTAAATGACTTACCATGATTTCCTTTCTAAGGAGAGTCATAGAGTCTTCTTTTCTGTTAAGGTGTGCATATCTAGGTATTTAGATATGTACACAGAAGATTTGCTTCCATGAGCTTCAAACCAAGAAGTGTCCAGCATGTTAGCAAGTTTGTCTGTGTTGATACAAATAGGACTATTAGTTCACTAGGATCGATATGAACAGCAAACAAGTTAAAGTACAAGGAGAAATGCTACTTTTTCAGTTCTTTCCATTCATTTTTATGCTGTGAGCATATCAGTCATATATGTTTGAAGTGTGCTGTTTTATTCCCCTTCCTTTGAAAAACTCCTAAGGGTTCTCGTGAAAGGTCAGAACCGGGAACACCTGCATCAGGGGAGCTGAGGACCTTTTTGAAAACAAAGGGTAAATAATCAGCTCTCTTGGGGCCTCTACTGGGCAGAACTACCAAAGGAAGCAGTGCAGCCCACAAGGGATTCCTAGTGCCATTTTCAGGAGCTACGAACCCTAAGTAGACCTAGAAGTAACTAGGGCAGGGAAGCAGTGACAGAATTGAGGATGTGTACTTGATCTTCTCTCTTGAAATCGTCATCAGTCTTGCAACCTGTAAGAGAAAGCAAATCAGAAACACTACAACAGGAGGCTGAAGGCAGAAGTGTCACCTTGCTTATAGGCATATGAAATATCAAGTGTTTCCACGAGGTGTGTGGGGGAGCTTGAGCACAGGGCACGTGTGCAGGTGAGATTAGGCACCTCAGGAGAGGGCAGTTATCCAGCATCCATTATCTTAAGTTTAGACTGAGTTTCCACCACCATAAGAGTTACTTCACTGTCAAACACCACTCACATGTTTTACTATAGAACAGAAATTTTGAAAAGTATCAGTATTTTTCTGCTTCCAAACAAACATTATGGAAAGGTAAGAGCTACATGTGCTTGGACATTCACAGATTTTTGTGTGAAAAGAAAGGGCTTACCTTCAGAGTAGATGCCATCAGAAGCCACAAAATAAACACTGTTCAATATACAGAACATTAAATCCTGTTTGTGTAATTAAAATGACAGCAGAAGCATAGCAGTTAGCCAAGAAGACATATCTCACTTGTTTCCAGTTGCATAAAGACACATCCAACTCATTCTGGATTATCTCTGTTCCTGCTGGGTTTATTTTTATAGCTGGCATCAAAAAAGCTCTCATATAATTTCCCTGGCATTTTACAAAAGAGTTCAATTGGGTTTCCTACCTTCCCCCAATACCCATTCATATACACAGTGTGTATCTACCACAGATCATATATGATTCACCTTATAATAACTTTCCTCAAAGCTGTCCTCAAAAGATACATGATAAAAGAATCGAAAGAGTCTAAAACTCAACAGCAACTATGCTTTTGTAATAATAAAATGTATATTTAAGGAAAAACTGTAATATTATTAGTTTAATTCCTTTAGAAGTTCAGTTAATATGCCTACCTTTTGTTGGGATTAAATAAAGGGAAGTTATACAACTTACTACCTTTGATTACCCTGAGAGATTATACTATGCAAAATGTACCTCTTCTCTGGTAGCCAAGGATTATTTTTACAGTTTTCTGCCTGAATTTCTGCTTTCCTCACTGAGGACTTTTAATGACATTTCACTGATCTCTTGGTTTCTTCCTTTCCTGTAAGCAACTCCTGTCAAACCTTCTCAACCCTCTTGTCAAACCCCAGAAGTAATTTTGCTTCTAGACTAAGCATCCAAGCCTTAGCTATTTCAGTTGTCTAACCCTCTTTTAGTAACACCCATCCACTGCAAAGAAAATCCTTCCTTAAAAATGGAGATCATTGTCCCCATTGGGACTTAGGTTCTCTTGATTTCCCAATGGCACCAGCAGTCAGCAAACTTCCTTCTAGACACAGAGCTGAACTTGTTCTTTTATAGTCCTCAAGCCTGCCCAAAAGAGGGGCAATCTCCATTCCAGCCACTCTCAGGGCGTTCTTAGAAAGCCACCTCACCCAACATGCACTCATTTAACAAGCAGCTGTTGAGCTCTAGGTGCTGGGACACAGCATGGACAAGAGACAAAAATCCCTGCCCTCATGGGGAGTACACTCCGGGGAACTAGAGGCAACCGCAACTTGAAACACGGGAAAGCAGTGCTTGTAAAAGGCCATGTTATAAATAACCTGTGGCAGTCCCATGCTCCTTTTATTTATTTTTTTACTTTGTCTTTTACTATGGCCTGGACACTTAACCATGACATTCAAAATGGCAGAGTGTGGAGAGAGTTTTGGGAAACACAATATATGATATCGTCACTCTAACGAGGAATTCTATTTAATTGGACTTTTCTGCTTTTTGCGTCGACACAAGACATTACCCTTTGTTTCTAACCAATTTATGGAAAGGACTCTGTATAGTGTGTATAAGGGGAGACACAGGGTTGTATTTTTCAAGGAATATCATAATTCTACCATTCAGTTGTTAACAAGGAGAGGGTTTTTTTAAGTTTCTGTATAATATCTAAACTTTATTTAGTCTTTGTATCAAATATAAAGTGACACTCTTAAAGCATGTTTTCATCTTTTCGGTCAATCAAAATTACAAAACAAGAAGGGAAGTTCTTGCCATTAACATAAACTTTGCATGACGTTTAAGTCCCAGGTAGACTTTAAAATCCACTAAATCCAGTTATTTTTCAAACTGAAAGTTTACTGAACAGCCTTAGATATAATCAGGCAATCCTGAGGCTCTGGTTGCAGGAGAGGTGGCAGGGGGGTCTGGAGCTTTGCCCCCCTCTGGCATTCCAGCAGAGCCCCTGGTACCCCTGGGAGTGCAGTATGAAAGCTGCTAATCTAGGTCAAATCTCTTGTTCATATCTGGAAGAAACTGAGACCCAAGGAGATTAAGTTATTTGCTGAAAGCTGTCCTGCTATTCAGTAGTACAGCAAAGACTGAGACTCAGGCCTCTGGCCACACATTCACTACTGTGCCATTTCTTTCAAAAAAGATGTGAAGACATCTTGCTGACTGGCTCTCCTTTTCCAGTATTCAAAGAAAAATATTTAAAAATCAAGAGTTCTTTAGCTGTGTAACCCGAGTCTGTCTGCATTCAAAACTCCCCAGTGAGCAATGTTGCAACACCATCCCCCTTCCACTCTAGAGTTGAGTGTTCAGGTGCTGCTCCTTGAGAGCCAAGAGGAGCCATCTTTGCCTGTGTGCCCGGCAGCTGGAGGAGAGTGCTGGCAACGGTGAAGGGGGCAGCTTTCTGTGCTTCTCTCCTCACTCTTCGCTGGAAGTGAGGGCCAAAGTATTCTTGCCCAAAGAAGCTCTGTGTAACACTAGAGAATTGATAAACTATGGCTGGCAGCATAATTTCCCCTCACTACTCTAAAAATAACCCTAAGATCTCACCTCCGCTTAGTAACTCCCCAAAGGATATTCTAAACCAGAAGGCTTCCTGAGTGCACCCCCAGGAAGCCTAGTCCTTGCTTCTCTCACTCTTAAACGATGTCCTCAGCAAAATTAGTGTGCACCTTTGAGCAGATACTAAGGCTGGCCCTACCTTTACTTCTGACTCCTAGTTGGAGAGGGAACCCAGTCAAGGCTTTATGTGTGTGTGTCTGGTACTTGAAGACTTCTCAGTTCTCACCCTTGCCCTATCTTTTATCTGCCAACTTGATCTTCAGGCTCTCCTGCAGTGGGATTTTGGCAGGCCCAAGCCCTCTGACCTCAAAAGAGGATAGGAGAGAGAGGGCCTCTGGGTTCACAGCACAGTAACGTTCTTTAGCTCTGTTATCTAGGCAGCTTCCTGGTCTATCTCAGTCACTGCCCACTTCCCCTCTGCCTGTCACTGATACAGTTTCTGCCGGTTGTCCTCCTGATATTCCCAACAGGCTGCCCTTGGCCTTATCCAGCCTAAATAGAATGACTTGACGAGTTTAGAATTAACTCTTCCTATTCTAGAAAACTCAAGCCACAAACATTTGTTTTTTTACCATCACCGTGTCTCCAAAACAGACACACGTATTACAGCAGCTCAGGACTATTTGTGAAATATGTTATTAACATGAAACCTACATTGTCCGTCTTTTCAGGAGGAAAATGAGATCCCTGCCAGCGTGTTTGTGAAACAGCCCGTTTCCGGTGCCGTGGAAGGGAAGGAGGAGCTTCCGGATGAAAACAAATCCCTGGAGGAAACCCTGCACACCGTGGACCTCTCCTCAGATGATGATTTGCCCCACGATGAGGAGGCCCTGGAAGACAGTGCCGAGGAAAAGGTGGAAGAAAGTAGGGCAGAGAAAATAAAAAGATCCAGCCTGAAGAAAGTGGATAGCCTCAAGAAAGCATTTTCTCGCCAGAACATCGAGAAAAAGATGAACAAGCTGGGGACAAAGATCGTATCTGTAGAGAGGAGAGAGAAGATTAAGAAATCTCTCACGTCAAATCACCAGAAAATATCCTCAGGAAAAAGCTCCCCCTTCAAGGTTTCTCCCCTCACTTTCGGGCGGAAGAAAGTCCGAGAGGGAGAAAGCCATGCAGAAAATGAGACCAAGTCAGAAGACCTGCCTAGCAGTGAGCAGATGCCAAATGACCAGGAAGAGGAGTCCTTTGCAGAGGGTCATTCCGAAGCGTCCCTCGCCAGCGCTCTGGTGGAAGGGGAAATTGCAGAGGAGGCTGCTGAGAAGGCGACCTCCAGGGGGAGTAACTCGGGGATGGACAGCAACATCGACTTGACTATTGTGGAAGATGAAGAGGAGGAGTCAGTGGCCCTGGAACAGGCACAGAAGGTACGCTATGAGGGTAGCTACGCGCTAACATCCGAGGAGGCGGAGCGCTCCGATGGGGACCCCGTGCAGCCCGCCGTGCTCCAGGTGCACCAGACCTCCTGAGCTTAGAGCCACCGTGCCATCCTGTGCTGTGCTCAAGCGGGCAGCCAGGGCTGAAGAACAAACTCTTGCACATCTCCAGCACGACTCACCCACTCCTGCGTTCCTGTCCAGGCAGTAATCATTGACCATATAGTCATAGTAAGACACACGAGACCAGGCTTTACCATGAAAGCGACCTGTCACGGACTCCACTTTTAATTTGCTCTTAGGTTCTATCTCTGTAGAATGTCTCCAAGATTGAAGAAGAAACTGAGCAGTTGAAAAATGCTAATCTCTTTGACTTAGTCAGAAAAAAACAGAGGATAATTAAGATACTAGTCATGAAAAGTGATTCATTCTTTTTTGTCATTCCATAAGCTTGCTGAATAGTGTACCGGTAATATATTGTATTTCCACCGTACTCTGTGAATCTAATTATTATTCTTTAAGTGTTGATATATAATATACATAAATATGTAAGCTAAACATATAACTATATGTTTTAAGAAGAAAACATCTACGAAAGGTAAAAAGAGATGATCAGTTGGTTGTTTACTTGCTAGAAACCATTGTTTTATTGCAAACGAAGGAAAAATGAAGAGATTATAAAAGTCAGCTAATGAAGTAAGATACGTAGTAAAGTCAGGACTATTCAAAAAGTAAGAAAGAAAATTTGGAAAATGAGAGAAACAGGAAACAAAGAATGCCGAAAAGAATGAAAACAGAGAAAAAATGTATGTGCTTGAAAGTAAAATACTTACAATAGTAGCTTAACTATTTCACTCTTTAAATAAAAATACTAAAGAAGTTCGTATATCCTGGAATAACATGTCATCTTCAAAATATTTTTATTTTCTAATATTTTTAATAATAAACATTTTATAGTGTTAAAGCTGTATTTTTCTTAATAAATAAAGGACATTACAAATATTTCTTTAAGGAAGTTCAAAAGGATGTTGTCTTGTTAACACTGGAACGAATATAAATCTTCAAAATACAATTAATATATACTGTTTTGTGGAAACTTAGCTCATACTATTCTTTAATGCTCTTCAAATTTAAACTAACCCTTACATTCCATGTGATGTGATGTAGGCTTATAAGATGCTAAAATCTATAGGTTTTGGAAGTGAAAGATTCTATTTTTTCTTTTTTTGTACATAATGGGAATTTCATTCCAGATTATATTTTATTTACATATTAATTTCACAGAATATTAATATTTCTTAACTTCTTAAAGCATGCTAGCGTTTTATGTATATGTACACATATATTCAGACAGGGTAATTTTATCTGCTGCCTAACATTGTACTAAAATATTGCTTTATCTGTTTTTAATTACAAAATGCTAATGATTTCTTAAATTATAGTTTAAAGACAATTGGCCCAGGAAGCAAATCCCCTGCCTTTAGTATGAACCACTATAAGTAACCTTACAAATAGAGTTAATCCAAGACAATATTAACAAACTGTGCTTTGTCTTTAATAAAAGGGATAGGATTAACAAACATATTGATGGCATAACCTATTCAGCTATGTCCTTATTTTTGCAATAATGTAACCTCAAATATTGGATTGTTGAACCAACAATGGCTGTGTTAAAGAAGATTAAATAAACCGAAAAATAAAAAGCATGAAACAATGTCAGTTTCTTTGGCAGAACAGTTTTAGAACAAGCAGAAAGAATTGATTTTTAAACTGTCCTCCAAACGTAGCAGTAATGTTGATTGTTTCAGTCTTGATTTCCCCTATTAACTCTGCTTCCCCCAACCGATCTCATTTAGAAATCTAAGTCTCATTTTTCAAGTTTAACTTTTTTGACATCACCTTGCCAGCCTTGGAGAGTATCTGAATTTACTGCAGCAGCTTGATGAGTTTGATAGTTACATCTGCATTTTTCTTGTATTATATCAGAACTTCTAATACTTTAAATAGTCCTGCAAACATGAATGTATTGACCTGTAAATTCAGTTTATTCATACAGATAATCCTTTGTCTTCTGCAGTGCCATAGAGTTGGTAGAAGACTTAATTTTACTCAGGGCCCAAAGCAAGCCTGTTTAACCTTTATGGAGTTGTTACTTCTTGCAGCTGAGAAGTTGGAAACTAGCTGTATGTCAGCTGAAAACTGCACTTGAGCATTTTTTTAAAGTTTCACTGGCAATCACATTTATTCTATGTTCCACATTTGAAGCATTAAAATCCTAAGCAATAAAACAGAGAATAAGGCCAGATAATTGTTGAAAATCACACACTGTAGGGATTAGAGAGAGAAACAGTTGTGGAAATTGAAGCGATTTATTCGTATTATTCTTGCAAACTGGTGAGGCAGCAACGTCCCCAAATTAGATATGTCTTCTCCCCACCCATCCAACAACCCATTCCTAACTTTCTATGCCTGGAGCTCAAGAACTGGATTAGTTTTCCCCAAAGATCGGTTATACATTAATAAGGACTGATATCCATATCTTACAAATATAATTCAGGAGTAAGAATTTTAGAGTTATTACATGGGTCTATTGTAATAGATGTAAGCATCTATTACATGGGTCACAAATCTCACAGAAATATAGCAAAAAAGAAGTCATTTTTCTGTGAGATTTCTTTTAAAAGTAAATAGGTATATATTTCAACAGGAATATTTTCTTCTTTCTGCTTAGGAATCCAGTATGTGGCTGAATTACTGGTTCTTTTTATATGTGAAAACAAAATACTCTCACTAAGACTAGTTCTGTACAAAACAAGGACTTCTGATATTTATTGTCTGATGAAAACCCAAAATGTTTCTGCTTTTAGCAGTGCTCACCCAGAAGAGCAAAGTTTGACACTCATGCGATTAAGCCCACTATTAGGAAACCTTAACATAGCCTAACTGCCAGTATAAGTAAAGGTTATAATGAAAGTCATTTCCTACATTAAGACACTAATGCCCAAGTCCAGTTAATTCCTGCTCAAAAGTGTGTTTACTGCCCTGGAGCCCAAATCTAAGTGATTTTATATTGAAGATTGGGAGTATGAAGAATTGAGATACAGGCAGCAATCATTATTAACAGTTCCATAGCAACCACAAGTCTTTTCCTAAAAACCAAGACTCAAGCACTGCAAAACAAGTTTCAGATGAAATTGGCATTGTGACCTTTGTATTCTGCTTGATCTGGGTGTCTAGATAAAGACTTCTGTAGCCAGGAACTCATTCCTAAAGGGAACAGGCAGTAACTTGCATTATTAAAGATATTTTCTTATTTTTGTTTTAACCATTACATTATCCTGCAGTATTTGAAACTCTAAAATTATTTTTAACTCTCCACATAAACTGCCCTAGTTAAGGAGTCACACCTTTAAACTAAGCAGCTTGATTTTCATACATATATACACTTTTCACTGTAAAAAGCAATTTGTTAAATATTTATTGAGCAAAGCAATCTTTAGTTCCTCGTATTTGCTAAAATTTTTAGCACCAAAGCAGTAAGACCCAAGAAAGATGGAGGAAACCAATATTTTTGAAAACCTACTTTATACCAGCTGAGCACTCCAATGCCAGCAGTACTGTGTACCTATCACATGTTAGATACATGCATTATCTCATTTAATCATATAAAATCCTATTTGGAAGGTATGATTTTTACCTCCATTTTAAGAGTAGAGAATTTTGAAGTTTACTGAATCCAACCAGTAAGATAGAATGGAGAAAGGACTCCTGAGTTCTTAACTACTCTAAGGTCTCACCCTTCATGTTATAATTTAACTACTTTTCTATTAAGGGTCACAGAATTGAATGATTAGTCCAGTTCAAATAACTAGTGTCAACGCCAGTGTTCAATTCCAATCTGAAATCCATGCTACTGCCAAAACAGACACTTAATTATCCTACAACTGCTTAATTATAAGTCAGTTTATAAGCTATCAAATGGTATAATATTAACTTCATTTTACCACCCCTTATACAGCATCACTTACACTGCATTTTGTAAATGATTTTGATGATTGTCATTCCAGTGCTAAAAAAAAAAAAAAAAAAGAAAAAAAGAAAACCTCACTGTTCTTGGAGAGCCACAGAGAGACTATTATTCAGGTATGCTGAGGCCACAGAGGGGCTCCTTAGCTCCTTGGCCTCATCCATTGTCAGTAGCTGCAGGGTTCACTTTGGGGAAGGGTATAATAAGAGCAAGCTGTCAACAGAGATAGATACTAGAATCAGCTCATTCAAAAATGGTTCATGAAGTCTGCCTCAAACTCTTCAAGTTAAAGGAGTTATATCCCTGTGTCATAGGAGAGAACTTGCTATATTCTCCTTGGACACTTCCTCTCATAAGCTGAAAAAAGGAACAAATGGCAAATCAGCATGCGGCCAGGGGTGGGGGATTGTGGAGGTTCAGGAAGTAGAGTGAATCATGAGGATACAGAGACCTAGCCTATGAATATAATTCCTGCAAAATTATCCAGCTGTGTTCTCAGAAAAACACAGGAGCTAAGTCAAACAAATGCTGGTGTCTCCATCTCTGTGTGCAAGCAATCAGAGAAAGCCCTCTGGCCAGCCCTCTTTCATCAAGATGTATGCTGCAGGCAGCTACTTCCTCCAAAGGCTTTGGCAGGGGTCACAAACTCAAATGCCTGAAAGCTCAGACATGAGTAAACTGACTCAAGGAGATGGTGGCAATTGTGGCAAAGCTATTACACATGGGCCGTGTCCTGTCCAATGGGGCACCCTTAAAATCCACCTGTGCAGAGGCAGTGCTTCTTTCTAATTCCCACACAGGGAAAGTATGTTCTAGGAGCCACCCTGCGTGTGGTAAACTGGCAATCACTACCCAGTTCCACTTGCTGTGTGAGAAATGGGGTCCAATGACTTCCCGGTCCAAAACATAGGCCTCTTTTAAGAAGAGCCAAAATTTAGATTTCTTTTTACATGAAAATCTCCTGGCTTTTAGTTTTTGGCAACTGATTCAAATCATTTTAAACGTTATGCAAGCCAAATGTAAATGCCTGCTGGCTGGATGTGGCACAGGCATAGACCATCCATTTCGGACTCCTGGTCTACAGAGATGAAGGCTCTTGGGTGCTTCTTTCCCTCCTGGAGGCATAAACACAATAAGAGAAAGTTAGTGACAGGATTAGATTTGCCTTAAGAAAAAACACAGACGCCTTCTTAGGGGGATATAAAATGCAAAACACCCTTGCCAGTACTTACAAGAAGTTTCCCTATTGCCACTTCCCGAATTTATGAAAAGATTGCTGTTAATGCTGTGTGAGGAGAAGTAGTCAATCACATTGGAGGGTGGTTGTACGGTCTCTAACGGAAAAGCACCCCACCTTGTTATCAACATTGCTAGCCACCTGCGCAGCCCCTGGGTGTCAAAGGGATTGGTGTTCTTGGTAACCTGAGCATATGAAGTTACCATCCCACTTCTGTGTTCCAGTTGAAAAATACCTACTCTTGTCAATAACCTGAGGCCCTATAGATGACAAAAAGTAAGGCTGTATTCTGCTCTGTCATATATCATCACAAAATTGTCAGCCAACACACCAGTTCTTCTTCAACTCTTTATTGTTGGTAATGACGTACAAAAGAGAAAGGACACAGCTCAATTTCTTTGGATGCTAAATTGAGCCTTCAGAGCTCAGAGTTGGGAAAAAAAAAAAACTGATACAGATTTAGCACAAGGGTCAAGATGTCCTCTGTTAAGGAGAAACTTTTTATGTTGGCAACCACTTGAAGATCTAAGGAAGCACGAGGATTAGCTGTGTTCTCTTAGGTCCACTGCATGTTAATTGTCTCTATGACCCTAACGGCACGCAGGGAAAGGCAGCATATTCCAGTGAATGTGCCCTTATTTGAAAAGTCAAATTTCCTGGGGACTTTAAATCAATAATTTTACATACCTACATAATAAAAGGAAGGCCTCCCTGCCAGGACGGATGGAGAAAAGCAGTTTCTTACCCTGTGAGATTGCCCCTGAAATCAACCAGAGAAAGGGAAACTGATGCCCATTGGCTGTAATTTCACTACAATCTTTAGTGTTTTCTTTTTTCTTTCTGCCATCACTCTTTTTAATTATGAGACTAAAATGTCCTTCCCAACTATCTCATAGCTAGACTTTTAAATGATTAAATAAAAGAAGTTGGCCTAAATTTTCCAGTAACTGCAGGGCGTTTTTATCTTCAAAAAACATTTCCCCAATACAGATATTCATTTTGTTTTATTAACATTTATTACATTTATGGGGCAGCTATATGTGCCAGGCCCTGTGCTGGGTATGTAGATAAAACAGAGGAATAAGAATAGTCTTTGCCATCTATAAATTCCCCATCTTTGAGGAAGGTGAAAGTGCTGAGAATCCTGTATATAGAGAATTTAAACTTATAATAGCAAAGCAATAGGAAACAAATAATTTGTAAAAGAGTCACCCAAGATGGTTAAATGGAGATACTGTAGCTTAGCTTTGTAAGTTATTGTCTTAGTCCTTTCCGGCTGCTATAATAAAAATATTATAAACTGGATGGATTATAAACAACAGAAATGTATTTCTCACAATTCTGGAGGCTGGGAATTCCAAGATCAAGGCACCAGCAGATTCAGTGTCTGGTGACAGTGCCAATTTCTGGATCAAAGAGGCTACTTTCTCACTGCATCTTCACATGGTGGGAAGGACAAGGCAGGTCTCTAGGGCATCTTTTATAAAGGCACTAATCCTGTTTAGGAGGACTGAGCCCCCATGATCTAATCACCTCCCAAAGAGCACCCATCCTAACACCATCATACTGGGGATTTGTTGTCAACAAATGGATTTGGCAGGGAGTAGGGGAGGACATAAACATTCAGACCATAGCAGATACCATAAATGTCCAGGATAGAGCTGGCAGGAAGCTAAGCTGTGACTTTGCTATGGAAGCTAAGTTGTTTGGACTTAATGATACAATCACACAGGAATAGGAGTTTCTGCCTCTAAAGCAGGAAACAAAATGGTGGAAGAGAAGCCCTGAGTGGAAGGAACCTTATAAAGTCTTTAAAATGAAACATTGACAACAAGCACATTCATTTGTTTTAACTGACAAATAAGTGTTGAAGCAGACAGTATGCCAAGACCTGTGAGAGGGGCTGGGTTTACCGGCAAAAGCAAACAGACATTCCTTTTCCATCCTATAGTCCTAGTGTCCCTCAATAAACTGCTTGGTCACTCTCTTGATGAAAGTTTTCAAATTGGTTTGCTTTTTGGTTTTAAGGAAATTTTCTCTCATGAAGTCACATTGCTAATTTATAATGTTATAGGATGAGGTAGGAATGTATAAATGAAAACATAAAATGGAAATCAATGAGAAAATATGGCTCCCTTCAGGTATAGTAACTTTATATCCAACTTTGAAAGAGGGCATATTCTCCTTACGATAACAACTCATCCTTGGTTTTTTTAATTCTATTTATTAAGGTTTTTTATTTATTTTAAAAAATATTAAGTAGGGAATAAATGACCCATAATCTCACTGTCCAGATAATTCCTACTGTAATTATTTACTTTCTTACATTAAAATATTATGGAAAACTAATAGTAGTTTCCTTTCTTCTTCTTCTTTTTTTTTTTTTTTTTGAGACAGAGTTTCGCTCTTATTGCCCAGGCTGGAGTGCAATGGCGCAATCTCGGCTCACTGCAACATCCAAAAAAATAGATTTACATTGCTAGTTATAACTTGTGACTTCTGAAGCTTCCACAACCTCCGGGTTCAAGCGATTCTCCTGCCTCAGCCTCCCAAGTAGCTGGGATTACAGGCATGTGCCAACACGCCCGGCTAATTTTGTATTTTTAGTAGAGACCAGGTTTCTCCATATTGGTCAGGCTGGTCTTGAACTGCTTACCTCAGGTGATCTGCCCGCCTCGGCCTCCCAAAGTGTAATAGTAGTTTTCTATTGTTGTGTAACAAATTACCACAAATGTAGTGACATTAAACAGCACTCATTTTTTAGCCCACAGTTTGGCAGGTCAGAAATCCAGTGTGGGAAATAAGAAATAACTGGAAAATAATAAATTTCCCAGTCTGAGTTCTCTGCTCAGAGTAGCTAAAGGCTGAAATCAAGGTGTCAGTTGGACTGAGTTCTTGTCTGGAGGATCTGGGAAAATTCACTTCCAAGCTCATTCTTGTTGGCAGAATTCAGTTCCCAGCAGTAATAGGAATGGGTCGCCATTCCCTCGCTGGCTGTCTGCTAGAGACTGCTCTCAACTCCTAGAGACTGCCCATATTCCCCACCGTGTAGTGCCCTCCATCTTCAAGCCAGCAATGGCAAGTCCAGTCCATCTCATGCTTTAAATGTCTGACTTCCTCATCATCTGCTTCCACCAGCTAGAGAAAACTCTCTGCTATTAAAGGGCTCCTGTGATTGGGTCAGGCCCACTTGGATCATCCCTCTTAAAGTAAATGGTGCCACACAACATCATTAAATCACAAGAGTAAAACCCATCATAGTCACAGACCTGGGGATTACACAGGGCATGTCCACTGAGGAGGTAGGAAATCTGGGAGCCATTTGAGAATTTTGCCTACCACATAAAGAAACATAGTAAGGAAATTGAAATACTGCAAAAAGGTATTAAACAGGATATAAACAAGCTACTCCTATCCTACTTCTCCCAACCCCACACCACAGTGATAATCATGGTCAACAGTTTTCTTACACATCTTTCCAGGAAAAAATATATATATATATAAAATGCAAATATGTCTCTGTATCTCCTCTTTGAATTTAAATAAAAGGAATCAAATTGCTTTTCTCTTTTAATCTTGCTTGGAGCTCCTTCCTTAGTGACAAATGTGGATCAGCATTATTCATTACACATTAAGAGTAGCTTTTTATTTCTTTAATAGTTACATAAGAATAAGCAAAGAGATCAGCAATGAATCATCCCTAAAACGGAGACAAATTATTTATTATTTCCTTTTTTAATTTATGGACAGAGTTTGCATCAGACCCATTGTTCTACCTGAAACACCTTCTTCTCTTAGAACAGACGAGTCCTACAAGAGTCTCTATTTTGGAATAGAGTCAACTAATTTTCCGCTAAGGCAAATTTAAATAACAACTTCTGAAGGAAGTGATCCCTTTACACACAAAAGGCTTTTAACAGTATGTCCTTACCTGTGAAGAAATGGCACCATAAAAAAGAAGATAAAGCATAAGAAAAAGAAAACAGAAAAGCAGAAGGGATTAGATTAAAGTTAAAACTGAAGTCTGGAGTTCATCTATGCTTCAGAGCAGGAAGAAAGTTCTACCCTCTGAACATTACCACATCTTTTCTCCCCAGCAACACCAAAGAAATAAAAAGTATTACTTTTTCCATAAAAGATGTATTTCTTTCTAATTATTGTCATTCTAAAATTCTTAAACTACAATGTTTGATCTATGACTTTAGAATACCAATTTTTCATATCTATTTCTTCTAAGCACAAAAAGACAAAGAGACTTCCACTACCTTTCATTGTTCTTTGAATGGGACTAGATACTAAAAAATAGATTTACATTGCTAGTCATAACTTGTGACTCCTGAAGCTTCCACAAAACTCATATATTCTACTTTTTTCTACTGAAGTGACAAGTTGCTCTGCTTTCATCAATTTAAATGGAAACACAGTAAGCAATAATAATGGCCCCATTTTCGTGAGCTGTTTCTCTGTGTGAAGAGTCCATGAGCTGAAAGTTTCTCTTCAGAGATCAGTCCACTGTTCTGAAATGGAGATGAACTATTACATATAATGCTAATGCATATGAATTTATGTTAATTCTTGAAGAATGTGGTAATTTGCTCTCAGAATCTTAAACTTCCTCACCTCTGCTGCAGAGAGACCCTAAAAGCACATCTCTGCAGATTACCTACCGGGACATCAAGGAGGGCACTTAGTAGTAACTAGGCAGCAATTTAAGAACAAACCTCAAGACTGTATGAGGCAATTGTTAGTGATGAAGCAAAACAAAGAAGCTGAGAGGAGATCCAGTACCATCCTTTGATCCAGGTAAGCAGGAAACCTGACCTGGGCCTGCACCTCAGGGAGCACCCTGCCTTAAAGCACCTTCCAAGAAATGTTCTAAGTCCCCATCTGGTGCCTGGCACCAGCCCCTCTGCTATTTGGTCGGGAAGTCTCAGACTAGATCAGGACCTATGTCTCCATTTCTCCTCTACAGAGCACTCACTAAGCCTCTACCTGGGCCAGCCGTGGTAGTTCATGCCTATAATCCCAGCACTTTGGGAGACTAAAGCAGGAGGATCACTTGAGGCCAGGAGTTTGAGACCAGACTGGAAAACATAGCAAGGTCCCATCTCTACAAAAAATTAAAAAATTAGCTGGGTATGGTGGCATGTGCCTATAGTCCTAGCTTCTCAGGGCTGAGTCAGGACGATTGTTTAAGCCCAAGAGTTCGAGATTATAGTGAGCTATGTTTGTGCCACTGCATTCCAGCCTGGGTGACAGAGCAAGACCCTGTCACTTAAAAAAAAAAATTAAATTATTATCTGCCTCATGCATGAGGTAAACCAAATTCCCCAAAGAACCTCTAGGAGGAAAGCACTGCTGCCCAGGAGAATAGTTTTTATATGAGACCGTGAAAGATTGGATAAAATTGGGCCTCTGGAATGGTGCTGACATGCTGTCTTAGGGTGACAGTGACCCTGACTTTGGAGGGACACAGAACAATTCAGGACTCTGCCGATTCCTGGGCTTAAGCCACACACGTGAGCTGGCATAATAGCTCTTTAGACTGCGGTGCCACCTCCAGTGTATGAAGGAACCAGGATGGCACAAGGTATCCTCTACCTAGAGCTGTCATTCTACTTCCTCCACAGGCTCTACACCATGGGTCAGGCTTTGGGGTGGCCTTGCCCATCTGCACAAAGAGCTTTCAAGATCTTTGCTCTCCTTTACCCCGTGACTCTTCAGATCCATTTTCTCTCTTGCCTTACATCATGTGTTGATGTTGTAATGTGCCAGGCTGGTCTTGAGCCATGCTAGACAAGGGATGGACATTTCTTGTGCAAATGGGACCACTCTTCTTATCCTCTGTAGGTCCCTCACTTATTTTCCCCACTGGTAGAAGTGGTGGAAGGCAAACATACAGCCAGCACTAAAAGAGATCACATTGTAGGAATACAGTGGCCACTGCCTAAAGCATTCAGCAGAAGACATACTGGAAAATACAGTATTCTAAGTTTACATGCTGTAAAATTCTATACAGTAAATTTTACATGACCAGAAAACAATGTATCATTCACATTTTTCTGCATATGCTGGATAAGATTTGCATTTGTGGTCATCATCAACAAAGCGTAGTAACAGCCTTTGAGACAGTCATGAGAAACCAGTAGTCATGGGTGACAATATGAATGATGCAGCCTCATGAGTAATGATGCAACCAGCATTAAATAAATGGTATTAGAGAACTGCAGAGGCAGAGGTCTATACTGTTTCAGCACAAACAGAATCTAAAGAGCCGTTGCATTGTGAATAATAACAGCATTGCTACCTGTTTCTCACATGGTGGAAGATATGAAATTAGCCAGGAACCACACATTTGACAATAAAGAACCAGAAGATACAATGCCAATCTACTGGCTGATATAAGGAATCATTACAAGCAATGATTGGACAATAAACGAATGTGTAAGTAGCTCCACTTTACCCATTTTCTGAAGAATAAACTTTGTAACACTTTTTAAATCAAATTGTTTATACAGACAGAGGACCCACAAAAACTATTTACCTGAGGCCCTGCACATTTTTGGGATGACCCTGAGGAAAACTCTTGGGGAAAGGAAGCAGCTAACCTTCCAACATACAGTTTCATCTTTTCTCAATATAGATTTCATATTACATGGTTTTGGAATCTTCATGACTTAATGCAACAAATATTTTACATATGCAACGAAATAATTACCACTCTGTGATACAAAGACCCTCTGACACAGACGGGACTTTTGCACCTTTTTTTTTTTTTTTTTTTTTTTTTGGTAGCTGTTGGTCTGTTGCATTTTTTCCTGCTTGAAGAGGGTTCTCAAGTGTTCAGATGAGGCTTGCTTACTTACTTAGTCAATCAACTGCAGTAAAAGAGTTCTTTCTAGACTGACCTTCAACACCCAGAGTATTTTTGGATGACATCACTGTCATTAATTGGTAAAAACTCAGAGAATGTAAAGTAATTTTCAGGTTAGCCTTAAATATTTTAATTATAGAAGAAAACCTGCTCTAAAAACATATAAATGCATGTTAATAACATATACAGGTTATTGCTGAAATATCTCTTGGATCTTTTCCTTTTTTATGAACATGGATAATTAAGGATTAACTATATTTTAAGGATTCCGTTTTACCAATGGTCTGTTTTTCCCACAGTCGTATCTACAAAAATAATTACTTATTCACAAGTGATTAATCTTCCTTGACGACTTAAAGTATTAGTCTAATCATGCAATTACTAGCCAAACAACTAAGAGAGGCTAATAATGAACTTCTAGTTTCAGTTCTAGTTCAAGGAATCTTGGCTTATTTCTAGAGGGAGGCAAGAAATAATTAGAGAAGAAGACTGAATTTTAAACCAACATATTAAACCAACTTAAAGCGGTGACATAGCCAATTTATAAGCATATGAAAATATCCTTGTGTCCTTCCTCTTTTTTGTTTTTGTTTTTGTTTTTTTGAAACGGAGTCTCGCTCTGTCTCTCTGGCTGGAGTGCGGTGACGCCATCTTGGCTCACTGCAAGCTCCACCTCCCGGGTTCACGCCATTCTCCTGCCTCAGCCTCCCGAGTAGCTGGGACTACAGGCGCCCGCCACCGCGCCCGGCTAATTTTTTTTTTTTTTTGTATTTTTTAGTGGAGACGGGGTTTCACCGTGTTAGCCAGGATGGTCTCGATCTGCTGACCTCGTGATCCGCCCGCCTCAGCCTCCCAAAGTGTCCTTCCTCTTATCCACTGATTTTTTTTCTCCTTGCCAGATTCTAATTGTAGAAACTACTACTAGAGATGCCTAAGCTAATCAAGGTCAAAATTTTAACTCCCACAGGATTTTAAAATTTCAAATATCATTGAATTTCTTTTCAGTAAATCTTACAAATACATGTTAGAGAACAAAACATTCCAATAACATAGTATATTGAAATATAAAATCTGTAGTTAATTTTTGTATTTCCAGTTGCTGCTTGGTAAGCAAGCTTAAAGAAAAGCATACTGTCAGTGCCACCATTCTTGTTTTTAAAAATTTGACATATGTTTCCATTTCGATAAAGACAGTTATAAAATGCATTATGGTCATAGGAAAGAGAATAGAACAATTCAGATTTTCTGATGTATTTTTCTTTTAACTCACCAAGTATTGCTTTCCTCCTATCAAAGAGGGATAGGAAGTACCTAACTTTGAGAGACGCCTCTTCTGTGATCTAACCCTTTAAAGTGGGATGACAATCCTGTGGCAGGCAGGGAAAGGATATTTATTGAAAAAGGACATTAGCAACTAGAATAGTTACCTCTACTTTCTCAGTAATAAATGGCAAATTCCAAGCCTTAAGCCTTTTTGTTTGGAAATTCAACAACAATAACAGAATGAGTTCATCTTTCCTTAAGATCCAGTGGCCTTTTTGAAACAGAATCCCAGGAAAATAATCTTAGGATGTGAAATTCTGTGAATTTTACAAATAAACCGTAAATTACATAAAATTAAAAGCAATTTCCTGGCTTTTCAGCACTGACCTTCTAATGGATGCATCCCAGTCACAGATCAAATGGCAAAAACTTTACATCCTACAAATCCAGCAAAAATCACTTGTAAACATGAAGACATTGGACCCAAATGAACATCAAATGTCTAAATAGAAAACAGCAAGAACCTGCTTGCTTTAGGAATGTTTTAGGATAGAAGATGTTGATTATAAATAAGCAATAACATGGTAGAAACAAAAAGCCAATTTGTTTAGAGCAAAATATAGTATTGAGAATCAGTAACATCCAATTCAGTGCATCAGTCAATATGTTTGGACATTATGTTTGATACAAAGCACAATTGTGAAGTGGGTGAAGGATTCCAACTCTTCCACTGTGCAATCATGTATCCTTGCCCCACCCAACATAAATAATAATGCCTTTCAAATATTTCCGTTCCCTGTATCCTTTGCCATCACCTCTCTGTTCTGCTTTTCTAAGCAGCAGGGTCAACCTGGCATTTCCTGGAGGACTGCACCTGTCAGCTGGAATCACCGTTCTTCCAATTGCTGAATCAGCCCACCCTCATACCACTAGCTGGTAGTGATACAAGGAGACCTTCAAATTCTGTGAATTTTGTGTCCGGATTAGAACAGGCTGTAGGCCAATTTCTTTAAAACCAGAACAGATTTTCAGACATTTATACAATCACATTTCTAATTACAGAGGGCCCAGAAAATACATATCATTTCAGACTTGAATGGACTATTTGATTCCAAGCAAAAATCTTTTATTTTGTCACCCAGATGACTACCATATACTAAGGCCATCATAATTATTCCTATTGTGGCAGAACATTGTTCTAACTTGAAAAGCCAAGCTTTTAAGAGGAGTTCTGTAAATAGAGTTGAATACTAGACAAACTAAAAAAATGAAAAAGAGGCAAGTAGGAATCAGTCATAGGGTTCAAATTTTCAACCTTTGTGACTTTGATCCTTTGCCAACCATGATTTTTCCACGTAAGCTGATGGATAAAGGCTACACAGAGAACACTGCTGAACTGAAAGAACTTTTCTTATTGAAGAAAAGACTTCAACCTGAACTGAAAGAACTTTTCTAATTGAAGAAAAGACTTCAGCAATTCAGAGAGAATAGTCTATCATTTTTCAAGAGAATTCTAGTTAACAATGATATTATGTTATTGAATCCATTAAGAAAGATATATGAGCAAACTCACTCTTTTAGTTCTGGGCACACTGGAATCAGAGCCTCAGACGGAAGTTCTGGTGCATAAGGTTTAGTGAAGCCGTGCTCTTCAGAGAAAGCCAGCAGAGTGGGGTGCAAAGCGGGAGAGGAGAGAGGAAAGAGCTCAGCAAGGATGTGGTCCCGTACAAAGGCCAGTCTTGACCTGATCCAGGGGATCACACCACAAAATTATGGCCCTCACCTTCGATGTAAGGGGGCCATTTGTAGTCCCACATTCATCAGTCATTGGCTGCCCTTAGTTGGGGCGAGGAGCATGACCTCCTGGGAGATGCAGCTGCCATTCGCAATTCTCTAAAAATAGGGGGCAGCTGTGGGTCATTAGAAGTCTACACTCACAGCAATTGGAGAAGGGAGTGATGGGCTGGGTAAGGGATCCAGGCAGGGCACCACAGCATCTACTACACTTGCTAATTGCAGATCACTCAGCAATTAGAAAACCACCTGGGCTCTGTAAAATGTTAGACAGACTGGAAAGGGTCACCTCTGGCATCAACAGGTGAAGTCATTGGGATGAAATGGCTGGCAATCTTACCCGGGTGCGCTTAATTGTATTATACTCCATGCTTTGTGCTTCCTTTGCTTGTTAACAATCTACAGCCTCTGACATAATGTATCCTTAACCTATTTTGGTGTTCTTAATTCAGAATTATTTCTTCTTCCCGCATGAAGAAAAAGCTGCCAGTTTTGAGAATATCCATTAAGTTAAGGGCACAAAGCAGAACGTTAACATTCAACTTGAAGAGAAAGAAAGAGACTTTATACATCACAAAGCACAATTCTGTTTTAATGGAAGAATGAAGTTTCAGATGGAGAGATGTGGGGACAGAGAAAGAAGTTACCTTCTTTGTACAATTTTTATTTGCATTTGACGAGTGGTGTTCCATGGGAATCCTTTACCCTGTAAAAAATGTCCACCTCTGCTGTTAGTTTGTGATGCTCCCCATTTCTCAAACACGAGCATTTAGAAATTCCAAACTCTCTGATTCTTTTTCCTCCCCGACCTTGTGCTAGAACTGGAGTGATCTACATTTTCTCTGTTGCTCTGTGATATTCTGAAACAATCAAAATAAATTGAATCTTTTATTACCCAATAGGTAGATCAGAAATAAGAACCCAAGGCTGGTTAACAATAAATCTGGTGGTATCTTTACCCAGGTGGGTATTTTGAAGCCACAGAAAAACTCAGACATGTCATTTTGTACTTCCAACTTTCTCCTTCTCTATTTTGAGGTGATTAATTTCCTCTGGATATCTAGAGAACAAGATGGCTTTATATTTCAGTTCATTATAAAAACAGAAAAAGAAAGAAAAGATTTGCCTATCTCCATAGGAAAGTCGATTTCTTTCTTTTTTGACCTAATCAATGAGAAGGCATTAAATATAATGGTTTCAAAATCTTAACTAGAAATGCCAGTTTGGCCACAAAAGGCTTTGTTAAAAGGGCATGTAGGAATCCATGGAGAGGGTCATCATTATAATAATCCACTCAAGATGATTTGATTTCTATAGCTCCAAGTCTTGATATTTGTCCTGGATTCTGCAGCCAGCCAAGGCAGTGGGAGATTTTCTTCTGAAGCAAACAAATCTCCCTGTTTCGTACTGATTCAACCTAATTCTAGCCACCCAGCCTACACATTATATATTTCCTATTTTGAGAAAAAACAGTCCTGGAACAGGGAGTGGGCAGTGGACTCAATTCTTTTTTCCACTAAATTGAGACACCTTACAGATAAGAAAAGCCACATTTTCTGTGAAGGGGAAGAAGCAGAATACTTGCTGCAGTGAAAAATCACAAACCAGGAACCAGAGGATAAGAGGAGAATGGCAGATTAACTTCCGGTTACAGGACAGCCGTAAGCTCTTACAAGGCTCCCTCTGGCATCCGCCTCTAATTCCTAGGCTGTATACACATCCATAAAGAAATAGTTTCCCAAAAGTAGACTCATCTGGGAGTAAAATGTCAGCTTTGCAAGGCTTCTGACCCTGCCCTCCCACAATCAGGCAAGACCCTCAAGTTATAATTAGCTTCATTGACCCTTCAGTCTCTCCGTTTTTGCATGGCCAATTCACTGCTATTTATATCGGGGCTCAGTGGCGATTTTTGTGGCCACAACTGCGTTCTGACCTTCTCCAGAGAGGATACTGAGGGTCAGGACAGTTTTGTTCATGTTTGGATAGAGTTAATACATCATCTCTAGGATTAGAATTCTAGTTTGAAAGAGTGAATGGTAGCTTTGGTTTTATTTTTGGTACAAGAGAATAAGGCTTTGCTTTTAATATTTGAATTTAGGTGTGGGGGTCAGTAAATACATTTATGAAATGCCAGTTAGAAGGAGAGAGAAGGTGTAGAAAATGAAAAGTGGGGGAAAACTTCCCACTAGAATTTTGCCAGAATTTATAGAAGTCTGAGGTTAGAACTGACTTTCTAAGTTAACATTAATACAGACTTACCTCTTTAACGAGCCTAAGTTCAGTCTCATAACAAAGAGTTTCAGCTCTTCAGAAATATAATTTTAAAAAAATGCAAGGTAGGTGGGCAAAAGCACTAAAGCCAGAGGCACATCCTCCTTGCTAATAAAATTAGCTGACATTTATTTTGTATTTGCAGGTGCCAGGTACTGTTAAGAGTCCAATGCTAGGGTGAAGTGTTATCACTTCCAGAACACAATCTCCACACTAGTCAGTGGGACTGAAGCCCAGCTGTAACAATTGCTAGCTGTGTGCCCTGCAAAAATGTATTTAACCTCTCTATGCTTCTGGTTGTTTTTTTTTTCAGCTGTAAAATTGGTGTTAGAAATAATCCTCACCTCATTTCAATTTAAGATCGTGAACAGATATCCACATTCTCAACTTCATTACAGCATTATTTACAAAGCCAAAATGTAGAAACAACCTAAACATCTATAGGTGGATAAATGGTTTTTTAAAGTGTGGTATATACATACAATAAAAATAGTATTCAGCTTTTAAAAAAAAAAAGAAGGAAATCCTGCCACTTCTGATAACATGGATGAATCTTGAGGACATTATCCTAAGTGAAATAAACTAGTCATAGAAAGAGAAACATTATATTATTTGACTTACATAAAGTATCTAGAATAGTCACATTCAGACTAGAAACAGAGAGAAGAACAGTGGTTGCCAAACCTTCAGGGAGGGAGAAATGAGGAATTATTGTTCAATGGGTGTAGAGTTTTAGTTACGCAAAATGAATCAGTTCTAGAGACCTGCCCTCCAGTGTTGTGCCTATTGTTAACAATAACGTGTTGTACACTTAAAAATGTATTAAGGCGGTAGATCTCATTTTAAATTTTTTTACTACAATTTTTTTTTGAAAACTGAAAATACTAAATCCCTACTTCACAAGATGCTATAAAGTTAAATCAGTTAGTGCATGTAAAACACCGGCACAGAACCTGGCACCGGGAAAGAGCTTATATAAATGTTGGTTATTACTATTATCCACTCATTAAATGAAAAAGTGGAGGTTTAAAAGGGTAATTTGTTCAAGGTCATGCAGGGAAAGATGGGCAAAGCTGAGATTTGAATGCAGGTGGTCTAGCTCAAAGTCCATGTGCTTTTGCGGTAAACCTTAACACCTCCCTGATAAGCACATCCCCAAGGACTCAATGTGATTGGACTCAGCCCTACCTGATGTGGCAGAAGCAGCACAGCAATCAGACACCCATGGGTTCCTTTTGGCCAACAGCTTGTGGCAGACCATGAGTCTAAGAATTAGTAGCTACTACAAAGGCTGATGGGCTGATGGTGCCACAAATTTGAAGACAGTGGGAAGGAAGACCCTCAATTCTCCACGAAAAGACTTGAGGTGGGAAAGGTTCTTGGCTAAAACTAGATTTCTCTCATGTGAAATTAAGGTATGATTATGAAATTAAAAAAAAAACTCATGAATTTACAGCTTTTGTGAGGGCATAATATTTCACTTAAAGCAAAGAGAAATTACCTTTTGTGGTAGATGGGTACCCATGTTCCTAAATAATCATTTTATCCTCAAGTTGTGCCCAATACTATATCATACCATGTCTCATTTCATCTCTATTGAAACACCATGAAGTAGAAATTATTAGCTTTGTTTTATGAATGAGAAAATAGAGAGGTTAAATAACAAGATCACAAAATGGCAGAGCTAGAATTTGGACCCACGTCTGCCCGTCCTAAAACCCAGTGTTTTAACTGTGAAACCAATACTGCCTTGTTGCTTGTGGTTGTGGTGATCTGTTTATGTACAAAAATCACAGTAAGGAATATTTAGATAAGGCTCTCTCCTTATACAATAGTATGACCTTAGCATGGCTTGTTACATATAGAAGAAACCTAATAAATGTTTTTATTTTTTTTCTTCTAACCATACACTTGCAACGTACCTTGGAATTTTAAGTGATTTGTACTTCTTTTCTATTAAGCAAAGCTAAGAAAGGCATTATTACTCCCACTTTAACTGGTGGGAATTCTGAGACTTATAAAAGTGACTTGCTCCAGCCTTAAAGTTTTGAAGTAGCGTCTTATCTCTAGTCCCCTGGGCTTTTTCCTACACTTCATTCTCTACTTTTGGAAACATTTTCCAGAATAGGTGATTAGAGGGTATAGAAATACAATAAATTTTCTATAAATATAAATAATTTGTATCAAGAGGCGAATACTTTAGATTCCATATAGGTGAACCAAGAACATTTCCTGAAACCCTGTCTCCACTAAAAATACAAAAATTAGCCCAGCATGGTGGCACGTGCCTGTAGTCCCAACTACTCAGGAGGCTGAGGCAGGAAAATCGCTTGAAGCCAGGAGGCAGAGGTTGCAGTGAGCCGAGATTGCGCCATTGCACTCCAGCCTGGGTGATAGAGCAAGACTCCGTCTCAAAAAAAAAAAAAAAAAAAAAAAAAAAACACATTTCCATGGAGAAAATCTGTGAACATATGAGGCTCCCAAGACTGATAGATGCCCTTGGGTTCTGTCCTGTCTATCCCTAAATAGACTGCAAATACTATGGGGTTTGCAGGCTTCAGGCTGCTAGATGGCCAAAAGTGCCTCTAAGCTGTTGGTGGGAGAATTAAAAGGTTAAAAGGGAAGCAATGGTAGAGAAAGTGTAGTAACTGGGAGACTGCATTATGGTGTTTGTTTGTTTGTTTTTGTTTGTTTGTTTGTTTTGAGACAGAGTTTCACTCTTGTTGCCCAGGCTGGAGTGCAATGGCGCGATCTCGGCTCACTGCAACCTCCGCCTCCTGGGTTCAAACGATTTTCCTGCCTCAGCCTCCCAAGTAGCTGGGACTACAGACATGCAGCACGACATCCGG
The DNA here is from genome assembly GCF_000001405.40 of Homo sapiens. Taxonomy (NCBI): domain Eukaryota; kingdom Metazoa; phylum Chordata; class Mammalia; order Primates; family Hominidae; genus Homo; species Homo sapiens. The sequence goes on along the minus strand of NC_000002.12, from coordinate 191,815,700 downwards.
ATAACTTTGTATTTTTAGTAGAGACAGGGCTTCACCATGTTGGTCAGGCTGGTCTCGTACTCTTGACCTCAGGTGATCCACCAGCCTCGGCCTCCCAAAGTGCTGGGATTATAGGCGTGAGCCACCGTGCCCAGTTTATGTTTATTTTCTATGAGGGGATTAAAGCAAAAGGGAAAAAAAAACAAACACAGCCAAATGTCTGCTACACAGCCATATACACAATGGCAAGCTCCTTAGCATAGAGCCATTTATCATTTATATGTACCTCAACTTTAGCTTTGAATTGAATACTCAAAATTAAAAAATAATAATAATAAACAAAAAAAGGCCTCATTTTCCCTGTCTTTCTACAGGATCAGGAGAGGGGAAAGGTAAGTTTGCAAGAAAAAAAGCTTTGATTTCCTGCACATATTTATGCAGGAAGAAAAATGTCTTCACTGCCATCTCCAGACAAGAGCACCCTGTGCCGGTCAAGAACTTGTGTTTCATCATAGGCACTCAAGACATGCTTATTGGATGAGGAACCTGGGGCTCTTAAACTGATGGAGATGGCATCAGTCCTGCTCTGGAGGGACTTGCAATTGAAAACTTCTGACATTAACCCAGACAAAAATGGACAAGCTATCTAGATAATGCACTCAGAACTTTGAGCAATCAAATAAATATCCAGTTTGATTTTTTTTACATCACTTATAGTCACAAACTGCTTAATTTCCAACCATTCTATGGGTAACCTTAGTTCACAGACTACTAAAATAAAGTCACAGTACATTATGAAAAATGCCCTTCAGCAACATAAATAAGAAGCCATTTTTGACTGGAGATGAGTAGAATGTTTTAAAGATGCATTAGGAGGCATCTGTGAGTGAATCTCACATAAGAATTTCCTCTCGATTATTTTGAAAGGTAAGTAAAATCGGCAGCTACACTAGTCTCCAATTGGACATAGATTTAATTATTCTGGCTAGCTCAGAAGAGATCTAATGGTTCTAATGGATTCTTAAAGTTTCCTAAGTGGTTCTCCACACTTGGCTGTGTCCAGTCACAATGGACTTAATGACACACGTGTGGAAATGGAGCCACGATGGGGGTGGAAAACCCCACAGACACTGTCTGACAACTTTGCTTCCTGGCATTCCAAGATCTGCCACACCAGCTGATGTTACACCCTGATGTGCCCTTGTGTCCCTTTATGTTAACTTCCTATAATTTCTCATTCTTCTTCTGTAGTATTTCCACGATACCTTTTGATGGAACCTACCACACAATCACTTAGGCTTATTTTCTGTTGTTGAAACTCTTCTTGTGAAAGTCTTCTGGGACTGCTGGAGAGCCTACTTACATCACGGTGAAAAGGACTAAAACATAACGAAAAGAGAAATGAGTTTGTAAATGCAGTCTGGAGAGGTCAGACTAAATATTTTGTTAAAGATGGTCTCAGGAGTAATATTTGTTCATGAGGCAGACATGAACGTTTCCACTAAGAATCAATAGTGAGCCCATTTGCACTGCGCTTAGTGTTCAAAGTGTTTCTGTGCACCTCGCGCACTTTCTCTCTATAAATAAATATCAGTGGTGGTGGCTGTCTGTGTTTCAAAATGCTGCTGCCGGTCATGTTGTTATCCCTGCCTGAGAGTGGAGCTGAAAAGACCAATGCATCGCTATCCATCTTTTGTAGCCTGCATTCAAGCAAAGGTTTTCCTGGTATGGCAGTTCTAATTGCACTTTGCTTCTCGTCTTTTAACTCCACAGTCTGTCTGATGCTCTGAAGCCTCTGTTTGGAACAAGACACCCTATTTCTGCAGGCTAACCACCCACCTCCCAGAAAATTCTGATGATTTTGTTTCCCAATATTCCAAAGCCCTGCAGACCAAATGATGGGACACTTCTGGGTTCCTGTATATTATATCTTCTGCCTGATCCCCTTACAGATGTCAGCCTCTCTCAGCACAAATCCTGGGACTGCTTCCTTTATTTCCCTTCCATACTTGTTCTGGCCAATGAAACAATGTTATAGCAAACAATTCTTCAAAAGAGAGAGAGTATGGCATAGTCGGAGGGGCATGGACAGACCTTGGTTTAATTCCCAACTTGGCTACATACTTGGCAAATTAATCAACTTCTTTAAGCTTCAGTTATCTTATATATCAAAACAGTATAATAATGCCCAGCTTGAATGAGTGTCATAAAGATTAAAGTAATACCTGGAAAGGACCTGGCTCATAATGGGCAGGCTATAGGGGAACCATCGTTACTTAATCCTGATAAAACTCGCCAAGTTCTAGAAGAAGATACCACATTAGTTAGGAAGCTGGTGAAATAAGCTATTTGTAGACTGCAGATGATTTGACAGGGGGCTTGAACCCATGCTTACTTTGTCCATCTAACATTTGAAGAATAGCCTGACCTTTCTAACTGACTTTTGGGATTTCCCAATGTCTCTCAGTACATCTTTGGACAGTATGCCGGCCAGTAGCAGAATTCAGCAGCAGATTTACAACAGTCTATTCCTGATGGAAATCTTTGACTGGAGCAAACTAGAATATGACCCTTTTCTCCTTCAAGTTTATCATCAATCAATGGTGCTCTGCCAGCTCTCTATAAAGGGGATCCTAACCTCCTTTCGCCCTTACACTTCAAGAAAAGATAGGCAGCAACGAGGAGTTCCTGTGAGGTAAGTCTGCAAGGACTTCCTAGCGCGTGGAACAAGGATAAGCACCCAATAAGCACTCAAGAAGCACTGGACACAAGGAAGAATGAATGAATGACTTTATGTCCTAGTGAAAGAATTTCCTGTGGACCTGAAAATATTGGTGTGCCCACAAGTCCTTACATTCTCACATGTTTGAACATAACTCTGTAAAATAATACTGAAACTCCTCTAGCTCCATTTTATTCCAGTGATAGTAGGTCACCATCAATATCTAGATAAATGATTGCACCTAAGTAAATGTCAAGACAGTCAAATTTCAAACTGAATTGGGGCCTTAGTGGTTTGCCCTTATCTATCTTTCCTGTGCACCTATAATATCGGCCATGTAGCAGAGCTCACATCCACTCTCCCACATTTCACTGTGTTTCCCATGTGCCTTTAAGGAATCATTCTTGATCTCAGCCATAAAATTGGAAAGCTGCATAACTGACAAGATGATCCCTGAAGGCAGCTGAAACATGGGGTAGATTGAAACCGACAGTTAATTTGTAGCAGTAAAAAATAATGATATCATCATAAAACAAGTTTAAGACCAGACTGGGCTCAAACACTGTGCACCCACAGGATATATAGATGGGTATTGTCAAGCTTAAATAACAAAGCAAAACAAAACTGAACCTCCCAGCTTCACCAAGCCCGCTTCATTGGCTTTTTTGTGGTACGCTATCACCATCTGCTGGCTGCAGCCCATAAAATGTCCAGCATTCTCTAAGTCCTGGAATATTCCATTCTGCAGAGCCTGATGTTAATTACTATGCACCAGGAAACATATTAATCTCACAATATCATTGAAATGGTACAAATAAGTCAGATCTTCTTAGAATACCAAACAAATAAAAGATCCCAAGAGACTAGAGATTGCCAAAGGCACCCACCCTGTTCTGCCACGCCTGAAAGCTGCACCTGCTGGGTGCGCACAGCCTAGCATATTCTCTTTTTATTCCTGAGCTCTTTCTTTACAGGCATTCACTTTCCGACTTCCTCCTCTCCAGCTGCCTTCTCTACCAGGCATCCTACACGACACTGCAGTGATAGGCAAAGCAGCAGCTCTCAGCTAAAAACAGCCTCCTCCTAGATATCTTAAAGAAAGAAAACCACTGACGCATCTTCTTCAAGGAAAGCAAAGCCCCAGCGGGACTGAGCAAAGAAGAAAGGATATTGTTGCCTCTCCAAACTCTGAAAGCAATATTTTGCATGATTTTTCTCAAGGCTTGCCTTGCATTGTTTCTGGATTCCCTAACTCAGCAACAAGTGATGCTTTGGAGGGAGAAAAGATAGAGTATAAGCAAACAAAATATAGCCACCTATACACCCCTACCCATCTTATATTATGTGTTTAATCTTACCACTTTAGACCCTCTCTTCCTAGCATTGCAGGCCTCTGACTTCTCAACCATCCTGGGGATAAAAGAGGCTTTAGAAAACGTTTCTTCTTCACCACAGCTTGTTTTTGTTTCTTCCGATGATCTGCAATGAAAATTCTTTATTGAATGAGTATGTAATAGTTGTGTAATAAAACAATTTATAAAAATCCTTCAATTTTTATCTATTAAGAAAATTTTCCTGCTGCCAATATTTTCATGACAAGAATTAGATGATAATTGCTCTCAGATAAAATATTTAGTTCTTATTTAGCAATAATGTAAATTTATCATAAGATGTTTTCCCCGGAAAGACCACGCCTAGTGTAGCAGAAACAAGTGACATGCTCTAACTTGGGCACACATCTATAATTGAACAGGCTATCCCTGTTAGAAGAGCGTAACAACTATATACACAAAATGCACTGAACAGTTATTTCATCCTGAACAGTATCATCCTTGCATCCGTTTAAACAATTAGTTCACTCTCCTAAACACTCTGAGATGTGAACTTTAGTTCAAAGGCATTCTACGTTTTCCTCCTGATGCTGTAATTTTACAGGTTAGGAGATTTCTACATTACAAAGTAAACCCTATAAAGCAGTAGAGCCTTGAATAAAATTTCCATCTAAATTATTTCTGTAATAACCAGTGAATATATTTTTACATGTTCAATATCATCAAAATAACTAACAGCAAATTACTCAAAAGTAAAATAACAATGAATTTTTTTCCTATCAAATAGCAAAGGATTTTTAACAAATAATACCAATGCGGTCAAGCAACTATGCACTACTGTCAAAAGTGTAATTCAAAGTAACCCTTCTAGAGGGTAATTTGGCATTGTTTACTAAAAGTCTTTTTTTTAATGTATATATCTTGTGGTTGGTACATTCTAGCATTAGACTTTTGTCCTAAAAGAATAATCATGGCTAATGAATGCAACATACAACATCACAGCTTTTTTATTTAATTTATATACAACAAGTTTTTAGCATTCGGATGTGGTAGGCTGAAAAATGGCCTCCCCAAAGATGTCCACGTCCTTATCCCTGGAACCTGTGAATATATTACCTTACTTGGTTGAAAGTACTTTGCAGATGTGATTAAGCTAAGGATCTAGAGATGGAAGGATTAGGCTGAACTACCTGGGTGGGCCCAGTGAAATCACAAGGGTCCTTATAAGCGGAAGGCAAATGAGTCCAAGTCATAGAAGGTGATGGGACAATGGAAGCAGAGTTTGATGTGATGCTCTTTGAAGGTGGAAGAAGGGCCCATGTGCCAAGGAATGCAGGCAGGCTCTAGAAGTTGGAAAAGGAAACAGGCTTTTCCCCCTAGAGACTCTAAAAGGAACATGGCCATACTGACACACTGATTTTAGGACTTCTGACCTCTAGAACTATAAGATAATAAATTTTGTATTGTTCCAAGCGACTGAGGACTCCAAAAGCCTTATTCTTAAGGGTCTGAGTTATAAAAGACGGTCTTTTTTATTTTTTTATGTTTTTAATTCTTTTTTTTTTTTGTACTTTAAGTTCTGGTGTACATGTGCAGAACATGCAGGTTTGTTACATAGGTATACACGTGCCATGGTGGTTTGCTGCACCCATCAACTCGTCACCTATATTAGGTATTTCTCCTACTGCTATCCCTCCCCTAACCCGGCACCCCTGACAGGCCCTGGTGTGTGATGTTCCCGTACCTGTGTCCATGTGTTCTCATTGTTCAGCTCCCACTTATGAGTGAGAACATATGGTGTTTGGTTTTCGGTTCTTGTGTTAGTTTGTTGAGAATGATGGTTTCCAGCTTCATCCATGTCTCTGCAAAGGACATGAACTCATCCTTTTTATGGCTGCATAGTATTCCATGGTGTATATGTGCCACATTTTCTTTATCCAGTCTTTCAATGATGGGCATTTGGGTTGGTTCCAAGTCTTTGCTATTGTGAATAGTGCCACAATAAACATACATGTGCCTGTGTCTTTATAGTAGAATGATTTATAATCCTCGGGTATATACCCAGTAATGGGATTGCTGGGTCAAATGATATTTCTAGTTCTAGATCCTTGAGGAATCACCATACACACTGTCTTCCACAATGGTTGAACTAATTTACACTCCCAGCAACAGTGTAAAAGCATTCCTATTTCTCCATATCCTCTCCAGCATCTGTTGTTTCCTGACTTTTTAATGATCGCCATTCTAACTGGCGTGAGATGGTATCTCATTGTGGTTTTGATTTGCATTTCTCTAATGACCGGTGATGATGGGCTTTTTTTCATATGTTTGTTGGCTGTACAAATGTCTTCTTTTCAAAAGTCTCTGTTCATATCCTTTGCCCACTTTTTGATGGGGTTCTTTTTTTCTTGTAAATTTGTTTAAGTTCTTTGTAGATTCTGGATATTAGCCCTTTGTCAGATGGATAGATTGCAAAAATTTTCTCCCATTCTGTAGGTTGCCTGTTCACTCTGATGATAGTTTCTTTTGCTGTGTGCAGAAGCTCTTTAGTTTAGTCAGATCCCATTTGTCTATTTTGGCTTTTGTTGCCATTGCTTTTGGTCTTTTATTCATGAAGTTTTTGCCGATGACTGTGTCCTGAATGGTATTGCCTAGGTTTCCTTTTTTAATCTAGTGTCTTTATGTTGAAAATAATCTAAAGAATGTCAATGTAAAGATATTCTGGATGATCTGGTAGACCACCTCAGCTCTGCTATGATTTTGATGCCAAGTTTGTGTTTGCACTTATAGTCACAATAGTGCCAAGGAAAGGCAAACCTCCTAGAGAACAAGGAGGCCACAGCAGTTGTGGGAGAGCTGAATTATCACTTAGAAAATAGCTGTCAATGTCATATTTACACTGTGAGGAGCTATTTTTGAATCTAACAAGATTAAGTTTAGTAGTTAAGAATTTTTGTTTAAACTTTTGATGGTACTGTACTTTGAGGTGCACTGTTAAACTGACTGATCCATAAAAACAATGAATCATTGGCTTAAAATAAGTTTATTGTAGAAGAAAAATATTATTATATTCAAGATGACTGAAATGATAGTCCATCAGGCTCAAAATCAAATGAAGCACACCAAGAAAATATAAAACACTTATCATCCTACTATTAAATATCAGCTATCACTTTAAGTGACTGTTGACATTTCACTTATATTAATTTTATGTCAAAATTTAAACATAAATTTGTATTGGTTTTGTAGTTGTTAGCATCATAAAAAAATTTATTCTAATTTTATATTTCTACATAGCGGGGGAAAAACATAATGAAAATAACATAAATCAAGCCTGGAGGGAGCATGAAAATTTATCTTTCTTTTGAAAAGGATCCATACATTTGCTCAAGTATGAAAAATGTAGAGTTAATTAATTATGTTGCTCCTCCTAATGGAATACTATTCAATCATTAGGAATGATGTCATAAAAAACATTTAATGAAATGGTGAAATGATCAGAATATGTTGATAAAATTTAAAAGTAGTTACAAACTGTCACAGTAAGGTTCTAATGTAACAGTTTTATTTATTTCTAATGAATTAATAAATAAATAAATAATAAATTAGAAATAAATAAAATTTATTTCTAATAAAAAGAAATAAATTTCTATACATAGAAAAATGAACAGAAAGATACAGATGGTCCCCAATTTATAATAGTTTGACTTATGATTTTTTGACATTATATTGGTACAAAATCAATATGCATTCAGTAGAAACCATACTTTGAAACTGGAATTTTGATCTTTTCTCAGGCTAATGGTATGCAATACAATACTCTTAGATGGGATATTCAACACTTTATTATAAAATAGGGTTTTCATTAGATGATTTTATCCAACTGTAGGCCAATGTATGTGTTCTGCACACATTTAAGGTAGCTTTGGATAAGCTGCAATGTTCAGTAGGTTCAGTGCATTAAATACATTTTCAATTTATGATATTCTCAACTTACAATGAGTTTATTTCCCAAAAACAAATACTCTTCAACTTACAGAAATAACCCTATCATAAATTGAAGAGTATCTGTATACAGCTAAACAATAATATATTGCTGGTTTTGACTTTGTTTTCCTTATAATTTTTGCTATTTTCAAAATTTTCTGAAACAAATATTACTTTTCTAATGAGAAAATAGACTTTTGATAATAAATCGAGGGTCAAAACATTATTTTATCTTGGCCCTGACTTCAGAGTGTTTAAAAATTGGAATGACAGATTTGTTTCTCAATGTCTAGAAGACTACTTTGCTGATCATCATAACCTATGCTCCCCTATAAGAAGAGGAGAGTGTCAATGAAAAAACTACAAATCCAACACTTGCCCTCAGAACAACTGTGGGAAGTGTGTGTGTGTGTGTGTGTGTGTGTGTGCGTGTATTTACTTATTTATAAATGTATATACAATCATTCTCCAGGAAACCTGTTTTCTTAATGTTTAAATTATTTAATTAACATGAAGTCATTTTCCTAGTGAGATAATTGGGATAGTCCTTTTCATTCACTGAGCCACCATACTTTTTCTTCTTCCTATCAGCTAATATTTCAAATCCATGACTTTTTGAAAAACTATGTATCCCTTCTCATATCATTAAGTTTGACTTCTGAAACTTTTACTGTAAGTTTAAATGATTATGATTATTTACACATTAACATATGCATCAAATGTATATTTTTCAAAAATCTTGGGGCTGAAAATTTCATTCGTTAAGCTTATAGAAAATGTCAACGGAACTAATTGGCAAACCTTGTCTTCACTGTCAAACCAATCAACCAAGTCAGACTTACTAACAGAAAATGTCTAGCTTCCTTGTCTATTTTTAAGAAACACCACTAAATTGCATCTTGTACTTCCTTACCTATGAATTCAAATTCATTTTTAGATAGACTGAGACAGAAAGACATGAGTTTGTTACCAGAATATGAAAATAAGATGTATCATGTTTCAGTAATTCTCACCAAAGCTTTCACTTTTATGGGAATGATGCAATCTCAAATACCAGCACTGTACACCATGGTAAGATTAGAGATGGGTGAGAGATGTAATTTTCTTATAGAGAATAGAGGAGAGTGATTATAAAAGGGGAAGTGGGGTAGGAAAACTGGCCCACCACAGTCATTCTGTCCAGAAGATTAGTGTTAGGAAAACATACACATTGTCTTAGTCTGTGCTACCACAACAAAATATTGTAGATTGGGTCATTTAACAAGAAGACACATGTATTTCTCACGCTTCTTTAATCTGGGAGGTACGAGATCAAGGCTGCATCCTCCAGAGGGGCAGAATGCTGTGGGCTTACCTAGAAGAAGAGCTGAAGAGCCAGCTGAGGACTGCCTGAAGCCTCTTTCACAACGGCCTTTATCCCATTAATGAAGGAAAAGCCCTCATGACCTCATCACCTTTTAGTGGTCTCAACCCTCCATACTGTTGCATTGGCAACACCTGAATTTTGGAGGGGACACATTTAAACCATAGCACACATACAAGCTGGGGATTTGGCCATTGGTTCCCTTAAAGGTATCCATGACCTTGTAGCTCCTAGAAAGTCTGTGTACCCCCAGGTTTATATGGACTCTTGTTTGAAAATTGCCGTTATAAATGCAATCAAGATAAGCAGAAATATTCTATCCAACCAAAACTAGAAGTGGATTTATTAAATCAGAATACAAGTCTTGATACCAGAGCTTACAGTACAACACACTCATGAAAACATATAGGACTCCCTCTTCTAATGAGTTTGAAGCTTTTTGTCAGATAAGATGCACCTTTTGCAGGTAGATTATGCAGATAAAATTCTCACAATCATAAAGTCTCAAGATTTAACATAAGAAAATGCCTCTGAATTGTCCCAAAATTTCAGTAATTAAAAAAAAAAAATCCTTTCTCCAGGACTTGTGCAACTCAGCCTTTGCGATGCAAATGTAAATTATTTAGTTATGGCCTCCTTTTGTCTTCCTTATTCTGTCCCCCTTACATAAAGGTTTTCATTAGGTTTTAGACTACAGGGTAATCATTATTGTGATTAAATTAAACTTAATCTACCAGAAAAATGTTTTAGTGCCTACTCCAGGCAGGCACTGTGCTAGATTGTAAGAAATGTGTTATCAGATCACACCTTAATGCCCATGACATAGAGAAAATGACTAGATGTAGATGAACTCCTAAATGGCATGTTGGTATTTCATAATAGTATCATACTCCATTTGGATTTAAAGTGTTACAACAAAATACTCCCATTCAGTAAATTTGTCTAATGTTAACCTAACTTTGAAAAAACAAGTTATCTAATGTTCCTGCATAGCCCCTTTCTTGACTAGAAGCAGAGAGCTTCTCTGTGCTTGCTAGAAATCTCCAGCCACCCAGCTAGCATCAGCAGGATTCCATCTGTTTGTATCTATGTTCCCTGATCATAATCTTGTCTCTTTTGTTAAATTCTTTGCAGTCCAGCCGTAACGGCCTTATTCCTCCCCAATCCCAGGAATTGTCATAAACGGGCCTTTTTCTGGAATGTGCGTCTCCCTCCCACTCCCCTACTAAACTCTCTCCATCCCTTCAGATCGCAGCACGGTATGAAAGACTCCGTTCTGTGCTTTTGCAGAGCTTCATACTTCGAATCGCAGTTTGTAATCACATCTTTGTTTCCTTGACTATTTGATTAATATCTATCCCTCCCACTAGCCTGGAAGACCCATGAGAGCAGGGTCTATGAATGATTCATCACCATCGCAACCTTACCATTCCTGGAACCCAGAAGAAGCTAAATAACTCTTTGTTAACAACATGAATGGTCTGACCCTGCTTGAGAAACACAAAACCTAGATCACCAAAGTAATCATGCATCAGCTAATGACAGGGATACGTTCTGAGGAATGCATCATTAGTAATTTTGTTGTTGTGAGAACGAAATATTCTTACAACATATAGTGTACTTACAGAAACCTAGATGGGATGGCTACTATACACCTAGGCTCTATGGTGGCATAGCCTATTCCTCCTAGGCTACAAACCTGTATAGCCTATTACTGTGCTGAAAAATGTAGGTAATTATAACACAGTAATTATTTATGTATTTAGACATATCTAAACATAGAAAAGAGACAGTAAAAATACAGTGTAAAAGATAAAAAATGATATGCCCGTCTACAGTATTTAGCATGAACGAAGTATGCAGGACTGGAGGTCCCTCTGGGTGAGTCAATCAGTGAGTGATAAGTGAATGTAAAGGCCTAAGACACTGCTGTACGCTACTGTAGATTTTATAAACACTGTACACTTAGGATACATTAAATTTATTTTTAAAGTTAAGCAATTGTGCTATGACATTACTATGACTACATCACTAGATGATAGGAATTTCTTAGCCCCATCATAATCTTATGGGACCACCGTCATATATGTGGTCTATCATTGATAGAAACGTCATCATGCAGCACGTGGCTGTGTATTCAGAAGGGCCATTCTCTGAGTATCATCTGCAACCCAACCCTTGCCTTGCAAGGTCCAGGGAAACTGTGAGGTATGTAATGTTCCATAAGACCTTTTCAGAAACTTCCCTAGTTAACAGGGAGCCAATGAGGTAGAAATGAAAAGTGTACTCACCTCGTGGTCAACACTACAATTCACTCTAGTGGGCCCACACCCTTCGATGATCATTTTTCTGGGTCTTCTCCATTGGGCCCTAGTTTCATCTGTCTCACTCACTCCTGAATCACCAGCACTTAACAGACTGCCCGCTATATATTAGGTGCTCAATAAATATTTATTGAATAAATCAATGGCCAATCAACACCTGACCTAAGACTTCCCCTTAGCACACAGTTCCCTGATGCTGCCCAGTGGCAGAGTGTGTGGCACATATGCATTTGAGTTTTTCCACATTAATCTCACTTTCCCTTTCTAAGTCACTAATTATGTTTTCTCCTTGACTCATTAATTTCCACACATAAACTGCCATTTCTCTCTGAAAGGTTGGTAGCAAAATAAGTTGACCAAAAGGACTCTTTTTCTCAAAACTCAAAAAACTAAAGAAGAAAAAAATTGTCCGACTCTTTTTTCAACCAAATGTGCCTTTGAAAGATTTGATATTTGAGCTCAGCATCCAACTCTCCAATTATCTAAATAATTCCACAAGTACAAAATACCATATTTACATATGCAAAGCAAGAACAAGAAATTAGAATACTTAATTTATTCACACAATTGAATGTTGAAACAACTGCAAATTCAGACACTTTTTTTTTGCAAATTCACATCTCCAAAGTAGCCTTATCATGTACTTCTTTATATAGCCTCATGGTCCTCAAAATCTCATCTTCAAACAATTGACATTTTAGAGACTTAAGTATTTAGGTAAATATTTGAAATATGTTTGCAAATTGAGGTTCCATAAGCAAGGTTGTTAACTTACAATCCTTACCTGAAAATGAGGTCATTGGTTTGCAAACATTTTGTTCTAATACCTAGGTGAGGAAGGAGGAGGGGGTACATTGATGGCTTAATAGCTTTTTCTTCCCAGGTAGACTCATTTAGGATGAAGGTGATTATTCAGAAATCCATTTTATTCCAAGCAAATGTCTTTACCCTGGGAAAATAAATAGAGCTACTTCTGGCGATTGTTGCCATTTTATTCAGTGTTCTTCCTTATTACTCCCAATAGTTTAAATAAATATCTATAATAGTCCCCATCCTCCTTGTAATCCCATATAAAATTTACCCCATTCAAAAAAAAATGTATTCTAATGAAGTTATAACCTTTCTTCAGTCTTCTAGGTCAACACTTAATGCTCTCCTTTTCTAATTTTATACCATTTCACAGCAGAGTTAAGGTTCAACTCCATCCTGGAATGACACATTTTCCACCCAGCTATCCTCTTGCTGTTTAACGATGAGCATCATTCCTGGGGGAATGTCTCACATGAGATCATCTCCCAGCCCATAAACCCCACTAATAAACAGTCCAACTTGTCCTGATCTACCTTCTCATAGCATATTACATTAAAGAACCTGTAAAATAAGTTAAAGAGATAATAAAGTGATAGCTGAGAAACTTTACATAAATTGAAAAATTAAAATATAATAATTAACACTATGCTTGGACCTTTGAGTTCATTTCTATTCCCCAGTTTCATTTTTTTCCTTCATATGTAAAAATCAGGGCTTCTTCATTTCACTGTTTGGCTTCAAAGTTCAAAACCTCCCTTCCGCTAGTTATCTAGGGAATCCAGAAAAGAGCTAATCGACACAGTGCTTCACTTTTTTCCTCCCAAACTGATTGCATCGTTTTATCTTTGTTCAAGAATTCGCCTCTGAAAGTACAAAGCTTAAGATGTGATAGGGTGTTGTGTAGTACATCCAGACAAAGGCAATATTTAATACGAACATGGGAGAAGAAAGAGGCAGAAGGCATTATTTACTTGGTTTGCATGCTCCAGATACAGGCATTATGACTGCAGTTGTCAAGTGTGTCAACACTGTCAGATTCTAGCTATAAAAATACCTGTAGAGGTTCATTATTATAACCCTTGGAAGACAATAAAAGAATTTATTGGGAATCACTGAGCCTGCCCTATGGAGTAAGAATTACAGATGGGTTACACTGCAGCTGATTATAATAACATATTTAAAATAATACAGTTGGTTCTAACATTTAGCTTAAATTATTCATTGTAAGAAATTAGCAAACACTTGAACCATGGTACCAAATACAGCATCACTTGTTTATCCTCAAAATACCTTCTTGCATTCTAAAGGTTGTACTCATTAGCCTCTGAGGCCCCATCCGAAGATGGTCACTGTCATGTATGAATCCTGATTGCATAAAACTGTCACTCTTAATGTACTTGAAGGAAACGTTTTTTTCTTCATTGCGCTCTGCTAAATTCTGGACCCTAGCCACTTAACTTATTTCTAAGATTAATGACACCACTCTGCAGCTTTCTATACCTGAGTCTACAGGATGTTCACGCAGATCATTCCAGATCTCTGGAATTTGCCTCATCTTGTTTTTGGATTGTAACACACTAGACAACTAAGGGGGGTAGAAAAGGCGGCAGGAAGGATTATTTACTCGGTTCTTTTGAATGAGTTTGGTAAAAGTTGAAAATATATCCTTCATGGGTCAGAAATATGAATTCTATAACATTTAATCTGCCTTTTCTTCACAACCCTTTTGCTCTAAACATACTTCTACCTTTTGACACAGTGATTCTATCCTAGGAAAATAATGTAAAATATAGAAAAAGCTTTATGCCCAAAGATACGAATTGGAGTATCATTTTAATAATGGAAATAATAAGTAAATGATTAGGTATCATTACAAATTATGTTTGAAAAATGTTTTAAATAACACATAGGTGCATATAATTTTATAGACAAAAAATCTACATACATGCACTACATTAGTTTCCTACTGCTGCTGTAAAAAAACTACCACAAACTCAGAGGCTTAAACAATATGAACTATTATTTCACAGCCCTGGAGGTCAGAAGTCTGAAATGCATCTCAGTGACCTAAAATCAAGATGTAGCAAAACTACATTCCTCCTGCATGCTCTAGGGGAAAACCCAAATGCCTCACTTCTTCCAGCTTTTAGAAGCTGTCTACATTCCTTGGCTTGTGGCTCTCTTCTCTAGCAACAGATGGAGTCCTTCTTGTGCTGCCATCTGTCTGGTTCTCCCTTTTCTGCCTCTCTCTTCCACTTTTTTTTTTTTAATTATACTTTAAGTTCTAGGGTACATGTGCACAACGTGCAGGTTTGATACATAGGTATACATGTGCCATGTTGGTTTGTTGCACCCATCAACTCATCGTTTACATTAGGTATTTCTCCTAATGCTATCCCTCCCCCAACCCCCACCCCACAACAGGCCTCAGTGTGTGATGTTCCCTGCCCTGTGTCCAAGTGATCTCATTGTTCATTTCCCACCTATGAATGAGAACATGTGGTGTTTGGTTTTCTGTCCTTGTGATAGTTTGCTGAGAATAATTGTTTCCAGCTTCATCCATGTCCCTGCAAAGGACACGAACTCATCCTTTTTTATGGCTGCAGAGTATTCCATAGTGTATATGTGCCACATTTTCTTATGACTACATTGGGCCCACCTGAATAATCCAGTATACTCTCCCTGTTTTAAAGTTAGCTGATCAGCAACCTTTATTTCATCTGCAGCCTTGATTCTACTTTGCCACGTAATTGTATATATTCACAAATTACATGAATTAGGGACTAGGATGTGGATATCTAAGCAGGGGAAGGGGGATTATTCAGCCTGCATGTACTGTGCAAGAGAAACAAACCAACCAACCAAACTGAGCTGAAGCAAAAACAAGTAACAACAAAACTAAGCATAGAAAATCTGGATGAAAAGATACCACGTTGGTCACATTGCTTAGTAAAACTGTGGGTTACTGTTTTTATTTTCTCTACTTTTCCATGGTTTCCAAATTTTATTATTTTCTATGATTTATTATTTCCCAAATAATATTATTATTTTGATAATAAAAAAATCTTGTCAAAAATGTGTTTTTAAAACATTCTCTGGGCTACAGTAGCCTATAATTTTATTCTTTTATCTTTTCACATGAATTTTCTTGCTTGCAAATAGTAATCAACTAGTTAAAGGAAATGAAAGAATAATAAGTACAATAGTTATTGATTAGAATGATCTCCCCTCCCTCTGAAAAAAATGTAGTAACACCAACCTCATTGACTGACAGAGCTCAGAACTGTGTATCTGTTTGTAGTTATATATCTTATTTTCCCAATTAAAAACCAAATAATTTAAGAGCAAGTATGAGTCATTTTTTAATTGTCAAAGACAATGTTTAAAAGAGGGATAATCATGACCTTTATACAAATGCAAAATGAACACATGTCAAATATTTTATTTAGTACAATAATGAGTGAGGGGACTAGTAAGATGTTATAACCCATTCGGAGGATAATTTAAAGTACCAACCATATAATCAGTTAAGGAATTCCGAAATAAATTTACAAGTAGATGCCTAACAGATCTATTCACTGAGCTATAATCAATTTCTTCCCACCAGACACAATTAATTTACCTTTCCATGGACAAGAATCATTTGCATTATTATCCTTTTTTTATACAACTTACGGCATCATAAAATAGCAGAAAGACAATGAAAATCAGAGATATCCCAGAAGGTCATGCTAGACACAGCAAATTCTCTTTCTCCCTCTCCCACCCAACCCTCCCCCACTTTTTGGGCCCATTCAGTCTCTCAGAATTTTTCCTGACAACACAATACCTCATAGAGTATCTTGAATGTAGTATGCACTCAGTATAAATTTGGGGTTTGAATGTTGGATTGAAAGATCAATTCTGGCCTGATTACATTAAACGGGTTTGGAATGCCAGTTACCTTACGATTCTTTTTCTTTGTCTGAGGCCCCAGTTGTTTGCCCTTCTTCCCAGCCATGCTTACATTAGAAGAAGAGGAACATTTCGGGCCTCTGGGTTTAGCTGGACCTATCAGGGTGATATTGTAGGACAGAGAGAAATGGCCTGATGCTGAACTATAATGCTAGTTTGAGATAATTACAAAAAGTAATCTCAGGACTCGTGAAACCAGAAGTGATAGACTCTCTCCCCTACCTTGAGCAATCACTTATTTGGCTCTAAACAGAAAACACTCCAGAGATGGCCAGGTAGTTCTCACCATCCTGGATTGAGTTATGCATCTAGAGTTCAACAAGATTTCCCTCAGGTTTTCCAAAGTTAAAATAAACTGTATTTTTTTTTCAAAAAAGTTTAAAGATTTTCTCGAAAATCTTTATTTTTAAAGAACCCATTCCCATAACCTCATAAGAGAATTGTAAAAGTAAATGGGCTTTTCCTTCAAGAGCTAGAGAAATTAAATAGTTTAAGAACTCTTGGTCTAGGGCCATGATATGTTCCAGATGGGTGAAGAGGCAGAAATTAAGTGCAATTAGAATTCCAACTGAAGTCCTCAAGATATGAACACTAAAGGAAATAAAAATCTTTCAAGAATTTCAGTCACTTGCACCAACAACTTAAAAAAATACTGTTGTATTTTTTAAGGCAATGTATAGATAAGTATCAAGGCATTTTTATAACTGTTATCAGAGACAGTCAACTCTTGTGCCCTTGGCTGCAAAGAAAACCAGATCAAACTAAACAAGATAAGATGTCATACATATTGCCAATTAAAACCCTGAACAATTTAAAATGCAGAATGATTTATCTACATTAAATAAAAAACACTCCATAGGCATTTATAAATTGACCCTCAGGCAAAGCAATTTTGTGATTTGAAAGAATACATATATATATATATTTAAAAAAAGCTTGGCATTGCACCAACAATCAGCCAGCATCTTGGCACCCATTCAGATAGCATCTCCCACTAACAGTTGTAGTAATTTTTCTCATTATAGTGTTTGCACGCACATAAATCAGATTCAGGTGAATTTACAATGTGCCATGAACTGTCAAACTTATAGCAGCCAGCAGATTGTCTTAAGTGATACAGGATTCATGCCTTTGAGCAGCACATAACTCTCACAGCTACTGGACAACAGTCCAGCTGCAGCTTCCTCAGTATTCTTCCATTTCCATAAGCTGATAAGTTTATGTGTGACATTTCAAACTTTTGATTTTTATCTGTTGCCTGATTTAAATTCTAAGTGAATCTTAAAACTTAGATCAGGAACATTAAGTCTTTTTAAATGAGATCTGAATTTGTCTAAGACCAAAGCGGCCTTGGTGCAGCGGCAGCATATCTCCATGTTCCCTTAGAGTGCAGTCCATTTACCACTTCAAGCTGCAGTATCTGTGGGCATTTGAGCTTTTTCTCTTCCTGCTAAGCCTGCAATTTCCAGGTGTACTTCAAACAGACTGAGAAAGATAGCCCCTTGACTGCGTGCATTTCAAGCCTATCCTTCACATAGAATCTCAGCAGCTGCCACATTAAACAGGAAACCCATGGGTCAAAATCTGAACTGAGAGGGAAAAGGTAACAAGCCGACCTGAGCCAGGGGTAATTTATGATTAAGTTAATGAAATTCTAATTAGGCTTATAAAGCCCTGAAGTATTTCTTGCAATGGCTTGTCATGAAGCCTTTATTCAGGGAAAGCCAGAGTGCCTTTGATCTGGGTCATGCGGCATATTGTCGCATAGATTCGTGTTTATATCGCCTCTTTTATAGTTAAGCACACTCTTAGAGGCATAAAGGTAATATGAAGCACTGGGGAGAAAAAGAAAAAGCAGCAATCTGTTCAGACCCAATGTGATACTTGCTCAGGGTACCTCTGGGTAATTGTTCAAGTTCTCCTGATTTACAAAACAGATTATTTTCAGCCTAAATAATGGCTAATAAATTCACCAAAAACCATTTTTAGCCTGCAGTCCAGATCCTTTTAAGAGTGGACTTGTCCTTAGAATTAAGAATATTTCAGAATTAAAAATAGAACATTATTAAAAGTAAGGACCCCTACTTAATTAAGCATGCCTACTCACAGGCATTCAGCAGTGCCCTCTGCAGAGCTGAGGGAGAGAAGAAGTCCACTTGGCAAGTTGCCTGTGTGACAGGGAGTGAGGCTCCATTAATTCAGAGGTGTATAGATCAGGCCCACACCTGCAATGGGAAGAATAGCCGTGCTAATGGAAGTAGCCTGACCAATCTATCCTGAAGTGTCCTAGCTGGGAATTATATCTTAAGAGGGAGGAATAGAAAGCACTGCACTTATTTTTTAAAAATAAGACAAGAGTCAAACATAAGTCTATGTTCAGGCTCATTTTTACACTTTTAATTAGCTTATTAGAATAAAATCATATTCAGAAGGCAACAATTTAAAAAATCTTTAGGGGCCTGCTTTCAAGATCATATCACTTTAACTTGAACCTTTCTTGACTCGTTTTACTGACATCTCATTACCTTTATAATTATTCAAACAACTTATGCAGGACCTATGCATGCATGGTACGAAGCCAGCCTACAAAAATTCACACCTGAGATCTCAGGTTTCATGTCCTTTCCCACTCTGGCCCATATACGACTGCTTTCCTTTGATGGTCTCATTGGAAAAGATTTCTAGAATTAGGTATTCCCTCCTATCTCTTGACTCTACATTCAGTACAGAGATTACTTCCACATACCTAATAGGTATTTTTTTTACTTCCTCTTATACTTTCAAAAGGCCATTCAATCATGAAAAGAGCTCATCTCTTAAAAAACAAGAAACGTTCTTTGATAATGATATCTAATAGTATTGATCTGTCATGGAATACTGTAGCAAACATAATTACTTCTAGTGGATTATTTCATTTAATTTCTTTAAGTACCTTTTGAGGAAAGTACTATTGATATCTCTATTTTACAGATGAGAAAACTGATGCGTGAAGGTAATGATAATTTTTCAGACCTATCTAGTGCGGCCTAAATTCAAAGCAAGGTCTCTCTGACATTAAAGCTGTTATTCTTAACCTTGTCATTGACACTCTATGACTCACAATGCCATGTCCACTTTTCAATTTTCCATGAATTCATGATGCCAAACAATAAATAATTTTTATAAGACTGCTCCCCCAGAATAAGTAGTTCCCAGCATCCTTATGTCCTTAATATATTTATAACAAGAGCAACAGCAAATGATGATGCAGACTTGCATAGAAAGGACAAATTGTTCTAAATTGCAGGATGCGTTCATCAGTCAGCATGATTAAACTGTCCTCACTTAAAATAATGCTTCTCATTCCCTCTTAGTCATGACCACTGTCCCCAGCTGCTACCAACAACAGAAAGAGAACCTCCAGTTTAATAAACTCACGGTTTCCCTGGAAGAAAACTTCCTATGAAAAAACATTACAAAAATCAAAGAAAACACATGCTATATTTTAGGCCCATGATTGGTCTATTTTAAGCCATGTGGGTGTGTATTCATCTGATTTGTCAAAATGTCTCAAAAAATAAATGATAAGTCTTTATCAACAAGCTTTATTTAGCACACACACACATATATGTGTGTATATATGTATATACATATGTATACACACACACATATATATGTGTATATGTGTGTGTGTGTGTGTGTGTGTGTGTGTGTGTGTGTATACATATGTATTGGACTAAGGATAAAAGTTCTTCAACTGTGATTGGCAAAATAAAATTATTGTTAATTATTTAATAATCTAAATTACATTGATGCTATCAGAACAGGTAACCCTGATTCATGCTAGGTTGAGAATGTATTCAGGTTGGGATTTTATTTTTGTTATTTTGTGTTTTAGTTCTTTTGTGAAGTGATAAGTGATACGGTTTTGCTGTGTCCCCATCCAAATCTCATCTTGAATTGTAGTTCCCATAATCCCCGTGTGTCGCGGGAGGGACCCAGTGGGAGGTAATTGAATCATGGGGGCAGTTACCCCCATACTGCTGTTCTCATGCTAGTGGGTGAGGTCTCATGAGATCTAATGATTTCATAAGAGGCTTTTCCATCTTTGCTTGGCAATTCTCCTTGCCACCATGGGGAGAAGGATGTGTTTGCTTCCCCTTCCGCCATGATTGTAAGTTTCCTGAGGCCTCCCAGCCATGCGGAACTGTCAGTCAGTTAAATCTCTGTCTTTTATAAATTATTCAGTCTCCGGCAGTTCTTTACAATAGTATGAGAATGGACTAACACAGTAAGGATCACTGGTGTATTACTATATAACAAATGTTTTATAAAGATGAAAAAATTAAATAAAAAAAGAAACACATTATCCTTAGATAATATTTTAAATCCCAACTCCACAATGTCCTTGACAAGTCCTTGAGACACTGTTAGGCTCATTTTACATTTTACATTTTACAGAATGAAGGAACTCAATCTTGGACAGCTTAAGTAATTTCTTAAGGATATCCAGAATAGTTGAGTAGGAATTTCAAACCTGCTATCTTGCCTCATCTTTTCCACCTGAAAGCACTTCTCTCAGGAAGGATCATAATGCCCTCTCCACATCTTTGTATTTGCTTGAATAACTCTTACTGGCCTTGGAGGACTAACTTAGATATTACCTTCTATAGGAAGCCTTCCCTGGAACCCCACATCTGGATTGGATTCTTCTTGTATCTGTCCCCATGATACTCTAGGTATACCACCCTCTGTCACAGCACTGCACTTATCATGGTGTAATATAGTTGCCTATTTCCTTGTGGGTCTCTTCCACTCACCCCAATCACTGAAGTATCTTGATTACTAGGGACTATGGTCTATTCAATATTCTATTCCCTCAGGTTTAATATGATGCCTAGCACATCAGAGGGACTCCAATGTTTACTGAAGAAAAAAATCAATGGTCAAATGAGTGGATGCAGACTCCAAAGCTCACACACCCTGCTGCCACAGGTTAAGTGGTATCTCAGCCTACAGCACACCGCCTCTTAGATCAAGTGTGTAGCAGCACCAAGCACAGGACCCACTGGGAAGCCAGCACTCAATAAGCATTTTCAACAGTTAAATTCAGGTGGACTCCCCAGAGTCTAAGCCAATTATTTCAGTGAAGGGCATCAGCTTTCTCATATTTCAAATCAATCAAGACTTTGTCAATAGCACAGCAGTTTAGTCCTACTATTGAAAACATAATTAGTTTCTCATTATTTAAGTGGAGGAAAAGGATGAACTATATGTGAGTGACTTAGCAGTAGTGCAACTACAATGTTATTGTATGAAATTCAACCTAAGCAGATATGACTGAAGATAACACTAAGACTAGAAAAATAAAAATAAGGACTCCCTTTGCATTTAAAAGAAAATTCTAGTGCTTTGCAAGTATACAGGTAAAAATTAACTTAAAAAAATGAAATCACTCTCTTTTAGCACCAGAGTTGAAGCCTTTGTTGATAAGACACTGGAGAGCAGTTAAAAGAGTGGGGAGGGAAATACAGTGGGTGACAAGAATTAACCCTGATACTGAAAAGAGAAACAGGAAGAGGATATGGGAAAACACGATGAGAAAGTCTTGTTCTTTAGCACTCTGGACTTCTCTTTTTACCCACATTCTCTTGGGCATAGAGAATAATAAAAAGTTAAATTTAATTATTACCTCTATATAAATGCTTCCTGTGGTAGACAGAATACTGCTCCCCACCCCCACAAAGGTGTGTATGTCCTAACTCCTGGAACCTGAGAATAAGTTGTCTTACGTGGCAAAAGGGACTTTGCAGGTGTGTAGATTTTCCTGGTGGGACCAATGTAATCACAAAGATCCTTATACGTAAAAGAAGGAGGCAGGAGAGTAACAATCAGAAATACTTGAAGACACTCAACTACTCGCTTTGAAGATGGAAGAAGGGGCTGCAAGCCAAGGAATTCAGGTGGCATAGAGAAGCTGGAAAAGACACAGAGACAAATTATTTCCCTGGAGGCTCCAGAAGGAATGCAGCCCAGCTGACAACTTAATTTCAGTGAGACTCATTTGAGATTTCTGATCTCCAAAGCTATAAGAGGATAATGTGTATTGTTTCAAGCCACTGCATTTTTGATAATTTTTTTTACAGCAGCTGTAGGAAACTAATACACTCACAAATTTTGCCTTGTGAACCTGAGCTTCTGACATTAGGCTGTTTGTGTCTCTATTTCAGTTTACCCCTGACAATCCCAATGCAACACATCCAATACTAAGCTCGTCATCCTCTTCCCAACTATGATTCCTCTCCCAGACTATCCTACATGGTCTGTTACCCTGCCTTTCTTCCAGGTCGAGGCTAGATGCCTGTGATTCTTCCATATCCTTCTCCCTGCTCCCCAATCTATCTCCTCTCTTGCCTGTTCTCTGGATAAAGGTCCACTGAATAACACTGTTTTCTACTCCCATTGTCATAATCCAGAAAAGAATTCTAATTCTATAAAGAATTAATTCTAAAAGAATTTAAGGTGGCTGGCATGGGGAAAAAATAATGAACAAAGAAATGCTGAAAGAAAAGAGAATGGGGAGACACCCTCAAGTACATCTTCAGGAAAGAGGGAAGGGATTTTCCGACAGGCAGTGAGTCTTCATCATATAAGCTGATTTAAGGATCTTTCAAACCTGAAAATATGCAGTTCCTATGGTTAAAGAAAGTGAGGAAGACTTGTACAGAAATCAAGTGAACCAGTCTTTCCAAAATACTCCAAAACTGCTAGTTCTACTTCACCATGCCTCGAGTTTTTACATGGCACACAGCTATGGTTTTTAGCAACCCGCTGCCCAAGATGTGAGGATGGTATATATGAGGTGCTCATTCTTTCCACAGCAGAGCAGAATCAGGTTTCAGGATTCCAGTCATTCCCTAAGATAAAAGTATCCAGCAAGAAAGAGTTAGTTCATGGAAGGTCTGGCTGACCTAGTTAAGATAATATTTCATCCTGTGAAAGTTGTTGAGAGAATAAAATATGTCACCAAAAGCTCAATTAGATAAGGAAACTCTCTAAAGGGCCAAACTCTTAGAAACCAATAAAGGGGAACGGTTCACTTTCTAGTGACAGCTTGTCACATACCAAGAGAAATGTCCCTGCTTAGGCAGTCTCAGGACACCAGACACTGACTCTGTCCTGACATGCCCTACAACTCTAAAGTCATTCAGTTCTGGGTTTTGGAAAACTGTATTTGTAGAGACATATATTCTATTGTGATCTTTATATTTGGGTTGTTTTTTATTAAGCCATCCAGAGTGTGTAATTTCCCAAGACAAACGAAAACAACTGACCATCCCCAAAGGGTCAGTCCCCAACAGGATCACTGAGATGGACATCCGACATTTCTTGGTGGCAGTAACCAATGACATGCTACAGTTACTGGAGTCTCAATGAGGATCTCACAGTCTCTGGAGGCAGTAACCAATAGTGTGCCACTATTCTGCTCCCCAAGCCTCAGGGGAGAGTCTGGTGAAGACTTGCCCACCAGAGCATAAGACAGATTCTATCCTAAATTGGGTCCGCTTTTCTTGCCATTTTAGCCAATGACAATCTGTACTTCTTAAAGCCAAGCAATGTCTTGAACTTTGATGTATACGTAAATCATAGCTCAGCTTTAGAAATTTAAAGATCTTGGAAACGCATGTAAATTAGCGTTCAAATGTCTGCCTTTCATCTCCCTCCCACTTTCCTTCTTGCTCTCTTATACGAAAAAGGAATGTGAAACAAATGAACAACTTGATCAAACTGTGTTTGTCTCACTCCTGCCCAGAAGACAGAGTTGAAATGAGCACAAATTTAAGTAGTATAAGTATCCAAAATTTCAGTGTTCTTATTCCCTCCAAATGGCTATCCATGAATTAGTCCCAACAAGCCCAAGGTGAAGCATTCTTCCTGGTTCTGCCAGTAAAACTTCATAAATAAATAAAACCACCAATGAAAGATACTGCTGACATTGTATAAACTATATCCAGTCATATCGGAAAGATAAGATCTATCCTAATTATAAGAAATACAGGAAAAACTCTCTTTTATAAGAAAATTGAAACCAAAGAAAATATTTCATTAACTAAATCCCATTCCTGAGATATTCTTTCTTAAGAGTATACTTCTGATTGCTTTACTCTCAATCTCAACTTTAATTGTTGAGATTAAAGCCTTGGGAAAAATCAGGACAGCAGAAGTAATCACTTCAAAAACAGAGTGTTCACTTATAGATAAAATGTCTAAAACTAGGACAGTGAGTGAGTTTGCTATGAAATAGGAGAAGATATGCTGCAATCAGGCTGATGCAGACAGAATAGAGAGATCCTAGGAATCCAAACAGTGCGGTCTTCTATGAGACTGTGTCACAGGTCTGTAAACAGTCATGGTTAAAATGCCCAAATAAAGAGTTGTAAAAGATGCACCCTTAGCTAAATATTTCACAAAATCATGATTTTCAGGGTTGCCTTGTGTAAATGGATCACAGAGAGTTAAGGAGACAGAAGATGCAGTGGTTTTAACTGAGTTGTAGAACATTCCTTTAAATTCTGAAATGGTTCTCTTGAGAACTGTTTCAGTGCTCACTGAATTCCCAACGTTTAAAAATATGTCTGAAACAATCATTGCTTAATTTCATCCCTCGAGACCCACCCTCCAAAAATGTCCTGTGGCACATACGTTGTTACTTTCTAAATTAAAGTAATTCAAAATTGGCTTTATTCTATGAATATAGGGAAATATTCCCAGCTTCCTTTCAGACCAGTGCTTTAACTTTAAAAATAATAGTGTAAAGAGAAGGAAATAACATTCGATGTAATCAGATGTCTCGTTTTTTTAAAAGAGAACTTAAAGAGATGCTCCTATGTACCACACAACTTGCACTTGTGACTAGAGTCATTTTCCTTACCCAGAATTTCCACCTGAAATAGAAACTAGGCACTAGACAAATACTCTCAGCATAACAGAACTGCAGCCTGTCTATGATCATCGACAGAAAATGAGTCTGTGATCTGCACAAACATAAGCAGAAAGAGCAAGGCAACGTCTTTCCAAATACATTCAAACATATTTGAAGTCTCAACTGTAATGCAAACTGCTTCATGGAAAGGTGGATTCTTTTCAGGGCTGAAGTCATTCTTCCAGAATGCAGTAAGTAAAGTGCTTGGCCAATAAGTGCTTTTGAGCTACCAAGGTAATATTTTCCAAACTTCACTCCAAAGAGCAATAGTCCTTCCGAAATACTATAGATACTTCTTAAAAATTCATTTAAGTAGGCATGGGAGCTTAGGAAATTCCCACTTTACCACAGACTTTGCCTTTGCTATGCTAATGTGTGTTGAGACTCTCTAAGAGTGACTCATACTTACAATATACTTATTTGACCAAAAACTCTTTTCACGGAGTCTTTTAGCGTCTCATGGGGTCCCTAGTGCTTTAAGGAACACAGTTAGGAAAACGTGGCATTCATGTAATATAAGAAAGACTATGGAGTAGTGGTTGCAAAATTAGAATGAAGTGACAGTCATTCTAAAGCAGTCCTGTTACGTGTGATACTGCCATCTAACCCAAGCAATGGCATCAAGTACTTTGCTACACCAACTCTCAAACTTCTACCAGTCATCTGAAGTTGCAGATTTGAGCCAAGTGATAAATAATTGTATTCTGTAAATCATTTGGGAGCATTTCTCCAGATCTCTTTATAGTTTGCTCCTGAAATTTTATGCAATTGTACATTTTTGGTGCCAGGACTATCTGGCTGTACATTTAATTTTCAGTTTTGTTTCAGAGCCTTGTCATTTCATCAATCAGAGCTATTCCATCTGCTGAAATGCTGACAAATCCAGCTGCTTTGTCACTTCTAATCAATTTCATTAACATCTCCACGTTCTGTTTCAATTAGTGGCCTATTCTTTGCACTGTTTGATGACTTGATACTACCTACCGTCTGCAGATTAAAAATCAAATTACAAATTGCTTTGTCCTTGGCATTAAAAATCCTTCCTTCTTTACCAAATCATTTCCATTTAGCACGTTTACCCCTCTTAAGTTAAATTAAGCTCTACCACATTGTGAAGTAAGGGGTTCAATTGTTGTGCAAGGAATGGATCCATACTGGGATGTTCTTCTTGACATTCACTTAATCCTTCTGCCCTCATTCAGAATTCAATCTTCTTTCATCTAAGCCTTTCTATTGTTGTGATTTTTTTCCACACATTACTTTAAACACCTACTTGAAGTGTTATTTACTTGGTTATAATCCTCACTCATTTTTTTAATTCATCAGACACAATACCAACATTGTCTATTTTCTGCAATTCTTGACTTAGAAAACTGTCAAAGAAGAACCAGTTGGACGAAATCATCCTTGTTGCTGATTATATTACTACCCAAACCCAAACAATGAGGAAGTAGCCTTTGAATGCGATTTTTCAAGTAGATATAATACCTCTGCTCTGTTTCCTGTCTTTCTCTAAAAATCAGTCCATGCTTACTTATTTTAATTGTAGAGAATTGTACAAATTTTTACTTTTGTTAAAAAATGCAGAAATAGCATAGAATTCTGACTGTCCTTTCCCGTGCTTTGTGTCATAACTGACAGCATGGAGCTTTAGTAGCCTAAAGCGATACAGCAACAGTGCTGTGGGTCATGTTTTTAACTTTAATGACAATCTGTAATTGCCTGCAGCCTGCCTCATTTCTGGCCCTGCTGATTTCTTGAGGACCTGTGATAACACAGCTCCAACTTGGTCCTCTAATCAGGCTCGTGCCCTCTTTTATGTGTTTTTTATATTTTTTCAGGGTTATCAGTCTTATAGTAAAGTAGTCAGAGTCTACAACTCTACCTCCTTCTTCAGGGCATTCCAAAAAATTAGAATTTCCTTCTAGCCTGCAAGCTTTCACAACCGTCTGCTTTTTCCTGTGGCTGGAAGTGGTGAGAGTTTGAATAGCAACAGCTTTGCTTCAAATTGAACTGTCTGATACCGACCATGAAATCCCCTTTAGCTTTAATCTTTTTTAGACATTTGAAATTTTCAAAATACTGCTTGTCAGGGTAAGTTCCCTTTTCCTCCAGTATAGCTGGTTCACATTTGACTTGCACTTAAAAGATGTTGCAGTTATTTCATTCTTCTTAGAAATATTACCATCCTTGACTGTTTACAGAAACATATGTGTGTTCATTTATTAAAAAAAATGGTTTTTGATCACCAACTAAGTGTTAAACATTGTCTTAGAAGGTACTAGAATTCAACAGGGAACAAAGTCTCCATCTCATGGAGGCAGACAGTGGTTGAGATAGACATGATGGCTAGAGAGAAAGGGGGCCTATGACATTACCATTAAACAGGCAATCAGCATAAAGTAAGAGCCAGCTGGATGTGGTGGCAAACAGGCTGGGAAAGAGGACGTCAGGAGCCAGACACCCTGGTTCAAATCCTGCCCCCTCATTGATTAGCTGAAATCTTAGGAAAGTTGATTAACCTCACTGTACCTCATTAGCCTCATTGATAAGATCGAGACAGTAATGGTTCTACCTCAGATATTTGTTGTGAAGGTCAAATAACTTAATACTGTAATGCCCTTAAAGAAGTGTCCAGCACATAAAAAAGTGCTATCAAGTATTTGTAAAATTAAAAAAAAAAACAGATAGTAGGAAAGCATTATGATCTGGGAAGTATATTTTGCTCTGGGAGTTCATTGCAAGTGTGCCTAACCTAGTGTAGGAGAAGTCAAGGATGCTCTTTAGATCTGAAGGAGCAAGAGTAGCCACTACAGAGTGAAAGTAAAGAGAATAGAGTGGTGTCTGTATAGCTAGAACTTAAAATGCCCATGAAAGACAACTAAAAATATCAGGACAACAGTAGGGACCAAATTAAAGAGATTGAGACTTTCAAATTCCAGAAAGCTAGAGGTCAAGAATATACATATTAATAGTGTAGAAAACTATAAACATCATGGATAAAACAGAAAAATATCCCAAAATGCTAAAATTTAGAAGATCCCCAAGATACTTGAAAGAGTAAATAGAGCCAATAGAAGAAAGTGCAGCCACTTCCCTGATTGTAAAAGTAGGAAGCTAATTTCCCAACAAAGTAACACAGATTCAAAATAAACAGCGGCTTCCTGGGAAAAAAAAAAAGCCACACAGAAACAAAAACAAAAACTAAGATATTCTGGAGATATATCCTTACTTTTGAAGGAGGTGCCACCTCCCCCAACCCCAAAAAGAAAAAAAAATAAACTGATCGAGTTGGAAGAAAAGCTCATTCTTAGAATAGCAGCTCTTCTCTTATCAAGTCTTCTTAGCAGTTTCCAGGAACAAAATACAACTTTGTGGTTTATGCAACCCACACTGCCTACATAAAGATGGATGGCAACAGCTTAAGGGTTGCCCTTCCAATCAGTGATCTAAAATAGATTTCATATTCTACTCCAGGGTATTATTCTATTTCCATTAGATTGAATCACATGAAATTGCCATTTTTGTAAGTCAAAAATGATTGAGTAGCAGCATTTTCATATGCTTAAACCTAATATATGTTATGGGAAATTTTTAGTTTGTTGTGATGCTTTTTGCTGAAAGATAAAACCACAAGAGCTGCAAGTGTGCTCTCAATTTCCCAATGAACAGTAAAGTAATGCAGAGCTTACCATTTCATGGTGAAAGCTTATGCACATGCTCTAGTTGCTGGAAAATGTGTCTCCTTATAGAAAGCAAAAATGTGCCTCTTTATAAATTCTGCCCATTAGTACCAGTTCTTTTCTCTGAAGTACCTGGAATAAGCAATATTTCCTTCCCACTAGAGAATCCTGGATACCTCACACATTCTCCAGTCTTTCCAGTTATGTGTCATCAGCACACGTGATTAGCATGTCCTCCATAGTTTAACTCTAGCCCATGAAACAGCAATCTAGGTACACTATGTCAGCTTGCTGAGATTCAGCCTACTCGCAGAAGCATTCTGTTTACACAGCTTTCTGTAACTTCTTAGCCTTGGTATACCATACACAGATATGGCATGTATATCAGAAAAATACTTCGCATTATTTTAAGGAAAGGCATTATGATTTGAGTACCACAATTCTGTGAAGACATTAAGTCTATGTCACCATTTCAATCATGCAAGAGGGTGGCATGGCGGTTTCAGACAGTTGGTCACTGTATCTGTAGTGAACACTTTGGCTGCAAACAACAGAAAATAGTAAGACATGGTGGCTACCCAAAGGATTACAAATCATTCTACTATAAAGACACATGCACATGTATGTTTATTGCGGCACTATTCACAATAGCAAACACTTGGAAACAACCCAAATGCCCATCAATGAAAGACTGGATAAAGAAAATGTGGCACAAATACACCATGGAATACTATGCAGCCATAAAAAAGGATGAGTTCATGCCCTTTGCAGGGACATGGATGAAGCTGGAAACCATCATTCTCAGCAAACTAACACAAGAACAGAAAGCCAAACACACTATGTTCTCACTCATAAGTGGGAGTTGAACAATGAGAACACGTGGACACCAGGAGGGGAACATCACACGTGGGGGCCTGTCAGGGAGTGAGGGGCTAGGGGAGGGCCAGCATTAGGAGAAATACCTAATGTAAATGACGGTCGATGGGTGCAGCAAACCACCATGGCACGTGTATACCTATGTAACAAACCTCATGTTCTGCACATGTACCCCAGAACTAAAGTATAATAATTTTAAAAAAAAGATTTTTCAAATTACCTCACATAGCAAGATCCATGGAGATAGATGGTTCAGAAGCTACATAATGTCAGGATGTGGGATGGTATTTCTGAAATCCTCTTGGTTCTCTTTTATTGTCACAAGATGGCTGCAGCAGCTCTAATAACCTTGCCCTTGCATGGCAACATCTAAAGCAGGAAGCAAGGAGAGAGAGAGAAGGAAATAATGTCTTTATTACCTAGTTGCCTTCTTATCAGGAAGGACAAACTTTGCCAAGTATCTCTCACAACTCATTGACCAAAATGAACCACATGTCTATATCCTACACCAATGGTTGTTAAAGTGCAGTTCCCAGACCAGCATCATCCTCACCTGGAAATTTGATTAAAATGCAAATTATCAGATCTGACCCAAACACACTGAATTAGAGACTCCAGAGTTAGGGCCTAGAATTCTGGACTGCAACAAGTTCTCCAGGTGATTCTGATGCACACTAAGTTTTGAGAGCCTCTGTCCCAATCTCTGACAAAGTAGAATCATATCATAATAACTGGCTTGGACCAATCATTATTCATCCCAGTGGAACTGGGCACATTATTGCCTAAGTTAAAATTGGGCTTTCGATGGCCATAAAGGGAGGAGAGCAGCAGTGAGGACTGGCCATGAAACAAAAAGAAGAGGAGCAAGAGTAGAAAGAGAAATAGGAGCGAGGGAGCCAAAATTATCATGGTAATGGGAACTAGAAGCAGATCTTAACTCAATCTGAGAATGTTGCTTGAGGAACATCTAAAAAATTACTGAGTTTTGCAGATTATAGGGAGCTAATAGAACTAATAAAGTGCTGGAGAAAATCAGTGTTAATGAAAAATAGACTTGATTATTCTACTTCAAATGTAATTTAAGAGTATGATAAATACTATACCATGACACATTTACCAAATAGTGATGAACACTGCAAAAATCAGTAGCTAGTTAGAACTTCAGTAAAGTGCCAGATTTCATACAGAGTGTGAGTAGGAGGAGGAGTAAAGAATGTCATTTAGTCAAATGCAAATTAATGGTCACGTGTCTCACTCTACTGACAAAGAATTAGTTTTACTTCTGCCACACATTATTAGAGAATACACAAAGTTGAATTTCCAATCATCCATAGCTATGCTGCCCAACACAGTAGCCACTAAGCACAGATGGCTACTGAGCACTTGAAATCTAACTAGTATGAATTGAGACTTGCTATAAGTATAAAATACATACTGGGTTTCAAAGGCATAATACAAAAATAAGACTATAAAAGACATCATTAACGATTTCTATATTGATAACATGTTGAAACAATATTGTGATTTATTGAGTTAAATAAACTATATCATTAAAATTAATTTCACCTTTTTTCTTTTTACCTTTTCAGTGTGGTTACCAGAACATTTTAAATTACATGTGTAATTTGCACTACATTTCTATTAAGTAGCACCCATAGTTTATATCTTTGATTTGTAAATTTACTTTAATTAATTCATGAAACCTTTTTCAAATACCAATCAGGCAAGTTTTAAAAAATATAGGTGAAATTTGCAGTTGTCTATGTGCCCATGACGTAGGATCTGAGAGATTCTGGTGGGGAGAACACTCCATCCACAAGTTATTACCTTCAAGAGTTAATGTATTTAAATTAACCACATTTCCCTAACTATCTTCACCTAATATGTAAATGTACTCATGAGAAGACTAATATATTAAGTATACATAAACTAGGAATGAGAAAAGACTTTCCAAGATCTCAGTTTTTCATTTGTTCCCTTTCCTAAAATAAAAATTAAAAAAGGAAAAAAAATTCATCTGGCCAAGAGCAAGTACAGTCAACATGTTGACCCAGTGTCAGGTTCTCACTTCTCCTTTTGTGATATTTCTCCAGCCACTTTTTAAAAAAGAGGTATTTCTCACCCTTCACAGATATTACAATGGTACATTCCTGTGGTAGCATTAGGGTGATGTCTAATAATGGATCTATTTGGTGCTGGTGTTGAGAAAGATAATGGTTCATTCAATATATGGACAAGAAATTTGACAAGTTACTGTATACATGTGCTATGAATGCTCCCTTTCAGTTCATGTAAGCATGATGCTGATGACAGCAGCCAAAATATTTCCTTACTAGAGGAAAACAATTTATCGTGAAGTACAGTTCACTGATTTCATGCAAAACTTTTCAAGTTGAGAAAAAAATAGAATTCCTTTAAAGCAGTCAGCATATGCCTCCTCATCATCACAAACCTCAAATAGGCAAATACTTTAAAGACATTATTGAATCTAGGTGTGTGAACTTGTTATTTTGAAGACAAACCCCAAACCAGTAAGCAGAATTTCTAGACGTAATTGATACTTTAATTTCTTATCTGAAAAATTTGACGGGAGCCACTGTGTTTACTAACCCCTAATCCTCTCTTTGGGGACCTTCATGGTTCATACGACTGGCTCCAGTATTCAAGACTCCTCATAAGTTTTCATCAGCTGGGTGTGGCGGCGCGTGCCTGCATTCCCAGATACCTGGAAGGAAGGCTGAGGTAGAGGATTGCTTCAGCCAGGAGTTTTAATCTAGCCTCAAACTGGGCAATGTAGAGAGACCCTGTCTCTGTTTAAAAAAATGTTTTTATTAATCACAATAATTTGGGGATAGTATCAAGCTGTTGGTTTTGTCTACCTTTTTTTCTGAAGGCTCACGTTTCATGCCAGACTTCATTAATGAGAGAGATATTAGAGAATCAAGACAGCCTATTTAATTACATAGAAGTGGCAAACTGGCTGAAAGGTTTTCAAGTAACCCGAGTTTGATAGATAACTGCAACCCCAAGCCCTCGCTTTCATTTTCTACATTGTCTGCATCCAAATGTTGCCAGATCTAAATGAGTTTATTCCTCTTTCTACTCCCACAGCCTCTGCCCCCTTTGTCCAGGCTCTGCACCCCTCACTGAGATGCTCGTGACAACTGCTGACAGGTGTCCTTGCCTTGGGCTTTTCTTCTCTGAGTTGTTCTCCTCCATGCTGTTATTTATGTTATCTTCACAAAGCACGGCTCTGATCATAGAATTTCCCGTCTTAAAAAGTTTCGGAGGCTCCTCACTGCATACAGGACCAAACCCAAACTCCCTTGCCTGGCTTACAAAACCGTACGTAGCTGGGTTCCCTGCTTATCAGATTTAACATTTATAAAGGGCCTCATTTTCTAGGCATTCATGTAAACACCAAGGCTATGAAAATGAAAAGTACCAAGAATATTAAGCGTTTATTGGTATTAAGGGGGAAAAAGAATAAAATATGATTGTCCCAGAAAAAGTTCTCATCTAGCTGGGAGGCAGACACATCAACAAACACCATGCTACAATTCAGTGAAGACACATAACAAACTCTGTAGAGCACCATGGAGTAGCACGAAGAAGAGGCTGCTTCTACTCTTGGCCTTAATGCCCACTTACATTCCACCCTCTTGTCCCCAACACACCACAGACAGAAATGCTCCCCTCAAGCCATCTGGGCCAATCTGCAATCCTTAAGGGTACACAGCACTTTCCTACTCTGCGCCTTTGTTCATCTAGTCCTCTTATCTGGAAATTTTTCCCTTCACCTCCTTCCTGTGAGCACTCACTCTTCCAGCTCTGATCAAATCCTAAATTCTCTATTAGATTCTCAGATTTTCCCAACTAGATTAATCCTCCCCTTCATTTCTTCACTGTGTATTTAGTGTCATTGAAATCATAACATCTTATATTACTATTACTTACATTAATTATATTACATAACATCTTATATTACTATTACTTACATTACTTATATTACATAACATCTTATAATACTATTACTTATATTACTTCTATTACTTAGGGAGTCTTTTTCCCCCACTAAATTTTGAAGACCTCAAGAGTAGGGATTACATGGTTTTTTCCTTATGTTTCCCATGGTTCCAAGAGGCTTATGACTAAATAATTCCCAAGACATATTTATGATATACAGTGAATGCTTTCCAATAGGACCTTGACAGAGTAGTACCTGGTATGTTGCCTATTCTTGTTGAAACTCTACATCATTGTTGTGAAGAAATAGGAAGGCTTTTACACTGTTGGGAGTGTAAATTAGTTCCACCATTGTGGAAAGCAGTGTGGCAATTCCTCAAGGATCTAGAACTAGAAATACCATTTGACCTAGTGATCCCATTACTGGGTATATACCCAAAGGACTATAAATCATTCTGCTATAAAGACACATGCACACGTATGTTTATTGAAGCACTATTCACAATAGCAAAGACTTGGAACTAACCCAAATGTCCATCAATGGTAGACTGGATAAAGAAAATGTGGCACATATACACCATGGAATACTACGCAGCCATAAAAAAGGATGAGTTCATGTCCTTTGCAGGGACATGGATGAAGCTGGAAACCATCATTCTCAGCAAACTATCACAAGGACAGAAAAACCAAACACCACATGTTCTCACTCATAGGTGGGAGTTGAACAATGAAAGCACATGGACACAGGGCAGGGAACATCACACACCAGGGCCTGTTGTGGGGTGGGGGTCTGGGGGAGGGATAGCATTAGGAGAAATACCTAATGTAAATGTCAAGTTGACGGGTGCAGCAAACCAACATGGCAGATGTTTACATATGTAACAAACCTGCACGTTGTGCACATGTACCCTAGAACTTTATAATAGATTAATTTATACTTATTTAATTTAGATTAAATTAATAAAGATTAAAAGATTTAAAAAGTCTACATCATTGTTTTCTATGTCATACTAAGATTTAGTTTCAAATACCTGCTAGAGGTTTTTTTAATCATTTCTCTGACTAGACTGCAAGGCAGTTCTCTTTTAGCTAGTAACGTACTGTGGGGAAGAAAAAGAAAGACAATGTCTCTTTTCTCTGTGCTCTGCAACTGCATATTTCCTTGGCTATGTCTCTCTCTGATGATCCTTGATCCAAATGGTGATGCTGTATCTATAGTAGACACAGAGCCACGAAACAGCCACAATTATAGAGATTGGTTGGCGAAAAAAAAAAAAGTTTTCATTAAATACTTGCTAATTAAGTGGCATGGGTTAATTTCAGGATTGAGAATTACTACCATCTTCTGTTTTGGATAGAGGTATTCTTGGTTTCCATAACACAGAAGCTGTGTCTGGGCAATGACAAAATAGCCATCAATTAAGTTTTTGAAAAAAAAATCAATTCTCAATCCAGTAGGGGAAAAAAATCAAATAGGTTTTTGGACTCGACAATGCAGTTGGCTACCTTTGACTCTTTCCTTTTCAACTTCGTGTTTTGTTATCTTGTAGATAGGAAACATTTTAGGGGTAGCTACAGGGTTTCATGCCAAACCCTGCTGGATACAAGGAGAATATGCTAAGGCCTTCAGCCTTCAAGATTACTCAGTATTTAGGAAGACAAAATAAATATACAAAAAACTGAAGTTAATTCATCGTTGTCAAATATTATAATGCAAAGATGTCACAAAAGAGCACCTAACAGATTGATTTCTAAATATTATCCATAATCAAAACTGTATACTCAGCTGATGGGAGCACCACTATAAATTGATGTGTCCAGCAGTATGGGCCAGCAGACCAATGGGAAGTCCAGTTTAAATGAGGAAGAGATTTCAATTGGGAAACTGAATTTTTTTTTTTTTAGTTTCAAAGTTAACTTATGTCTATATCACTTCCAGATTGTACAACCCCTTAGATTTACCTGTAGTGTTTGGAAAGATGCAGGTACAATTTGTTACCACAAAGAAAATGGCCTTACTGTCAGATCACCACAAACACTCATGGAGTCCTGATAAGTGTGTAGAATGTTTCTCTAATTTTTTCAGCCCATCATCATCAGCCTATACCACATACCTCACTGAACATCCTTCTACCATTCTTCTGCTTCCTCTTCCTGCTCAGCCTTTTCCACAACTCGCTCAGTCTTTTCTGCCTCTATGCCATCTCCAATGAGTCCCAGTTTTCACGGTGTTGAAATTTGTTTCTGTCTTGACCATAGATTAGCCAAAGCAAGCCTTCCTGTGGGTTGCTGGTGAATACTTCATTTCAGACGTTGCAAGGTGGTGGCCCCAGGGTTGAAACCGGCCTACTAATACATTTTGTGTTGGCCTACACAGTGTGTTACTGTTTTAAATTAGTTGCCATCTTTAAAAATCAGGAAATATTCAGCTTCTTTTTTTATTAGAATATCCACATTCCAACAAGAAAATCGACAGCTCACCTTTAGATGGATATATGCTTTTTTGATTCCTCAGACTAGAGCATCTGTGAGACAAATAAAACTTTATTGTTAGTGACCCCCTCTCCTAGTATAGAAAAATCTAAATCAGTAAATACTTTTTACTTTCTTTTCAGCCTCCAGAATAAATTTCAAATCCTCAGACTGAGGGAATGCAAAGCCCTTCACCTGTGACTTGCTGTCACTCGAGAATTAACTTCCATCTCTGCTGCTACCACCCTAGTCCTGATTAGCTGCAGTAAATTCCAAGAGATCTCCCTAATTTGTGTATTTTCCCTCCACACTCAACAGTTCCTTCTCCACACAGCAGCCTAGGTGTTCTTTCTGAAATGTAATGTAGATAACATCACTCCTCTGCATAAAACCCCCCAATGGTGTCCCATTGCATTTAGAATAAAATCCAAAATGTAGCCATAATCTTCAAGAACCCATGTGATCTCACTTCCATCTGTCTCTGCCCTCAATTATTATCATTCTCACCGCTGACCATGACTATTCTGCCACACTAGCCTTCCTGGCCATCCAGCAAGCCTGTTTTATCAATGGCCTTGCAGCTCCCTCTCCCTAGGCCATCACACGGCTAGATCCTTCTCCTTCTGGTTTCACATCAAATTTCACTTCAGAGAAGTCTTCCCTGACCTATCCATTTTAAGGTAACTTCTCCCAATCCTGTCACTTCTTATTTCATTCATTATTTCATTTTTATTTTATAGCACCTCTCACCGTTACCTTATTTGTGTACTTACGTATTTCCTGTGTCCACTCTCTAAAATGCATGCTAGGCTTGGGTGCCTAGTCTGCTTGTTCGGCTCTGTATCTCCAGAGCCTAGAGCAGCCCCAGGCATATAATAGATGCTCATTGTTTAAAGTTTGCACCCTACACCTTGTTCACCAAACTGAATAATAGGTTTTTTCCCTAAAAATTTCCCTACTATTTCCCATCTCTCTATGTTTATTTACTCATGCTACTCTGTTAGCCAAAACTTCCCTTTGCCAATTTCTCTCATTGTCTAAATTCTTCCAGTCCTTCAAGACTTAACTTAAATATCATTTAATTCATGAAAATTTTGCTAACTCTTTAAACTAGTCTCACTGCCTCCCTCCTCTAAACCTTTATGGCACTCCTCTTATCTTTTTGATGTACCATTTGGTAAATTATGTCATACATTTTAATTATGCATATAGCATTTTATTCCCACCTCAAAATGTTTAACCATTTGTCTCATTTATCTTTGTATTGCTAGCATCTAGGACAGTGGTTTGCCTTACTCAGAGTAGACGTTCAGTAAAGATTTCATAATAAATACATTGAACGGATGGATAAATTCTACTCCTAGAGACATAAGCCTATGAGAAATGAAAAAGGTACCTAAACTCATGGTCATGATGTTCAAGCATCACCAGTTTTTTGAAAGGCAGAGAAAATAAACAATTTCCTTCAGATTTTTCTATCACTGACTTTAGTAACCTTATTCATAATTTTTAGTGCCTTAGAAGCCAATGAGTTTTGTGTCCCAACTCCAATAAGGAAATTCTTTTTTAAAAAATTAGGAAGTGACTCTCAGAAATGCCAATAAACAACAACAACAACAACTTGCAGAGTCGCCTGCGTGAATGTTGCCAGGAGCAACTTACTGACTAAATCAATTGAGCTATATTGAAGTAGTTAGTCAAAGATCTTCATTTCTATCTTGGCACAAGAACAAAAATGTGGAACACAATATCCAGATGGCAAGTAAACAACATTGTTGTCATTTTCAAATAGAAAAAGTAAAATTAGGTTTCTACAGAAACATGGGAAATATTAGGGGAATGAGGAATACTTTATAAGACAATGTTGACCTCATGTAAACCACAAGTTACAGAAAACAGCAAGTATGGAATCAGTCTCTGATGCTTTTGAATTTAATATTTAATAATAACAACAACTAAATTATAAAGTGCTCTGTATGCATCGGGCACAGTTCAAAGTTCTTCTTTATATATACCAATTCACTTATTTTTTAACTTTTATTTTAAGTTCAGCATGTGCAGGTTTGTTTTATAGGTAAATTCATGTCATGGGAGTTTGTTGTCACCCAGGTATTAAGACTAGTACCCCCTATTCATTCTTCCTAATTCTCTCCCTCCTCCCATCCTCCATCTTCTGTGTTCATGTATTCTCATTATTTAGCTCCCACTTGTAAGTGAGAACATGCAGTATTTGGTTTTCTGTTTACTGCATTAGTTTGCTAGGGATAATGGCCTCTAACTCCATCAATATTCCTGCAAAGGACATGAGTTCAATTTTTTTATAGCTGCATAGTATTCCGTGGTGTATATGTATCACACTTTCTTTATCCAGTCTACCATTAATGGGCATTTATGTTGATTCCATGTCTTTGCTATTGTGAATAGTGCTGCAATGAACATGCATATGCATGTGTCTTTATAATAGAATGATTTATATTCCCTTGGGTAATTCTGTCTTTAGGACTTTGAGGAATTGCCGCACTGTCTTCCACAATGTTGAACCCATTTACATTCCACTAACAGTGTATACGCATTCCTTTTTCTCTGCAACCTTGCCAGCATCTGTTGTTTTTTGACTTTTTAATAATAGCCATTCTGACCAGTGTAAGATGGTATCTCATTGTGGTTTTGATTTTCATTTCTCTAATGATCAATTATGTTGAGCTTTTTTTTATACACTTGTTGGCCACATATCTCTTCTTTTATCTCTTCTTTTGAAAATTGTCTGTGCATTTCCTTTGTCCACTTTTTAATGGGGTTGTTTGAGGTTTTCTTGTAGATTTAAGTTCCTTATAGATGCTGGATATTAGACCTTTGTCAGATGCATAGTTTGCAAAAATTTTCTCCCATTCTGTAGGTTGTCTGTTTGCTCTGTTGATAGTTTATTTTGCTGTGAAGAAGCCCTTTAATTGGATCTCATTTGCCAATTTTTGCTTTAGTTACAATTGCTTTTAGTGTCTTTGACATGAAATCTTTGCCCATTCCTATGTCCAGAATGGTATTGCCTAGGTTGTCTTCTGGAGTTTTTATAGTTTTAGGTTTTACATTTAAGTCTTTGATCCATCTTGAGTTGATTTTTGAACATATACCAATTCATTTAATCAGCCAAAAAATTATAAATATTATTACTATTTTATTATTATTTTAGTAATATCATGTATTACATTATGGGATAGATACTATCACATTATCATCATCTCCACTTAATGGATGAGGAAATGAGGTACAGAAAGGTTCAGCCCTTGTCCAAGGTCACCCAACTGGTTAGTGGTAGCTCTGGGAGGTGAATCCAGTTAGTCTGACTCCAGATTCCACACCCTAACCATTTCACTGTCCTTCTTCTCCAGTTTGTTCTATAATTTTTCCAAAATATCTAATTTACCTAAAGCAAGCCTAGGTCTTTTCACAATCAAGATAATGGATTTGCTAAACCCATAGAAGAAAGTTCCTGCAAAATTTCAAAGATGACAGAAAACATCTTTCTCTTCTGCTACATGACCCTTGGGAACTACATCGGCAGTGAACCGTGAACCTTGGCTCACTTGAGAACATCCCACAAACGGAGCAGCAGCATAGCATATATGCCCCCAAGTTTCCTCATAGTCTTATTCTAAATGACTTCCAGCAGCACAGAGAGAATCAGTCTGCATCGAGACAGGCTCTTGTGTTTTAATTTGGGCTCCTTTGAGAAAAAGAAAAAAAATGAATCTGGACAGGTGCAATGAAATCACTCTTTTCTGTAAGGACTATTTCCAGATTGGAGAGTGTATTAGTCCATTTTCTCATTACTGATAAAGACATACTGAGACTGGGCAACTTACAAAAGAAAAAGGTTTAATGGAGAACTCACAGTTCCACGTGGCTGGAGAAGCCTCACAATCATGGCAGAAGGCAAGGAGGAGCAAGTCACATCTTCTGTGGATGGCAGCAGGCAAAGAGAGCTTGTGCAGGAAAACTCCTCCTTATAATAACCATCAGATCTCATGCGACTTACTCACTATCATGAGAACATCATGGGAAAGACCTGCCCCCATGATTCCATTACCTCCCACCAGGCCTCTCTCACAAGACATGGGAATTCAGGATGAGATTTGGGTGGGGACAGAGCCAAACCATATCGTTCCACACCTGGCCCCTCCCAAATCTCATGTCCTCACATTTCAAAACCAGTTATGCCTTCCCAACAATCCCCCAAAGTCTTAACTCATTTCAGCATTAACTCAGAAGTCCACAGTCCAAAGTCTCATCTGAGACAAGGCAAGTACCTTCCGCCTATAAGCCTGTAACATCAAAAGCAAGTTAGTTACTTTCTAGATATAATGGGGGTACAGGCATTGCATAAAATACAGCCATTCCAAATGGGAAACACTGGCCAAAACAAAGAGGTTACAGACCCCATGCAAGTCCAAAATCCACCGGGGCTGTCAAATCTTAAAGCTCCAAAATGATCTTTGACTCCATG
This sequence comes from Homo sapiens, assembly GCF_000001405.40. Taxonomy (NCBI): domain Eukaryota; kingdom Metazoa; phylum Chordata; class Mammalia; order Primates; family Hominidae; genus Homo; species Homo sapiens. The sequence goes on along the minus strand of NC_000002.12, from coordinate 191,774,770 downwards.
TCTCACATCCAGGTCACACTGATCCTAGAGGTTGGTTCCCATGGTCTTGGGCAGCTCCATCCCTGGGGGTTTGCAGGGCACATCCTCCCTCCCAGCTGCTTTCATGGGCTGGCATTGAGTGTCTGCAGCTTTTCAGGCACATGGTGCAACCTGTCAGTGGATCTACCATTCTGGGGTCTGGAGGACAGTGGCCCTCTTCTCACAGTTCCATTAGGCAGCACCTCAGTAGGAACCCTGCATGGGGGCTCCAACCCCACATTTCCCTTCTGCACTGCCCTAGCAGAGGTTCTCCATAAGGGCCCCACCCCTGCAGCAAACTTTTGCCTGGGAATCCAGGCATTTCCGTACATCTTCTGAAATCTAGGCGGAGGTTCCCAAACCTCCATTCTTGGCTTCTGTGCACCAGCAGGCTCAACACCACATGGAAGCTGCCAAGGTTTAGGGCTTCTACCTCTGAAGTAACAGCCCAAGCTGTACCTTGGCCCCTTTTAGTCATGGCTGGAGTGGCTAAGACACACAGTACCAAGTCCCTAGACTGCACACAGCACGGGGACCCTAGGCAGGGCCCATGAAACCATTTTCTCCTAGGCCCCTGGACCTGTGATGGGAGAGGCTGCCATGAAGACCTCTGACATGCCCTGGAAACATTTTCTCCATTGTCTTGGCAATTAACATTTGGCTTCTTGTTACTTATGCAAATTTCTGCAGCCAGCTTGAATTTCTCCTGAGAAAATGGGTTTTTCTTTTCTATCATATTGTCAGGCTACAAATTTTCTGAACTTTTATGCTCTGATTCCCTTATAAAACTGAATGCCTTTAAGAGCACCCAGGTCACCTCTTGAATGCTTTGCTGCTTAGAAATTTCTTCTGCCAGATACCCTAAATTATCTCTCTCAAGTTCAAAGTTCCACAAATCTCTAGGGCAGGGGCAAAATGCTGCCAGTGTCTTTGCTAAAACATAACAAGAGTCACCTTTGCTCCAGTTCCCAACAAGTTCCTCATCTCCATCTGAGACAACCTCAGCCTGGACTTTATTGTCCATATTGCTATCAGGCTTTTGGTCAAAGACATTTAACAAGTCTCTAGGAAGTTCCAAACTTTCCCACATTTTTCTCTCTTCTTCTAAGCCTTCCAAACTCTTCCAACCCCTGCCTGTTACCCAGTTCCAAAATCGCTTCCACATTTTCAGGTGTCTTTTCAGCAGCACACCACTCTACTCATGCCAATTTACTGTATTAGTCCATTTTCATGCTCCTGATAAAGACATACCCAAGACTGTGCAATTTACAAAAGAAAAAGGTTTAATTGGACTTACAGTTCCATATGACTGAGGAGGCCTTGCAATCGTGGCAGAAGGCAAGGAGGAACAAGTCACATCTTACGTGGATTTCAGCAGGCAAAGAGAGCTTGTGCAGGAAAACTTCCCCTTATTATAACCACCAAATATTGTGAGACTTACTCACTATCACAAGAACAGCACAGGAAAGACCTGCCCCATGATTCAGTTACAACCCACCGGGTCCCTTCCACAACACGTGGAAATTCAAGATGAGATTTGGGTGTGGACACAGCCAAACCATATCAGAGAGCAAAATTGAGCCTAATAAGAAAGATTTCTAGAGAAAGAATATTATGCTGTGTTTAAGAGAAACTACATTTCTACTTGAAGAAAGACTGTTCCTTTGGCAACTATAGGGAGTATATTATGCTACTCAGATGATGGCTTCCATATGGTAGGTCTTTAACACTGCAGAGTAATGGTCCCCAACCTTTTTGGCACCAGGGACCAGTTTTGTGGAAGACAATTTTTCCACAGAGGAGTGGGGGACATGGAGGAAGCAGCTATTGGGGAGGATGGTTTCCAGATGAAACTGCTCCACCTCAGAACATCAGGCATTAGATTCTCATAAAAAGTGGGCAACTTAGATCCCTCACATGCACTATTCACAATAGAGTTTACGCTCCTATGTAGCTGCTGATCTGACAGGGGCGGAGCTCAGGTGGTAATGCTCTTGCTTGCAGGCTGCTCACCTCCTGCTGTGTGGCCTGGTTCCTAACAGGCCACAGACCAGTACCAGTCTGTGACCTGGGGGTTGGTAACCCCTGATGTAGAGAGTAACTGTGAAGGCCTTGGGCCTTCAGAGATGGCTCTGCACAAAAGAACCCTATTAGACCAGTTCAGGGGATTCCTACAGACTCTTCTTGGGTCCTTCTCTGTCTTCCTTGTCAGTCTTTCTTTGTTCTCATTTAGGCATCTTCACACGCTGATCTTCACACTGGTGTCCTCCTAGGTAACCTGATTTCCAAGCACCCTCACCCTATGTCTAATTTCAGTCCTCCAGCTCCTCACCCTCCTCCTTAGCATAAGCAAGGGCAAGGTTTTTGAAATCACACCTTGACACCTATATTTTTATTATTCTTTTCTCTGATTAGAAACAAAAATGTCTTTCTACTTTGTTTCTCCCAGGGCTTTCTAACCTCCCCCCACCCCCACCACCACACTAAAAAAGAAAAAACGGCCTATGTAACTGATTCTTCCCTATAAAATTTTCAGCTATATATAAATCACCACTCCAAGAAATATTATCTTAAACTTAAGGGTTTAATAAAATATAAATAGCTACCTTGAACTTTAGATTAAATTTTATTGCTCTGAAAGAAGTACGCAAATTCCAAGTAACAACTCAAGAGAAAAAAAATTTAAAAAGCCATTATTTTTTCAATTATTCCAAAGAAACTTATATCAAAGTCACTTTGATTTAAAAACTTCAAAGACACGCAGATTTCATTTATTGAAGGGCCAACCAGTCAGTAATATTGACAAAACTGTCCTTATTCTTTAGAAGAGATTAACCCTGGATTTTAACCATCCTACAACTTCTTAAAGTCATCTTGGTCCATATTTGTCATCAGTAGCCAACTCCTTTGCTTTTGGATATTACATGCTAACTAATATTGAATAGGCCTTTATAACCACCTTGAACATACTATATTCTGAGATGAGACTAATTCCAGTTTTTTATCCTAACTTCTACCAAGTTCAGTTTGTTCAATTTGATTAATGTATTCAGTTTAGTATGGATCATATATTTCAGAGAAAGACTAAAATTTACTCCTGCACTTCAATCTCTTTCTCTGTATAACTTCTTTCTGCCTTTCTTTGCATATCTTCAAATACAACCTGATGTTTGTACTAAATAAAACCTTTTCTATCATTATGATTGTTATCATTAATGTTTTTATTGTTTACTTAATCCTTTTTACTTTCTTTCAAGCAGCACGTCTCTCCTTTTGCTGTACAACTAACCCAACGTGTTATTTTACATCTACTGGACTCAATTCCCATGTAATATCTCCCACCCTCATTGTAGCTTATACATATTAAATTTAATCTCCAGCATCTCCAAAAGTGTGTTTTATCTCCATAAGACCGTGTCCTCTGTTCTTCTTCATTTGCATTTATCCTTTTGATGGACTCATCCAAGTCCTGGTTCCAGTCAAACCCAACTCTTTCGCCCCTATTCCTATGCACATTAGTTTCACATTTCCAGCCAGCTCCAGGCATCCCAAGTGGATGTCCAGCCACAACCTCAAACTCAAGAGGCTAAAAATTCAATACACTGTATTTCATCTTAAATAGAACCCTTTTACAACCATTTGATTTTAAGTATTTAAGAATCAAAATTGAGAGATGCCTAATCTTCCCCCATGGTTCTCTGATTTTCCATCTGCCACCTCTCAGAATCACCCTTTCATTTGTATCCCAATGGTCACTAGGGTCATACCCTTACTACTTTACGCATGAACTGATTTTCAAGGTCAGGTCTCCCCACTCCAGTCCAGCCTGAATACAAAGCATGTGAAAAGAATCTTTCATTGGGTCACTCCCCATTCAAGAACCTTCAATGGTTCCCTACCATTGACTGCACTACCACTACAGTGCCAACTCTACTGACTTTTAGGTTCTCCATAAACTTAATATGCTTCGGCTATGCTCAACTCATTCTCTAATCATCCGCAATGTACACTCCCATCTCTTAGACTGTCTCTACACTGCCCTCCAAATCTTTTGCATGTATTACTGAGCTCTTCTACCTCCTTTCAGACTCATCTCAAATTCTGCCTCCAGAAAGCTTTTTCTGCTTATCCCAAATTCTACTATATTTATTCTTTGAATGGCTACTACATACTTAGTTGGCTTTTGTCACCAAATGCTCAAAGTTTCTCAGCTCCTCTTGCATGTTCTGGGTTGCCCCTAGGATGATGCCCCATTCATAACACTTGAAGCAACTCTTCTACAAATACTTTATGATCAAAGACTGGGTTAATCAGCACAGATTGTCTTTACAAGCAAGTGGACTCTGGGCACCCTCTAGGGTAAAATTGTTCATACAGTATATAACTTATTCTAGCTGTACAACCACTAACATTCAGCGATTCCTACAAAAACAGAGGCTTTTCAAAATAAAGCTTCTGTTTTTGCATGCATGGCCCTCCTTGGTCCTATATATACCAGCCTTCCAAGCTGGTATCTTTATCTACCCCTGCCCCCATCCTTTACCTTAAGCATTCAACTCAACTCAGAGTGCTCCTATTATTGTTTGAAATTAGTTAAATACTAAAATCAAGCCATTAGAAAGTATGCAACAAAAAAACTCATCTAGTATAAAGGAAATAATAAAAGCAAATATAACCAAATTAGTAAACAGAATCATATTAAAATTATAAATTAAATCCAAGAGCTGATTCATTGGGGAAAAAAATGTAACAAACATAATTTTAGAAATTTAGACCACATGTAAGTAAATGTAAAAAGCATAGAGAATATAAAAATTGATAAGGTGAGTCTTACAATTATTTGAAAGTATTATTTATGTGGCCAAAAATCATATAAAAAAAAGTTCAGCATCACTGATCATTAGAGAAATGCAAATCAAAACCACAATGAGATATCATCCCACACCAGTCAGAATAGCTATTATTAAAAAGTCAAAAACTAACAGAGTCTGGCGAGGTTGCAGAGAAAAAGGAAAGCTTATACACTGTTGGTGGGAGTATAAATTAGTGTGACAATTCCTCAAAGGCCTAAGGACAAAATTACCATTTGACCCAGCAGTCCCATTACTGGGTATATACCCAAAGGAATATACATCATTCTATAATAAAGACACATGCATGCTTATTAGGCATACCATTTAGGCAACCTAAATGCCTACTAATGGTACACTGGATAAAGAAAGTGTGGTACATATACACCATGGAATACTATGCAGCCATAAAAAAGAATGAGCTCATGTCCTTTGCAGGAACATGGATGGAGCTAGAGGCCATTATTCTTAGCAAACCAATGCGAGAACAGAAACCAAATACCGCATATTCTCACTTATAAGTGGAAGCTAAATAACGAGAACACAGGGACACATAGAGGGGAACAACATGTACTGGGGCCTACCAGAGGGTGGAGGGTGGGAAGATGCAGAGGATTAGGAAAAGCAACTAATAAATACTAAGCTTAATACCTGGGTGATGAAATAATCTGTACAACAAACCCTCATGACACGTTTACCTATGTAACAAATCTGCACATCCTGCGCATGTACCCCTGAACTTAAAAGTTAAAAAAAAAAAAAGAAAAGAAAAGAAAGTGTTATGTTTACCTCAATACCAGCCCTTTTCAACCAGTTCAACTTCTCTCCTCTGCCTCTAGAATTGTAGCAGTTATGTTCCATCTTAGGAAAATTGAAAACATAACCACTATAATCTTTCTTTGGAAGCCTCATTTATCTAGATCTCAATGAAATGATAATATTGTAAAATAAATAAATAAATAAACAAATGACTTAAAGGAAATCTATTTAGAAGAAATCATTAAAAAATTGAATAACTTCAAAAAAACGTAACTTCTGAAAATGGTCCAAAGCAGCTAGTTTTATGGGTGAGTTCTTTCAAATCCTCATCCAATGTAAGCTCCAGGAAACAGAAAAAAACTGTAAAGCACCCAGTATATTTTAAGTAGCTAAACACTGTTCCATAAGAAAATCTGATGGAAAAAAATATTAAAACTATAGTTTTGTTTTATTTGTAAATATAGATTCAATAATCCTAATTTTTTTAAAAAAACAAACCTACTAGATTCTATACTGTATTGCAAAGAATGTCCAATAATCAAAGTTAAGTTTATCATAGAAATATAAATTGAGTTTATCATTCAGAAAATAATTCATATATTAGTTCCACAGATCCAACTGGAAAAAAAAAATGAAGACTCAAATAATTTCAATCCATGCTTTAAACTAGGAAGAGAATAATTCCTTAAAATGAAAAATAAGGCCAATCTTACAATAGCCAGCACTATACTGATAAATACGATGAAGACACATTGTTTTACTGTTAACATTCAACATGGTTCTGGAAGGTCTAGTCAGTACTTTAAAATTTTGAAATCAAAAGAAAGGGTAAACTTTAGGATGTAGAAAATGAAACCACCACCATTTGCATGTGATATACTTATATATCAAAAAAATACTGAAAACATAAATAGCAAAGTTCAGTAAAGCACAAGACATGTTTACAAAAGTCGAAAGCCTTCCAATATATTAGCCAAAATTAGTTAATAAGTACTATGAAGAAAACATTCTAATCCCAATAGCAACACAACATCTAAAATGCCCAAAACTGATCTTATTGAATAACATCTGAGATTACATCAATGAAATGATCAAACTTTATAGAAATATATTTCTTTAATTTTTATAAATGGAAAAACACCATGTTCTTCCCTGGTAAGAGCTGATATTAATTTATAGATTCATTGCAAATTAATTTATAGATTTATTGCAAATTTAAAATTCAAATAAAATTTTTCTTTTTTTTTTTTTGCCTTTTCTTTTCACATTTTTTTTTTTAATTATACTTTAAATTTTAGGGTACATGTGCACAATGTGCGGGTTAGTTACATATGTATACATGTGCCATGCTGGTGCACTGCACCCACTAACTCGTCATCTAGCATTAGGTATATCTCCCAGTGCTATCCCTCCCCCCTCCCCCCACCCCACAACAGTCCCCAGAGTGTGATATTCCCCTTCCTGTGTCCATGTGATCTCATTGTTCAATCCCCACCTATGAGCGAGAATATGCGGTGTTTGGTTTTTTGTTCTTGCAATAGTTTACTGAGAATGATGATTTCCAACTTCATCCATGTCCCTACAAAGGACATGAACTCATCATTTTTTATGGCTGCATAGTATTCCATGGTGTATATGTGCCACATTTTCTTAATCCAGTCTATCATTGTTGGACATTTGGGTTGGTTCCAAGTCTTTGCTATTGTGAATAATGCCACAATAAACATACGTGTGCATGTGTCTTTATAGCAGAATGATTTATAGTCCTTTGGGTATATACCCAGTAATGGGATCCCTAGGTCAAATGGTATTTCTAGTTCTAGATCCCTGAGGAATCACCACACTGACTTCCACAATGGTTGAACTAGTTTACAGTCCCACCAACAGTGTAAAAGTGTTCCTATTTCTCCACATCCTCTCCAGCACCTGTTGTTTCCTGACTTTTTAATGATTGCCATTCTAACTGGTGTGAGATGGTATCTCATTGTGGTTTTGATTTGCATTTTTCTGATGGCCAGTGAAGATGAGCATTTTTTCATGTGTTTTTTGGCTGCATAAATGTCTTCTTTTGAGAAGTGTCTGTTCATGTCCTTCGCCCACTTTTTGATGGGGTTGTTTGTTTTTTTCTTGTAAATTTGTTTGAGTTCATTGTAGATTCTGGATATTAGCCCTTTGTCAGATGAGTAGGTTGCAAAAATTTTCTCCCATTTTGTAGGTTGCCTGTTCACTCTGATGGTAGTTTCTTTTGCTGTGCAGAAGCTCTTTAGTTTAATTAGATCCCATTTGTCAATTTTGGCTTGTTGCCATTGCTTTTGGTGTTTTAGACATGAAGTCCTTTCCCATGCCTATGTCCTGAAAGGTAATGCCTAGGTTTTCTTCTAGGGTTTTTATGGTTTTAGGTCTAACATTTAAGTCTTTAATCCATCTTGAATTGGTTTTTGTATAAGGTGTAAGGAAGGGATCCAGTTTCAGCTTTCTACATATGGCTAGCCAGTTTTCCCAGCACCATTTATTAAATAGGGAATCCTTTCCCCATTGCTTGTTTTTCTCAGGTTTGTCAAAGATCAGATTGTTGTAGATATGCAGCATTATTTCTGAGGGCTCTGTTCTGTTCCATTGATCTATATCTCTGTTTTGGTACCAGTACCATGCTGTTTTGGTTACTGTAGCCTTGTAGTATAGTTTGAAGTCAGGTAGTGTGATGCCTCCAGCTTTGTTCTTTTGGCTTAGGATTGACTTGGCGATGCGGGCTCTTTTTTGGTTCCATATGAACTTTAAAGTAGTTTTTTCCAATTCTGTGAAGAAAGGCATTGGTAGCTTGATGGGGATAGCATTGAATCTGTAAATTACCTTGGGCAGTATGGCCGTTTTCACGATATTGATTCTTCCTACCTATGAGCATGGAATGTTCTTCCATTTGTTTGTATCCTCTTTTATTTCCTTGAGCAGTGGTTTGTAGTTCTCCTTGCAGAGGTCCTTCACATCCCTTGTAAGTTGGATTCCTAGGTATTTTATTCTCTTTGAAGCAATTGTGAATGGGGGTTCACTCATGATTTGGCTCTCTGTTTGTCTGTTGTTGGTGTATAAGAATGCTTGTGATTTTTGTACATTGATTTTGTGTCCTGAGATTTTGCTGAAGTTGCTTATCAGCTTAAGGAGATTTTGGGCTGAGACAATGGGGTTTTCTAGATATACAATCATGTCGTCTGCAAACAGGGACAATTTGACTTCCTCTTTTCCTAATTGAATACCCTTTATTTCCTTCTCCTGCCTAATTGCCCTGGCCAGCATTTCCAACACTATGTTGAATAGGAGTGGTGAGAGAGGGCATCCCTGTCTTGTGCCAGTTTTCAAAGGGAATGTTTCCAGTTTTTGCCCATTCAGTATGATATTGGCTGTGGGTTTGTCATAGATAGCTCTTATTATTTTGAGATATGTCCCATCAATACCTAATTTATTGAGAGTTTTTATCATGAAGGGTTGTTGAATTTTGTCAAAGGCTTTTTCTGCATCTATTGAGATAATCATGTGGTTTTTGTCTTTGGCTCTGTTTATATGCTGGATTACATTTATTGATTTGTGTATATTGAACCAGCCTTGCATCCCAGGGATGAAGCCCACTTGATCATGGTGGATAAGCTTTTTGATGTGCTGCTGGATTCGGTTTGCCAGTATTTTATTGAGGATTTTTGCATCAATGTTCATCAAGGATATTGGTCTAAAATTCTCTTTTTTTGTTGTGTCTCTGCCTGGCTTTGGTATCAGAATGATGCTGGCCTCATAAAATGAGTTAGGGAGGATTCCCTCTTTTTCTATTGATTGGAATAGTTTCAGAAGGAATGGTACCAGTTCCTCCTTGTACCTCTGGTAGAATTCAGCTGTGAATACATCTGGTCCTGGACTCTTTTTGGTTGGTAAGCTATTGATTATTGCCACAATTTCAGATCTTGTTATTGGTCTATTCAGAGATTCAACTTCTTCCTGGTTTAGTCTTGGGAGAGTGTATGTGTTGAGGAATTTATCCATTTCTTCTAGATTTTCTAGTTTATTTGCGTAGAGGCGTTTGTAGTATTCTCTGATGGTAGTTTGTATTTCTGTGGGATCGGTGGTGATATCCCCTTTATCATTTTTTATAGCGTCTATTCAATTCTTCTCTCTTTTTTTCTTTATTAGTCTTGCTAGCGGTCTATCAATCTTGTTGATCCTTTCAAAAAACCAGCTCCTGGATTCATTAATTTTTTGAAGGGTTTTTTGTGTCTCTATTTCCTTCAGTTCTGCTCTGATTTTAGTTATTTCTTGCCTTCTGCTAGCTTTTGAATGTGTTTGCTCTTGCTTTTCTAGTTCTTTTAATTGTGATGTTAGGGTGTCAATTTTGGATCTTTCCTGCTTTCTCTTGTGGGCATTTAGTGCTATAAATTTCCCTCTACACACTGCTTTGAATGCATCCCAGAGATTCTGGTATGTGGTGTCTTTGTTCTCGTTGGTTTCAAAGAACATCTTTATTTCTGCCTTCATTTTGTTATGTACCCAGTAGTCATTCAGGAGCAGGTTGTTCAGTTTCCATGTAGTTGAGCGGTTTTGAGTGAGATTCTTAATCCTGAGTTCTAGTTTGATTGCACTGTGGTCTGAGAGACAGTTTGTTATAATTTCTGTTCTTTTACATTTGCTGAGGAGAGCTTTACTTCCAAGTATGTGGTCAATTTTGGAATAGGTGTGGTGCGGTGCTGAAAAAATGTATATTCTGTTGATTTGGGGTGGAGAGTTCTGTAGATGTCTATTAGGTCCACTTGGTGCAGAGCTGAGTTCAATTCCTGGGTATCCTTGTTGACTTTCTGTCTCGTTGATCTGTCTAATGTTGACAGTGGGGTGTTAAAGTCTCCCATTATTAATGTGTGGGAGTCTAAGTCTCTTTGTAGGTCACTCAGGACTTGCTTTATGAATCTTGGTGCTCCTGTATTGGGTGCATATATATTTAGGATAGTTAGCTCTTCTTGTTGAATTGATCCCTTTACCATTATGTAATGGCCTTCTTTGTCTCTTTTGATCTTTGTTGGTTTAAAGTCTGTTTTATCAGAGACTAGGATTGAAACCCCTGCCTTTTTTTGTTTTCCATTTGCTTGGTAGATCTTCCTCCATCCTTTTATTTTGAGCCTATGTGTGTCTCTGCACATGAGATGGGTTTCCTGAATACAGCACACTGATGGGTCTTGACTCTTTATCCAATTTGCCAGTCTGTGTCTTTTAATTGGAGCATTTAGTCCATTTACATTTAAAGTTAAAATTGTTATGTGTGAATTTGATCCTGTCATTATGATGTTAGCTGGTTATTTTGCTCTTTAGTTGATGCAGTTTCTTCCTAGTCTTGATGGTCTTTACATTTTGGCATGATTTTGCAGCGGCTGGTACCGGTTGTTCCTTTCCATGTTTAGTGCTTCCTTCAGGAGCTCTTTTAGGGCAGGCCTGGTGGTGACAAAATCTCTCAGCATTTGCTTGTCTGTAAAGTATTTTATTTCTCCTTCGCTTATGAAGCTTAGTTTGGCTGGATATGAAATTCTGGGTTGAAAATTCTTTTCTTTAAGAATGTTGAATATTGGCCCCCACTCTCTTCTGGCTTGTAGGGTTTCTGCCGAGAGATCCGCTGTTAGTCTGATGGGCTTCCCTTTGAGGGTAACCTGACCTTTCTCTCTGGCTGCCCTTAACATTTTTTCCTTCATTTCAACTTCGGTGAATCTGACAATTATGTGTCTTGGAGTTGCTCTTCTCGAGGAGTATCTTTGTGGCGTTCTCTGTATTTCCTGAATCTGAACGTTGGCCTGCCTTGCTAGATTGGGGAAGTTCTCCTGGATAATATCCTGCAGAGTGTTTTCCAACTTGGTTCCATTCTCCCCATCACTTTCAGGTACACCAATCAGATGTAGATTTGGTCTTTTCACATAGTCCCATATTTCTTGGAGGCTTTGCTCATTTCTTTTTATTCTTTTTCCTCTAAACTTCCCTTCTCGCTTCATTTCATTCATTTCATCTTCCATCGCCGATACCCTTTCTTCCAGTTGATCGCATCGGCTCCTGAGCCTTCTGCATTCTTCACATAGTTCTCGAGCCTTGGTTTTCAGCTCCATCAGCTCCTTTAAGCACTTCTCTGTATTGGTTATTCTAGTTATACATTCTTCTAAATTTTTTTCAAAGTTTTCAACTTCTTTGCCTTTGGTTTGAATGTCCTCCCGTAGCTCAGAGTAATTTGATCGTCTGAAGCCTTCTTCTCTCAGCTCCTCAAAGTCATTCTCCATCCAGCTTTGTTCCGTTGCTGGTGAGGAACTGCGTTCCTTTGGAGGAGGAGAGGCGCTCTGGTTTTTAGAGTTTCCAGTTTTTCTGTTCTGTTTTTTCCCCATCTTTGTGGTTTTATCTACTTTTGGTCTTTGATGATGGTGATGTACAGATGGGTTTTTGGTGTGGATGTCCTTTCTGTTTGTTAGTTTTCCTTCTAACAGACAGGACCCTCAGCTGCAGGTCTGTTGGAATACCCTGCAGTGTGAGGTGTCAGTGTGCCCCTGCTGGGGGGTGCCTCCCAGTTAGGCTGCTCGGGGGTCAGGGGTCAGGGACCCACTTGAGGAGGCAGTCTGCCCGTTCTCAGATCTCCAGTTGCGTGCTGGGAGAACCACTGCTCTCTTCAAAGCTGTCAGACAGGGACATTTAAGTCTGCAGAGGTTACTGCTGTCTTTTTGTTTGTCTGTGCCCTGCCCCCAGAGGTGGAGCCTACAGAGGCAGGCAGGCCTCCTTGAGCTGTGGTGGGCTGCGCCCAGTTGGAGCTTCCTGGCTGCTTTGTTTACCTAAGCAAGCCTGGGCAATGGCGGGTGCCCCTCCCCCAGCCTCGCTGCCACCTTGCAGTTTGATCTCAGACTGCAGTGCTAGCAATCAGCGAGACTCCGTGGGCATAGGACCCTCCAAGCCAGGTGTGGGATATAATCTCGTGGCGCGCCGTTTTTTAAGCCCGTCGGAAAAGCGCTGTATTCGGGTGGGAGTGACCCGATTTTCCAGGTGCGTCCGTCACCCCTTTCTTTGACTCGGAAAGGGAACTCCCTGACCCCTCGCGCTTCCCAAGTGAGGCAATGCCTCGCCCTGCTTCGGCTCGCGCACGGTGCGCGCACTCACTGGCCTGCGCCCACTGTCTGGCACTCCCTAGTGAGATGAACCCTGTACCTCAGATGGAAATGCAGAAATCACCGTCTTCTGCGTCGCTCAGGCTGGGAGCTGTAGACCGGAGTTGTTCCTATTCGGCCATCTTGGCTCCTCCCCCTCAAATAAAATTTTTCAACTTGTCTAAGTGATTCTAAGATTCATCTAGAAAAATAAAACATTGAGACCAGCTTTTAAAAAATTAAAGAAAAGAGTAATGAATAAGGATTTAGCTACTAGACATAAAAACTTTTATGAAACTACAATAATTTAGATGATGTGGTAATAGCACAGGCCTTGACAGATTAATAGGAAAGACTAGATAGTCCTGAAATAGGACTAAAAATATATAAAAACTTAATGAAGAATGATAAATGAAAAATCACATACCATAAAAATGTTGGAAGTAACACTGGTGAATATAAAACTGATTTAAAAGCAATAGAATATGTCACCAAGGAAAAGATACATAGATTTAACTGCATAATATTTAAAATTTGTATATCACTGAAATAAAGCTTATCTAATATAACATCAAGGATATTTTAAAAGTTAACAACAAAACTCTGTATCAGAAAACACCATAAAATTATTTAAAAGCAAATGGCAACCTTGAAAAAAATTTTGCAATATATATGACAAGTTAATGACTACTGCATATAAAAATATTCACATATCAATAAAAAATAAGAACATTCTGTGTTTTCTTTCCTACTGCTGCTGTAACAAATTATCACCAATTTAGTGGCTTACACCACACAAATTTATTCTCTTACATTCCTGGCCGTCAGAAGTCTGAAAGCATTCTCACTGAGCTAAAGTCAAGATTTCAACAGGGCTAGCTTGTTCCATGCTCTCGGAGAAAATCCTTTCCCTCCCTTTCCCAGTTTCTGCGGGCCACCTGCCTTTCCTGCCTTACAGCCTCTTCTTCCATCTTCAAAGCCAGCAATGTAATATTTCAGATCACCCTCCTGTGACCTCAGCTTCCTTTGTCAACTCTCCTGCTCTGACTCTAACTCTCCTGTCTCCCTCCAATAACGACTCCACATAAATAATTCAGAATAATATCCTCATCTCAAGGTCCTTAATTTAATCACATCTGCAAAGTCCATTTTGCCATGTAAGCAAATATATTCACATGTTCAGGGACAAGATTATGGACATCTTTGAGAGCCCATATTCTTTCTGGCACACATCAATAGAAAAAAAAGAGACAACACATAGAATAAAAAAACAAATAAATGCCCAATAAACCCATGAAATACATGTTCAATCTCACTAGAATTCTAACAACTAGAAAAGAAAACAAGAGTGAGATACTTCTTTTGCCTGATAAATTGCCGAAGATTTTTCTAAAATGTGAATGCATTTTCTGAAATGTGAATGCAAGAGTACAGTTTCCAAACCATTAGGTGACATGTGTCAAAAGCCTTAGAAAGTTCATGTCATTTAATCCCATAATTTTATTACTCAAAATTTTTCCTAAGGAATTACTTAGAGATTCAAAATATATCATATGACTATTACCCACAGTATTTTTAAAGAGAAATAAATTAGAAACTACATCCAACAACAAGGTATTGGCTAAATAAACTGTGATAAAACTATATGATTGAATACTATGCAGCCATTAAAATTTGATCTTTAAAGATTTTTAATAATATTGAGACTATTCTCACAATAGACTGCTGAGGACAAAATATAAACAGGGTCTAAAACTGCATGTATTATAAAATATATGCAAATAGAAGGCTAATGATGGTTAACTCAGAGCCATTGGATTATGAGTTATTTTTATTTTCTTCATTACACTTTTTATATTTGCTAAATTTTTAATAATAAATAATATTACTGTTATAATCATTTTTTAAAAGGTAATTTAAAAATTTCAAAGTGAAGGATGGCAGATGTTGGCCATTGAGCCTTAGAATTCTAAGCAGGATGGAAAATAAAGTGTTTTATGCCCCCAAATGGCAGCTCCCACACATCAATCAGAGACCAGCCATGCACATTATTCCTTTTAGAAGCAAAGCCAGACAGCACTGTGCGCAAATCAGTATCTCACAGTTACGTACCGTTGCCAGGAGGGAGACAACACAGAACAAGTTCAGCACAGAACCCCAACTTCAAGTAGAAACAGGTTTTCCTCCTTGCTGTGGGCCTAGAAAGGATTACAAGCATATTGCAGAGCCCTCCAGAGTCAGAAGGGAAGAATGAAACCACATGAATTTTAATTAAATTCTAAAATAGGACATAGAAACTAGTTGGAATAACTGAAGAATACGCCAGATAAACACATCAGCCATAGCACAGTTCACAATACAACTTCCCATCGGGCAAAAAATACAAATGATAATTTTGATACGGACTCCTAGAAG
The DNA here is from genome assembly GCF_000001405.40 of Homo sapiens. Lineage (NCBI taxonomy): Eukaryota > Metazoa > Chordata > Mammalia > Primates > Hominidae > Homo > Homo sapiens. Next base: position 191,759,592 of record NC_000002.12, on the reverse strand, counting down.
GAACACCCATTCCAAATGTGAGTTAGCTCCTTCACATTGAAAAATATCATTTTCAATAAGCTAATGGAAAGTTAGCTTTAGGATAACAGGGACTTTTTTAAAACCCTGTGGTGTCATTGCTATATGTCTGTTGACTTAAATAGTGTCTGTTGCCTAGTGGGTACTCAATAGATAATTATTAAATTAAGGTTGGATCAATAGAATTACTATAAACCTTGGTAGTCTATCTTTAGGTTAATTGACCTCACTTTCATAGGATTTGAACTCATAGCCAATCAGAGCCAGCAGTGAGGAATTAATGAGCACAACTTGTACACTGGAGAGGATATTATGTTAGGAAAAATCCTATCTCAGTATCTGAAAAGGAAGGTAAACCTCTTCCAATTCAGGTCCGTCTGTTTAACATGAGAAAACTAATATCTGAGTCTAAAGTGAGTCACCCCAGGACACTTCCCTAATTGATAGCGAAACCGAGTCACTGCCACCTAGTGGAGGGGTCTGCTCCTCTCGCCCTTCCTCACACTGACTAGATGGGCAGGTGGAAGCATGTTCCGTGGAGCCAGCTGTATGCCTCCTGCCTCACTCTCCTCTCAAAATAGGACCACCCCCCATGCTACCCCACACTCTACACCTGGCACCTGCCATTCTCATATTACTAACTCTAAAAACTTGATGTGGGCAGCATTACTTTTATCAAGACTAATGGCAAAGATCCTTTTTCAGATCAGTTGCCAACTGATTTTGAAACCAGCTCAAGGAATGTCCTTTCTGAAGGCACCGAATATTGCAAGCCTAGTAGACTTCCTGCTCCTTGCAATTGTGTTATTCATCCTCGAAGTCTCTACATTTGACATTTTGCCATTGTCGGCTCATTAAATAAATTACTTATTAAAATAAAAGTGCATCCTGCATTAAGTGCCCGGCCTGCTGACATCGAGCTGAGGAATGATTCCAATCGGCTTTCAGTGTCATCTGATTGCATCGAGCCAGCCTGGCTGCCAGCCCCCAAGCGGCCCTATAGAGGCCAGGGACACACAGAAATTGAGAGCACAGGGTACACAGTAAGGCCTGCTTCCAATGAAGAGGAACACTTTTACAATTTGAGGGCCAAAAACATAATATGACGCCATTGTGGGCCACTTTCTGTTCTTAGCAAAAATCTTTAATTTGCAAATTTCCTTTCTTATATTCAAGGAATATAAGAAAACATAATATATTTTCTTATATTCAAGGAATATAAGAAAACGTAATATATTTTCTTATATTCAAGGAATATAAGAAAACGTAATATATTTTCTTATATTCAAGGAATATAAGAAATATATTTTCTTATATTCAAGGAATATAAGAAAATATATTTCTTATATTCAAGGAATATAAGAAAATATATTTTCTTATATTCAAGGAAAAGACCTGGCAGGATCTCTCCCAGATAGGAGTTGACAGTAGCTCACCAGAAACAGAGACAACACCATTATGAACAAACTTCAAGGCAAAGGAAAGACTTGAATTCCCTTTCTTCTCACCTCAAAATCCGTTTCCAAAACTAAAATTCAAGCAGCAAACATAACATTTGAAAAATGAGATGCTCCCTCCCCCTCCATTTTCACCTGTTTCTCTAGAATGTGAAGCAGCAAATGTAGATTTCTGTGATTTCTGTGCAAGGAAAATTGGAGCAGATAGGGTCTTAGCTGAGCTGGGAATGTGATAAATATTTTCATGGACTGCTGAATCTCACTAATTGGATACTTTAATGAAACTTGAGGTATCTCTTCCTAACTTCTAACACACTTTTAACCCTTACAACTTGTATGGGCAATTTTTTAAACAGAAGAATGTTTGATCCAAGAAAATCAATTTTTTTTTCAAACAGAAAGTCCAGTGGTAAATTAATAACAGCTCCTAATAAAGAAAGGATCATTGGTTTTTTCTGCTGCCTTCAGAACAGCTAATAAAGACTATTTCTTCCCAGTGTTCAATCAAAATGAAATGAACATTAATTGGACATTAAGTACTAAGGAAATGCCCACTAGTTCTTTCTCACTTCTCCCACTCCATCCTCATCCTACCATTTCCTCTGTTAACAAACTAGGCAGAAAGATGTCTCCTCCTATTGTACCTAAACAAATCAGCATACAGGGAAGTGATTTATCATTCATGAAAAGCAATCAGATTGCTTGGGGCTGACAGCTGTTCCCAAAATGCAGCTGAGAAACAGACCTTTGGCAAAGTGTAAAATTTGGAACAAAATCATATTACTGTACTTCAGCTGGCAACACAAAAGGCTGACAGTGAGCTTAATAAACAAAATACCATGCAGCTCGAAATATATTAGCTAGTCTACATTTATGAACAAAAATGGTCACTTCTCCCATTTTTTTTCTAAGTCACCTTCAGTCAAACTAAATACCTAGCAAAAGTAAAATGCTCTCTTTAGGTTTTTTTCTTTTTTTTTTTTTTTTTAAGATTTAGGCAAATTTTTGGTAAAGACTTTTTTTCCCACACAATTCATTATGGGAAATGGACCAGAAGGAGGAAAAAATGATGAAACATGCATAAAGGTTAAAGAGGGACACAGCTTTTACTAGAAAAGGAAGAATTCCAGTATATTCTGGCCTCTGAGCCATAATTCATTTCATTTCCCGTGTTGAGAATGCTTTCCCATATCTCTCTGCCTGTCTAAGGTCTAGCTATCCTTTCAAACAAATTTAGATCGTCATCAAACCTCGAAAATGCTACAATTCTGAAATGATTTTCCTGACTGCTCTGGCCCCCAGTGATCTCAGCCTCCCTTGAATTCTGTAACATTTCTTTCGGTACTCTTGATCTCTTTCCCCTTGTGTCCCCTCATGTCTAATCTCTTTCTGCATGGCTCCCACCACCTATTTAATCATGTTGAACCTCTTGCTCTACGTCCAATGCAAAATATATTTTTTCATACCTCTGTGTTTCTTTAACCACTGATTCCTTGGCAAAGAAATCTCCTTCACCTGTTCTTCATGGCCAATCATATTCACAATTTAAGACTTACTTCAGGGCCAGGGATCAGTGGCTCACACCCATAATTCCAAAGCTTTAGCAGGATGATCACTTGAAGCCAGGAGTTCCAGACCAACCTGGGCAACATAACAAGACCCCAATCTCTCTCTCTCTCTCTCTCTCTCTCTCTCTCTCTCTCTCTCTCACACACACACACACACACTCTCTCTCTGTTTGTGTGCGTGTGTGTGTGTCTATAGGGGAACATATTAATATTATAGCAGAGTTTGGTGTCATGTGCCTGTAGTCACAGCTACTCCGCAGGCTGAGGCAGGAAGATCCTCTGAGCCCAGGAGATAACTGCAGTGAGTTATGATCATGCCACCGCACTCCAGCCTGGGTGACAGAGTGAGACCTTGTCTCCAGAAAAAAAAAAGAGATAGAGAGAGAGAAAGAAAGAGAGAGAGAAAGAAAGAAAGAAAGAGAGAGACAGAGAGAGAGACAAAGAAAGAAAGAAGGAAGGAAAGTTCAAATGTCCTCCATTTGATAAACATATAGTGAGATTCTATGCTGATGCTTGCCCTGAACTAATGGCTTGAGGTAAAGATATGGAAAAGATATAGCCACCATCATAAAGACATCCACATATTCTTAGTATTAAAGACCCAAATCCTTAACCTGTTCTAAAAATCATGGTGTCATGTGGCCTTCTAGCTACGTCACTAGCCTCACCTGTGCCTCTGCTCCCCTACTCCTCTGGGCTCCTGCCACACTAGCTTTCTCTTGTTCTCAAGGCTTCCATGCTCCCTCCAACTTCAGGACTTCTTTACTGTGCTTTTCCTCCCATCATGCATGCATCTTTGATTAACAGACTCCTGATCTGCCTTCCTTCTCAGCCCTCATACTCCATTCCCAGGGAAATCTCTTTCAAGTCTTTTGTCAAAGTCCAATCCTCTGATTAAGCACTCTTACAGCACCCATGTAAGTTTTCTTCAAAACAGTGATGAAAGTTCTGATTTTTCCAAGTGTTTATTGGCTTATTTGTTTAATGCCTGCTTCTTCCATAAGACTATAAACTGCATGCAGCATAACCTTTGTATGAGTTTGCCAGTAGGTCCTCAGGATCTCTTTTCATGTCTGTACATGTTAACATTCAAAAGAGTTACTGATGGAATACATAAAAAAAAGAATGTGTGAAAAAATAAAAGTCCAGTTGGTAAGACAAAAAAGCCCTTGATTCCAATAGAATGCGGTATGGAGGAAGCTGTGTGTGATGTAGGACCCCCACGAGGGGACCTGATTTAACAGAAGGTCACTGATACGTCTCAAGGAAACAATTCTTCTGACCATCAGATAGTAAAGTCAAATTGAAATTGGCCAAAGGGTGAACGGGAAGTGAAGCTGTGGCCACAATAAGTGAGGATCCTCCTTTTAAGAGGTTTAATTGTAGGGTGTCTAGAAAAAGGATGTAGACTGGAGAGGATGATTTTTTTAATGAGAGACTGAAAAAATATGTATGTATTGTTGGAGAAGAGCAAGAAAGATGAAGAGGTTGGGTAACTGGTGGGCCTACATCCCTAAAAATCTAGAGAGAATAGGAAGTGGAACAGAGGTAAGAGGAATTATTCTTAACAGAAAAAGGGATCTTTCTTTTATTAGATAGGAGAAAAGAATGTTAAAATGTGTAGAGATGCAACTTTCATTTAACAAATATTTATTGAACACATACAATAAGCCTAATACTTATCTATGTTCTTAGGTTACAATGGTAAATGAAGCAAAGTTCTCTACCCCAATGACATTTATATTCCAGCAAAGAACAGACATAGGATATAAGCAAATTATAGAGTACATTAGAAAGTGGAGTTTGCCACAGGATAAGGGGGCTAGACTGTGTGTGTGGAGAGAGTAGAATAGGATTTTAAATAGGATGGGCCTCATTGAAAAGATGACAAGTAACCAAAGACATAAAAAGAAAGGTGAGTTAGCCATGCAGGTATCAGGGAAAAGAGAGATCCAGGTAAAGAGAACAACTGGGTCAAAGACTCTGAGCTGGGAGCATGAACATTTAGAAGGAAGACAAGAAATTGATGGTATTGCATGCTAATGGCTCCAACATTTTCTTTGTGAAGCAAAGGAGACATTATCTGCTGATGGAGGAGCTGAGGCTTAATTGAGGGAAACTGTGAAACTTTGTACTAGCTGCTGTTGAGCATAGAAGAGGGAACATATATGAGATGTCTCAAGGACTTCTGGCAGCACTGACAATTGGAGAACAGAGTTCCGGTTTCATGTATTTGCACTGGCGAAATTCCCATTCAGTAGCCCAAGCCTGATAGCTAAGAAAGCAAAGAGGCGAACCTGTCCAAAGAGAGGGCAAAGTCCCAAGAAAGTGGGGAGAGAATTATTCCTGTGATGGACTGTGGAAAAGAAAGAAAGTGGTGCCAAAATACAATGGATGCACCCAGAGAAACAGTGACAACCTTCTCACTTCCACAGATTCTCCAAAGGAGCTAGCCACTCCCTCTTGTGCTTCCATAGTAGGTCATACTACATTAATTACTATGTTAATTATGTCACACTAGATTATGTTCATATGTAAGAATATCTTATTCTCCTTTGGATCTCCCCCATGGCTTTGCCCAATGCCTGGCCAAGAGTAGGCATTTAGAATACATTTGTTGAATTAAACAATAAATTAAATGATATAACATTTATGCTTTGCTACCTATTATAATTATTTATTTTTCCAGGCGTATAATCTGTCTTCTCTACTATAGAAGGTAGGTTAAGAGCGGGAATTATGCCTTGTACTTCTTTGTTTCCCTAGGAGTGTGCCCTAGAAATAAAAGAAACTCAATAATTTTTTGTTATTGTTGTTGAAGGGAAAAAAATGATTAAGACAGTAAAGCAAGGTCAATTTCTAGAGTTCTGTATCCCTGAAGCAATCATAAACCTGTAGTAGAGTAACTGTAAAGTTTTGAGACTAGAACAGAAAAAAATGATGTAATCAGAAGAACTGCAGTGACAAGTGTTGAAAAGGATGATTCCGGAGATAAATGGTTCCTTGTGTCTCCAACATAGCCAAGTACTTCCAGAAAATTATTTCCCAGGATAGCACCATCCCTGGGGTTAAAAAGAGCATTTTACAAAATCATCACAGCTTGATGGAACTATCCTTCAAGACAATGATCCTCCAATTGTGGTATGAGTATCCTCGGGGGAACTGAAGGTGATTCTGAAGATATGAGAAGCACCAGAGTAAACATGGTACACTTTTAAAATATTACTAGATGTCAAATTAAAAGATATTATCAACATCAAGAGAATGGCAGATATCTTATGAGATAGAATGTAAGTTTTGAGTGAATGTTAATGATAAAAATTTAACTGTACATAAAGTAAGCCCGTTTGATCTCTGCCCCTACACCTGGTACAGGATGTAGAGATCAGAGGTGAGGAGGGCAGGAGATGAGTATTCACTTTCATTAGCTATTCTAGCACTTCACTAGGTGAATTTGAGAAGGACTGCATTATAGCTACTCCTTGCTGATCTAATTAAATATCAAGGAACTTCTCAAGTCAATTGAATTTTTAAGTGAATCTTACCACCAGACAGAAAGTACCCTGTGAAAATAACTATTCCCACTCCCAGGCCAAGTGTAGCCCTTTCATTAAAGACATAAATTTTCTTCCAGGTACAAATAATTTTGTGTGAATATAGGCAATGAAAATAAAACACAAAACAATTCATTTGCCCTTAAATGTTATTTTCATTTACTTGTATCCCCCCAAAAAACTTTAATAAAACATTCATTTTGTTGACCTAATCTAGATGCAGGCCCAGATCCACAAATTCACCTAATTGGAAAATAACATATAGAGTTCATGCTTCAATATTCGCACTGCAATGGTATTAACCCAAGTTATTAGTAGGCTTTTTCTCTCCTTCACACATTGATTTTCTAGTTCTATGTTCATGGTCTTAGGGTATATATGCCCTCTATTGTAAGTTTAAATTATACTTTATAGTAGGTATGGTATAAATTGTAAATTGAAAAATAATTAGAAAGGCTTAGTCTTCTAGATGGAGAATAAAAGGGAACATGGAAAGTTCTCTTCCTTCTTCATAATTTGTGCTTCTAGAACCATCCATGGGTATCCTTCAAAACACTCTCTCCCCAAGACCCAGGAGAAGAGGGTTCAGCAAGTATGAGTACACATTCTAAACTGATTTTATCTGCTCAGAGGAAAAAAAAAATGATTAGGGGAAACAAAGTGAGAGAGAGAGAGAGAGTTTTACAGTGTCATTTTGTATGCAATGTACCACCAAAAGCCAAGAGTAAAGAATAAAAGATACCTGGGGACAACTTCTTAGAAACTTATAATTAATGTATTATGTTTATTCTCAAACTCCTGCTTTCTCCCTAAAATATTTACATCATTAATATTCAATATTCAAACGTGTATGTAGATTTTAGCTAAAGTAAATTAAATTTAGATGAGTTTGCATTTATGTTTCTTTAATCCACTTATGTATTTATTATTTGATCATCAGAACATTAGCTAATGATTTCCAAGAATTGGACTGTACCATGAGGCTTTTTATGAAACACATGAATTTTTTTTTTACTATCTTGATTATTTGAATGTTAGTCATTTTAATCAAATTACCTTCCTTCAATTGCCAAATGAGCCATTTTTATGGAAAGAGCTGAAATGCATTTAAAGGAAACCACAGTGAACTTAAAAAATGGTCCCATTGATCTTAATATGGAAACAATTTAAATTCAATTTTGTGTTGGTTTGGATATTTTTCAATCGGCAGGATAAACTACATTATTCAACAACAAATACCCAGAAAGTTTTCCTTCTGTACAATTACCCAGGTTAAGCAATTAAGGCACAGAGCCCCAGAGATCTCCTATCCAATTTACACCAAGATTTGCTCTCTGAAAGGCCACTTTCTTCATGCTTTTTCTCTCTCAAAAGCCCATAGCAAATTTTTCAAGGATTTTCCCTGCCAACTGCCTTTCCTTATTCTTAAAGTACACTTCTTCATGGAGTACTTACCAGTATTTTTCCTCAGTTATCTTTCCCTATTTCAGGTTGACCTAGAGGGGTTTACTACCACGTATCCTTCTTCTTCGACAAGCACAACATAATCTTAACAGTTCCCCTAAGAGCCTAGCAAAAGCCCAAGTTGTTTGGAAGGTGCCTGTGTGTGTTCAGTGTAATTTCAGTTACAATCCTTGGCTTTGATGCTCCACTTTCCACACAGCACCAAATACAAAGAGAGAGGTAGAAAGTATGCCCATTTAAGCTAACTTCTCTATGTAATTTCACTGGAATTATTTTAAATTGGATTTCATCTTAGCATAAATTTACATATTTATTATTGGGCCTAGAAGTCAATAGTTTTAACTGCCTCTGAATCCCATTTACTCACCATCAAGGAAAAAGTGAAATAAAATTGGATTTTGACGCAGATGAATTTATTCATATGTATTACAGAATAATGTGAATGGATGCAAAAGAATCCCAAAATTAAGCATAAAGCCTAACTCCTATTTACAGGTAATATATGCAATGTGCCACAGCTTAACTCTCACTCAGCCTGTTCTGCCCCCACCCTGACACGGACAGGATCTGGCCAATAATGTCCTCAAGCACCACAAAGTCCTAGACAGGAAATGCAGTTGTCCCCACTTTCCTGTCATCTTCATGACAAAGATTGGACATAGATACACACCTTCAAAGGGGCAGGGCCCAAGAGATGTGCAGAGTCTCCGAGGATACCAATGGAGAAACAAATGAGTCTAGAAGAAGGAGAGAAGAATTTTCCTCCTCTTCCCCTCGTTCTACATTTTCCCGCACAAACCCACATAGTATCCACTATGCCTTGTACTTAACAGACACTCAATAAATGTTGAATTAGTAAAATTAGCAAGTAAAAGAACCACCCCTAGACCTAGGTGAGAGGAACCCTAGCTTTATAGGGTGCCATGTTTAAGATGAGTCCCCCTCTGCTATAGCTGCACCCCTCCCCTTAGGGCCAAGGGTACATGTCTACCAGGAACCTATATCCATCCCACACTCTGTCCATGTTCTGGGAGTATAGGACCTTAGAATTCCTTGCCCAGGCCAGGCACGGTGGCTCATGCCTGTAACCCCAGCATTTTGGGAGGCCGAGGTGGGTGAATCACTTGAGGTCAGGAATTCAAGACCAGCCTGGCCAACATGGTGAAACCCCGTCTCTACTAAAAATACAAAAATGTGCTGGGCGTAGTGGCACGCACCTGTAATCCCAGCTACTCAGGAGGCTGAGACAGGAGAATCACTTGAACTCAGGAGGTGGAGGTTGCAGTGAGCTGAGATCGTGCCACTGCATTCCAGCCTGGGTGATAGAGCAAGACTCAGTCTCAAAAAATAAAGTAAAATAAATTCCCTGCCTGAATGACCCGAGCCACTTTCAGGCCCTATGTAGTCCTTCTCCCAGGGTTTCCCTTCCCAAAGGCTAGCCAAACTGGTACACACTCTTCCAGGGGTTGCCAGGCAGCAGCTGTTTAGCAGGAGCCCGGGAATGGCCATGGACACAGATCCCGGGCCTGGAACCTCCCGTGAGTGTATGTGAGGCCCCTCTAAGAATTGGAGGAGCCAGTAGTAAGGAAAGAAGAAGGAAGGAACTGAATCTGGGGTACCGGATGTGGACTCCCCCAGAACCACCATATTCTAGTTCAAAATTCTGAGGAATCTGAGAATGCTAAATTTGAACCTAGCTCTGGCTTATTATAAGGGTGTATTTGTCAATGTAGGAGATGGAACATATTTTATTTAACACTTTGCAAGCTTGTCTTATGACTTATAAATACTTAGACATAAACTAGACAGGGCTCCATTGTATTCTTGCCCGAGGCCCCACAAATGTTAGAAGCAGGTTTGTGTAGAAGGAGGGAAAAAAGAGGTAGGAAGAAGAATGAGGGAGAAAAAAAAGTAACAAAGGGCTAGATATGATATCTTGATATACTGTACTCAGTATAAAGTAAAACGCCTGGAATATTTCAGATGTTTAGTGTAAATTTGCTGAATGATGAAATAATCAATCAATCAATAATAAGAAAACAAAACCAACGTTACTGTAGACATAGTTATGACCAAACTGGGGATCACAAAACTTTCCAACATGAACTGCCAACTCCTTCAGGTAGCTCGTCCCAACCTTGATCATAAAACAGACCTGATGGCTTTAGTGACTCATGCATTGCACTATGCATAGAACCCTCCTGACAGGTCGACAGAGAATGAGTTGACACTCAGGAAACATCCTCACATCTTAGGCTTCAGGCAGATCAAATAATCAATATAAAAATAGGAAAGCCAGCGTCAGGACTTCTCAAATTGTAACAATTCAAGATGAAAACCTTAAATTTGGCAAGGTTAATTAAGCTGAATAGGAAGGGTTCAGATGTATGCAAGCATAGTGCAAACAGAAAATCAGTTTGGCCCCCCTGGAAGTGGTTAGTAACATTGCTAACCCAGGTTTACTTGTTTAAACTTATTTTCCAGTTCCATTTTTGTAACCAAGCATACTTGAGTAAGAAAGCATGTTTATCTCTCTCTCCTTGCCACCTCCCATACCTGACCTCTGCTTATCTACATGGTGGTTCTCAATCCTTAAAAAATCCCACTGTCTAAACTCTACCTGCAGAAATTCTGTTTAAACTAGTCTGGGATGGGCCTGGGAATCAGTATTTTTAAAATGTCATTCTTTACCTGGAGCAAACAAAATAAAACAAAACAAAACAAAACTAGAAGGAGTGAAGATCCTCTGAGGAGGTAACCTGGAAAGTCCCCATCAAAGGGAATAGCTAATTATGACACACAGACCACATATCTCTTGCTTTCACCACTGAAATTTATTCTGTTTTTGAATGGCTCACTTCCAGATGTTTCAAAATCACTGATATGTATTTCGGTTTTCTGGACTAAAGTTTTCTAGACTAATCCACTCATATTTAGACTCATCTGAGTATTGATATTCTCAATTATTTGTGCCATATTCATATTAAGAATGCTTATTACATATCGAATAATGCCATTTTTCTCTGCAGATCTCAAATTTCCATGAGTATTAGAGTCTCCACTGTGATAAAATTCACATTCAGAGCTTTCATTCAATAAGCCTGCCAAGGGGCTTAGGGGCTTGCATTTTGAACAAGTTCCACAGATGAGTCAGCTATTGGTGCAGGCAACCCTTTGGAGAAATACTGCTCTCAGGGCACCCAGATCTATGAATAATCACCAGACACGAAAGATTTCTTCTCCTTCTGCTGCACTTTGACATTTTGTAAAACAATGACACAGCCATTCCAACTTTGTCATAGAAAACTAATTACGAATAGCTTGATTTCCTTTGCTCTTGATAGTGTTATTTAAAAACACCATTTCAGAGTCTGTGGTGTAGTCATATCAACTCTTATGAAATCTTGGCAAATTGATCAACCTTTTACGAAATCCCTGAACTCATTGCTTATCCCATTACCAGTCTCTAACACAGGGCACACAATACAGTATATTACCTGTTAATGAATATAATCACATATATCATGCCAAAAATAAATAGATGATACTTAGAGTTTTGAACAACTTAGCTTGCACTGATGGTTTGACAATCATGCAGGACTCCACCTGCATGATTTCTTACCTTTTGGGCTGTTCCTCAATTAGAGAGGGCAACAAAATTGGAAAGGTACCATTTGATCTTAAAGCCATATGGGTTGCTTTCCAACTTCTTGGTTCTTTTAAATCGTTGCTAATTAATTGCTTAATGATTTTTTCCGCTAGCTTCCCAGGTATCAGTGTAAGCTGATACTCCACTTGCTATCTTGCAGAGAATTGTCCTCCATGACTTCTCAAAATCGAAGACTGGCAGCTGTGCAGTGACATCTGCAACTGTTAAATATTCCCTAGGTCCAAATAGTATTTCATGATTTATTTCATTTTCTCTGTAGAACAGTCCCATGAAGACGGTAATATTATCCCTGTTCTGCAAGAATGGAGGGCAAGGTTCAGAGGCCTTTCTGTCCCAAGGTCACTCAATTAGTAAGTAAGGTGAGTTGAGATGGAGCCTGAGTGTTCTGAAGATTCATCCAATTCTCTTTCCACTGCATTACACTGCTAGTCATCTGGCTCTGCTAGTTCCACTGTACACAGACGTTCCAGGTACTCTTTAATTACCTCTTTGCCTGTCCTAGTTGGCCTTCCCATCTCCTCTCACAGCTGAGACTTGTTCTAGCCAAGTGTTCACATCTGACCATTTCTATAAAAGGGAGAAATGAAAACTACATAAAAAGTTTCTGCCATTTCTCTGTCCTCTATCACTACCTTTTCCTTTGCTATTTATCGAAGGATATTTTTCCGGTCATCTTCTTTGTCTATTATGTTCATCATTGCCAAGTATTAGTTGGCCATGACTGTGTGGTTGGCACCATATTAGGTGCTACTGTGGTCACACAATAAAAGGACAGTCTCAGAGTGCCAAACTCATACTGGCTACGGCTGACAAACAGGAGAGGAATTACATGTGGGCGGGAGGAGTTGAGCCAAAATTAACTCAAATAAGTGTGAGCTTTGACAAGGACCAGGTGCAGAATGGATGCGTGGGAGGTGGAGGTAGAGGATTCTGCTGTCCTGTTCCTCTAAGCCTGGCTGCAATCCCATACAATTCCTGGGGAGTGGAGATGGTCGCTCCTCAAGGTGATTACTACATGTGCTGCTGATCAAAGGTACTCAGTAGTGGTTGTTCAGATGGACACTTATTCTGGGCTTCTTGAGGAAAGCCCCCTCTGACTCACCTGAACTAACTTGGAATAAGTCCCCCCTGGCTTCATCAGCTATCGTTCATCTCTATCATCACATATGTATTAATTTTAACCATTGTTGGACTGTATTTCATGTACAGTTGTTAAAGTTCGTTTGTGCAAGAGCTCAACATTTGAAGCCAATTAAAATTTTAGCCAACAGAAACTAGTTTCTCAATACATAGTAACTGCACATCCATAATACGTGTGGAAGGCACTGTGCCCAGGGCTAAAGGAACAGAGGTGACCAGACACAGATGTTTCCTGCTCTCATGGAGCCAGAATTCTAGCTATCTTGGAATTCCAGCTATCATTCACAGGATCTTTCACATAATGATTTAATCTATTTCTCATCAGTGTGTAATGTGAAATAACATAGTCTACAGAGGTGGAATTTTTTTTTTCTTTGAGACAGAACTTCGCTCTTTGTTGCCCAGGCTGGAGTACAGAGGCACCATCTCAGCTCACTGCAACCTCCGCCTCCCAGGTTCAAGCAATTCTCCTGTCTCAGCCTCCCAAGTAGCTAAGATTACAGACACCTGCCACTACACCCAGCTGATTTTTGTATTTTTAGTAGAGATGGGGTTTCACCATGTTAGCCAGGCTGGTCTCGAACCCCTGACCTCAGGTGATCCGCCTGCCTCGGCCTCCCAAAATGTTGGGATTACAGGCGTGAGCCACCACACCCGGCCTGGAATTTTTACTTTAATATTTCAATGCCCAGGTCCCAGAGAGCCTTTGTTAATTGGTCTTTGAGGAGGCTTGGGCATTGACATTACCTGAAAACTTCCCCAGATAACTAACTGAATGCATCCCAGGAGTTGAGAACCAGCTCTGGTCTAGTGTTTCCTATCCCTGCTAGGTCCTAAGAATCACGTGAGGATATTATTAAACCTGAGCTCTAGCGCCACTATATTAGAATAGAAGGGCTGAGAATCCATATTTTTAACAAGTATTCCAGTAATGTTTATAATCAGACCAATTTGGAATATACTAATTTTGTCACAAATGAAGTAAACTCTATCAATTGAAATGCAAATCTACCATAAATTCTGGTTTTTTTAAGTTATATTTTTTAAACGTGTAATCAATTTTTCATTATTAATGAGGCAGAACTTACCTTTACAATAAATCTCATGCCATTTGATATGATTTGGCTGTGTCCTCACCCAAATCTTGAATTGTATCTCCCATAATTCCCACACGTCGTTGGAGGTACCCAGTGGGAGGTAACTGAATCATGGGTGTGGTCGTTTCAGTGCTGTTCTCATAATAGTGAATAAGTCTCACAATTTCTGATGGCTTTATAAAGCGGAGTTCCCCAGCACATGAGCTCTCTTGCCTGCCTACATGTAAGACATCACTTTGCTCCTCGTTGCCTTCCTCCATGATTGTGAGGCCTCCCCAGCCATGTGGAACTGTGAGTCAATTAATCTCTTTCCTTTATAAATTACTCAGTCTTGGGTATATCTTTATCAGCAGCATGAGAACAGACTAATACATTATTGTTTTATGAAATATCAGAATAAAGTAGAATTAAAGTACATATGCCCTTATATGTTGTTGACCTTTAAAGGGCCAAATTAACCATGGAGTTTATCCTGGGAGCCTTAATACAATTACAAATCAGTTGGCTAAAATATGAAATAAATTAAGCATTATTGAAATGTAATTCCAGGTTTGGATTCATAATATCTGATTTCTTGTTTACAAACTAACCTAAACATTTCTTATTAAATGAAATTTAGTCATGACTTAAAATATTTGAAGAAAAGCAGTCATTCAGAAAATTAAGGTCAATCAAAAATAGATGGCACTTATTGATTAGCGCGTTGACTTCTCTGTTATGCCAAGTAAAAAAACAAAAACAAAATCTGCGTTAGAAGGCAGTCCTTCTTTAAGGTATATGTCTCATGTAGGAATGCATATGTATTTTTTTTAATAACTCAGACCTTTTTAATAGTACCAGCCTTTCACATTTCCTTGCAAGGCTTCTGCTATTTAAAAATAAAGTTCTGGCAAGCATGGATTTGAGAGGAAACATATTTTCATGTCACATATCTGTTAAGTCTTCTCAGGACCTACTATATATACTGCATTTCCATTGACATCCATTAAAAAGAAAACATCTTTTCGCTACCTTTCTATAAGTCTTTTAAAGAACTTCATTTTCAGCCTAGTGATATTTTGAAGAAAAACTTCCCAATTATGATGCATAAGAAAAAAACATGTTCTCAAGGTTCAGGGGACTAATCCACCTCCACCACTAAGATAAAGTTTGGGCGAGTAAATGACACTGGTGAGGGAACCACATGATTTTGGTGAAGACAAAAGTAGCAGATATTATTCCAGGGCAGCAAACCACAGTGAAGCACAGAGTTGCTGTTGTAGAGCTGTTCCATCACTCATTTCCATTACATCCATCTTTCAGATATAATGAGCAACCCAGAATTCTTCATTTAAAAGTAGAGAAAGTCTCTTTCCAGGGCACTGAAACGTGAAAGACATCAATAAAGATGAAGAAATGGGCCTTTTCATTTTGATTGGAGCTAAGTAGTTTAAAAATGATAATGGGATTGAAAGTTTATTTAATAAAAAATTATGCTGTGAATAATAAATCAGATATTGTAATTCTCACATTTAAATCATTTTCTAGAATATCTTAGATTTTTAGTAGAATATGAGTTCAAAACTAAGAACTAGAAAATACATTAGATATTTTTCTACACTGAAGGACACTTTTCTTCTTTGTTGAAAAAATAAAAGGCAAAATCATGCCCTAAACTGATACTTATGTATAATATAGTATATAATTTTAAAACTGAATGTTTTTCATTGCTTTACAAATATTAATTTATTAATCATTACTAAATTCCACTGTGAAAAATAGCAAAAATGCTATTAAAAGAAGCCATACCCTTGTCCTGCCTTCCAAATGGCTTTTCCTACATTCCTACTGTAGGCTTCACCTACAGCAAAGAGCTTTATAATTTATTTTCTTTTTTTTTTTTTTTAATAACACAACATAATTGTATTTAATTGATACAGTATCAATTTAGGGCCTTAGTGCTTGCTTGCCACATTGTCCTTTGAGTGACACATGGATTATGGGATGGAGTGTGTGGAGAAGCAAGTGTAATTCCAGCCCATTGTTTGGCCTGAGGGTAAACAACGTTCATGTGGCCATAATAATGTAAATATCTTTGACTGGATTTCAACTTTTAGAGTCAACCTGTAGAAAAATCCAGAAGACTTAATGGCAGCAAAGACTGCAAATGCCCACAATTTTCGCTTTTTTTTTGTTTGTTTGTTTGTTTTGTTTTGTTTTGTTTTTGTTTGTTTGTTTGTTTTGTTTTGTTTTTGTTTTATTGATCATTCTTGGGTGTTTCTCACGAGGGGGATTTGGCAGGGTCATAGGACACTAGTGGAGGGAAGGTCAGCAGACAAACAAGTGAACAAAGGTCTCTGGTTTTCCTAGGCAGAGTGTTTGTGTCCCTGGGTACTTGAGATTAGGGAGTGGTAATGACTCTTAACAAGCATGCTGCCTTCAAGCATCTGTTTAACAAAGCACATCTTGCACCGCCCTTAATCCATTTACCCCTGAGTGGACACAGCACATATTTCAGAGAGCACAGGGTTGGGGGTAAGGTCATAGATCAACAGGATCCCAAGGCAGAAGAATTTTTCTTAGTACAGAACAAAATGAAAAGTCTCCCATGTCTACTTCTTTCTACACAGACACGGCAACCATCCGATTTCTCAATCTTTT
Source organism: Homo sapiens (assembly GCF_000001405.40). Taxonomy (NCBI): domain Eukaryota; kingdom Metazoa; phylum Chordata; class Mammalia; order Primates; family Hominidae; genus Homo; species Homo sapiens. Next base: position 191,742,984 of record NC_000002.12, on the reverse strand, counting down.
CCCCACCTTGCCCCCTTTTCTATTCCAGAAAACCGCCATCGTCATCATGGCCCATTCTCAATGAGCTGTTGGGTACACCTCCCAGACAGGGTGGTGGCCGGGCAGAGGGGCTCCTCACTTCCCAGTAGGGGCGGCCGGGCAGAGGCGCCCCTCAGCTCCCGGACCGGGTGGCTGGCCAGGCGGGGGGCTGACCCCCCCACCTCCCTCCCGGACGGGGTGGCTGGCCTGGCGGGGGGCTGACCCCCCCACCTCCCTCCCGGACGGGGCGGCTGGCCGGGCGTGGGGCTGACCCCCCCACCTCCCTCCCGGACGGGGCGGCTGGCCGGGAGGGGGCGCTGACCCCCCCCACCTCCCTCCCGGACGGAGCGGCTGGCCCAGCGGGGGGCTGAGCCCCCCACCTCCCTCCCGGACGGGGCGGCTGGCCGGGCAGAGGGGCTCCTCACTTCCCAGTAGGGCGGCCGGGCAGAGGCACCCCTCACCTCCCGGACGGGGCGGCTGGCCGGGCGGGGGGCTGACCCCCCCACCTCCCTCCCGGACGGGGCTGCTGGCCGGGTGGGGGGCTGACTCCCCCACCTCCCTCCCGGACGGGGCGGCTGGCCGGGCAGAGGGGCTCCTCACTTCCCAGTAGGGGCGGCCAGGCAGAGGCGCCCCTCACCTCCCGGACGGGGCGGCTGGCCGGGCGGGGGGCTGAGCCCCCCACCTCCCTCCCGGACGGGGCGGCTGGCTGGGCAGGGGGGCTGACCCCCCCACCTCCCTCCCGGACGGAGCGGCTGGCCGGGTGGGGGGCTGACCCCCCCACCTCCCTCCCGGACGGGGCGGCTGGCGGGGGGCTGAGCCCCCCACCTCCCTCCCGGACGGGGCGGCTGGCTGGGCAGGGGGGCTGACCCCCCCACCTCCCTCCCGGACGGAGCGGCTGGCCGGGCGGGGGGCTGACCCCCACCTCCCTCCCGGCCGGGGTGGCTGCCGGGCGGAGACGCTCCTCACTTCCCAGACGGGGTGGCAGCCAGGCGGAGGGGCTCCTCACTTCTCAGACGGGGCGGTTGCCAGGCGGAGGGTCTCCTCACTTCTCAGACGGGGCGGCCCGGCAGAGACGCTCCTCACCTCCCAGACGGGGCGGCGGGGCAGAGGCGCTCCCCACATCTCAGACGATGGGCTGCTGGGCAGAGACGCTCCTCACTTCCTAGATGGGATGGCGGCCGGGACGAGGCGCTCCTCACTTCCCAGGTGGGATGGCGGCCGGGCAGAGACGCTCCTCACTTTCCAGACTGGGCAGCCAGGCAGAGGGGCTCCTCACATCCCAGACGATGGGCAGCCAGGCAGAGACACTCCTCACTTCCCAGACGGGGTGGCGGCCGGGCAGAGGCTGCAATCTCCGCACTTTGGGGGGGCCAAGGCAGGCGGCTGGGAGGTGGAGGCCATAGCGAGCCGAGATCACGCCACTGCACTCCAGCCTGGGCACCATTGAGCACTGAGTGAATGAGACTCCGTCTGCAATCCCGGCACCTCGGGAGGCCGAGGCTGGCGGATCACTCGCGGCTAGGAGCTGGAGACCAGTCCGGCCAACACAGCGAAACCCCGTCCCCACCAAAAAAACACGAAAACCAGTCAGGCGTGGCGGCGCGCGCCTGCAATCGCAGGCACTCGGCAGGCTGAGGCAGGAGAATCAGGCAGGGAGGCTGCAGCGAGCCAAGATGGCAGCAGTACAGTCCAGCTTTGGCCCGGCTTGAGAGGGAGACCGTGGAAAGGAGAGGGAGAGGGAGACGGGAGAGGGAGAGGGAGACGGGAGAGGGAGAGGGAGACAGGGAGAGGGAGAGGGAGACGGGAGAGGGAGAGGGAGAGGGAGACGGGAGAGGGAGAGGGAGACGGGAGAGGGAGAGGGAGACGGGAGAGGGAGGATATAATTTATTTTCAATCAAGTTCCTAGGAAGAATTTGGTCTTTTTCTCACTAATTATACCATTTGTTCCAAACATCTGATTTCCAAGTTACAGAATAAATGATTCACAGTATGGATTTATTCCAACATAACTTGTTCTCAAACCACATTTGCTGACATCTCACTGAAATCTAATGATGTGGAAAGACATTTGTGTTATGCTATTAAATAAAATAACAATTTATCAAAAAGCTACATGGTGCTAAAATGTGCAAATACATACCTATAGCTATAGCTATCAATATGTCTCAAAGGAATTATAGTTTATTCACATTTTCTTTCCTTTTTGTTCATCTGTGTTATCTAATTTTTCCACAGTAAACACAACTTCCTATTATAGTATTTCTTTATTTTTTATTCATTTAATTTATGGTATATGACTTATGTGATATACCATAGCCTTAGTCAGGGTGATAAGAGATAAAGAAGGTGATAGTTAAGATTATCACACTTGATCGTATTTAAATACATTATTCTTAAATAAGCAGAGAGCAGCAAGACCTGTTAGACTTGGATTATACAAATTGGATGATACCAATATCATCGAAATTTCCAAAAAATACTGGAGTTAGACTTTTCATAAAAATTTTCAAGACCTGATTAAGTATTTCACCCTCTGCTCACCCAACAGCCAGGCTTCCTTGTCTCCTCCTACTCACTCAATACTACCCAATGCCCTTCTGGATGTATGCTGCATGACAACCAGCAGACAGCTGGGAGTATGTGAGACTCACCACATTTTCCACAACAAGGGCAAACCAAACTCAGAACACAGCCTCAAGGAGCTTAGAAAAGACAAGCCATGTTCACAATCCACCATAAATACCACATAAGAAAGTTTCTTAAAAGGACTAAACCATGGTGGTATAAAATTTGAAGGCCTTCTTCCTGTGTGTTTGATTCCATTGCCCCACCCTTCCCCCTTGAATGTCTTCCTCATCTCTTGTACCTTCAGTCTAGTCTTTGCTGACTCATGACCTCAATTGTGACACCTGCTCTAGTTATGTTTTGCTCTCTTCCTTCTTTCATATTGACAAATTTATCTTTGTCTGCTCTCAAACTCAATATACATCTTCACTGCTCCATTGTTTTACTCCTCCCCCACCTGGCTTGCAACTGCCCTCCCAAATTTAGGTGTCTACTTAGTGGGACAGCCAACAGTTTCTCTCTGTGCCAATGCACCACCCCAGAATCAAGCTAAGCCCCCTCCTTCTGAAGAGCCATTCAGGACCCCATCTCCTGCAGTAGCCTCCAGCTCTTCTGATTACTTTCCCCAAGGAAATGGCATACAGCAAAGCAGATAGAACAAGAAGTGTTGAGGGAAAGGTGGTAAGAAAGGAGTAAAGGTTGATAGCAACCAATTCTTTGTAGGCAGAGTCCGAGTTCTAAATGTGTATTAGATTGGGTTTGAGTCTATTTGACAGAGCTAAAAATATTGTATATTCATCATCTTTCTTCTCTGCCAATTTCAAGAGATGGCTTGATGGCTGCTCCCTTCTAGGCCCTTCCTTATGCTCACGCAGGGCACTTGGTAAAGAGAAAAGAGCCAAGAGGGCAGAGAGCTGCAGACCAAGGAATGGAATAGAACAGGAAGGCTGGAGGAGGAGCAGGGGAGGGCAGGCAAATCTGGGAGAAGGTGTGGTTTGGATGGACTGCCTTGGAAAGAGAATAGAAAGTTGAGAGGAGGGGCAGTATTGTAGCCATGTGAATAATGGGAACGTCATGTCTCCCTGCAACATAATTCCCTTTGCCTTCTCTTAAAGTCTGCAGTAAAAACATAAAGGAATTTTAAAGACATTTTATAATGTAGTTGTGTTTCTTTTAAATTTGACAGAAGCAAGAAGATCGAGATCTATTTAGGTTTCAGTACGTGTGAGATGTCAGGGTTAGTGAGGAATGTGACAAGTGAGAGTAGGCAAAAAAGAAGGAAAAACAGCAAACTCATGGCACCAGTATGGCCAAACAGAATCTAGTCTTTCAGTTGCCAAAGCTTTAAAAATACTCTTTATTTGGGAGATATACCCCTATTTTTGCTAGACGCTTATGGCTTCCAATTTTTCCCCACTAACAAGAAATGTTCTACAGTGTCACACTAATCTATTTAAAAACCAGAGAAGCAGAGAACCGTGAAAAATCTGCACAAAAATCCCAAGCCCATGACGAAACAAACAGAAATGTGCATGCTGCTGTATCTAGGTCCTTTAAAAGCTGTCAAGGTTCATTATAAAATATTAAATGACTGAATAAATATTAGCACAAATTCTTTTTTCATTTCAATAGAGACTAAAAGGGCATCAGGAACTGTTTCACTGATGAGAATGACTCATTCTATCCTAAGTAAACTCCTATATAATCAAGTTCATTATATTTCTCTGTATTATCTGTTTGGAAAAAGTAAATCTGTTAATAGGCCATAAATCTAAATTCTAAAAATTAATGTTGTATATTAAAAATATTATATTTTAAAAAATAAATTTATTCTGGGATTAAGGAATTATGGAAATGCAAATAAGCCCAAGAGCAAGAAAGAGAGAAATCATTTTAAAAACTGATACCATGAGTCTTTTGGTTCATCTTACTCACCATAGAACCTTGTTCTATTTAACCCTAATTTTGCCCTGATCAGAGGCACTAGAGTTATGGTCTGGCTTAGCTGCACTTTTGCAGTATCATAAACCAAGAGTAATTCTCAATGTTAACAGGACACGTCCCATACACATGCAGCTGAAGTTTGCATCTCTCTGATTCATTAAGCTCATTTGTTACCAGATTTTAACTTCACAAGTCCAGAACTTTTAGTACATCTTGCCAAAGGAATTCATATGGACACCAATCTGCCCAGCAGTTCCTCTGCAGGCTATGTCTGCATAATACTCTCCGTTCACAGTAAAGCTTCACTCCGTAAGCTGAAGGTCTTCTGAATCATTATGAAGATGTGTCTGCTGCTTGACTTCTCCTTTAGGAACTTCTAGGAAAGCTTCATAATGCCCCATCATTTCCAAACAGAAATAAATGATAAGCCAAGAATACATACTCTCCAGTTTCCTAGGATTTCAGTATTATATAACCACTACGTCTTCCTAAATTCCTTCCAGACAGCCAGCTTTAATTCTTCCAGCAATCATCTCCTTCACTCAGTCACCATAACTTAGAATCTTCTACTAATCCTAGGAAATAGAGAAATATGGTCATGCCATATGTTTCTTTACTGGAAAAAAAATTTTGATGAAGTAATTCTATTTTCATTCTATTTTGCACAGGTGGCAGAAACCGTGATTGTATTTTTTTTTCTTTTTATGTGCCCTGTTAAGCCTTGGAAAACAAAGATAAAATCTGAGCTTCCTGCAAGTTTTACCTACTCAGCCACTTACTTTCCAGGATCCTTCATCATGAAAGCAATTGTATGGGGTAAGAGATTGGAGTTAGTGCAGGAAACAAGAAAAGATAAAACTAGAGCCTCACCAAGGGAACAGCCCCAGACCAGGTATATTGGGGGCAAGAGGAAGGCGTTAAAGATGAAATGGAGTTTAAAGACAAACAAGTTTTAGGTGCACAGTGACCATGCAATGCTCCAAAGCCAGGCGAGTATGATATAACCCATTAAATTTTCTCTTGCTTTGGTTGTTAGGAAGCCGAATATTATGCGTTTATTGTTTATTACCATAAATACCTCTGTGTGAACTCTGTTCCCAGGTATACAAGATGCATGGCAGTGGTGGTTGGAGAAAATTGCCATGGGATTGGCACATGGATTGGCACTGAGCACAGGGATATGAAACTTCATGCTCATGATTGCAATTCAGGAAGCCAAAGGGCAAAGGAAGTATTGTATGGGGTTTGTGATCTAAGTATTAAGAAACCAAAATGCAAATACTAATAAACATGGAACCAAAAAGACTTTATGTATGGAGCAGTGCAAAGCTGGTACAAGAGCTGTGAATCCTCAAGAATGCAACCTCTACTGTGAGTATGCTGGAAGAAATTAATGATGCTAAGGTGGAAAGTCCTCCATTTTGAGACACTTACTAATTTTCTGCTACCTTTCATGGGATTTTTTTTTATCATCTATGCCATGCTGTACCAGGAAGCAAAGAGAACTTTCATCCACACTGTTGACAACTTTTGTGCATGAAGTTGGCAACTTGCAGCACCTGGCAGCTCCTAGTGGCCCTGACACATTGAGCCCCTGCTGGTCCTTGCTCACGTACTATTTCAACAGTTTGTCTCTCCCAGCGACAACCTTCCTGGTGTTCCAAAAGCTCTCATTTTTTAATGTAATTTTTCAAAACTCTTTATTATCAGCCTTACCAAATAGTCAATATTTTCACATCAATAGTAGACTTGACTCTCTCTAGGTAAGTTTTCGGCTATTTTCCTCCCAACTGTTCATGTTTATGGACATCTATAGAGCTGTGTTTACAATCACCTTTAACCTAAAATCTCATGACTACTATTGGGCCCTACAGTAAATATTTACTGTCGATTAGGATATGGGATGCTCCAAGCCCAGAACTCAGAGGTTGTAAAGTCATGATCCGGACAGCACTATTTTGAACTGAATAAGGTTATTGATGATTAGTGCAATTACAATAATAATATCTGCATGACGTTTTATATCTTATGAAATACTTTTACGATACTTGTGTCTCTTGAGCTACGCAACTTACTAAGGTAGTGGAACACAAATTTGTATTAATTTCTATTTACAGGTGGGAGAAATTGAGGCCCTACAAGGTTAGATGACTTGCTCAGGATCAACAATTGTTAAATGTCAGAGCAGGGATTCAGAACCAGGACATATGACTCCAAGTCTAATATTCATTCCACCATGTATCACCGTGGCCTTTTCCTGTCTTGAGCCTACATTAGAATTGAAGTCTCAAACTAAAGGGCACTCACCATTTTGCTGGCATAACTGAGCAGCTGAATGTCACTCTTGAGGCTTTCAGTCTTGCATCTTTATAGTTGTTTCACAATTGCCTGGTCTTTACATCTCCTAAATGCCTTTCATATATATAATAAATGTCAGAGACAGTGGTTGGTCATTTTCATTTGACTTCTTAATGATTTGATGAAGAATGTACAAGTGGCCTGTGTATACTCGCTTCAGAGGTCAGCTTGAAGCAGCAAGTCACTGTAAAGATAAGCATTTAGCCATTATATTCATTCATTTTAGGCAAGGATGGTAGTTTATCATTTACTCCTCTTCTTTGGAGCTGATAAAGAGATGACTCCTTGGGCTTAATTATCATGAAAGAGGAAGATATTGTCCTCTTTATAGGAATCAGAGCTGTATGTCGCAAGGGCTGTGAATAAAGTACCTACTCCAGAAAGTCCGAACAGGTCCCTAAGACTATCTCCTTTTATGTGTATTTAAGACGACTGATTTGGGGCCACCCTTTGAGAAGGCTAGGATGAGGATACTTCATTTTACATCAGACTTGGGCACTCAGGGCTCATATTAACTCCAGCTTCTTCCAGTACAAAATGAAATGAAATATATTGACTAAACGCTGAACAGTTCTCTATTAACCCCCTCACTTTCATGCATGTCCTCATTCCTCCAAAGCATCTTTCCTCCAGACTAGATGACAGGGTATGTTTTTTAATACAAAGACTTCTTTCCAATTAAGAAAAGGAGGGGGGGCTAGGCTCCCACATGAAAATAATTGTAATTTTTGGAATTTTTATATCTGTTCAACAAGAAAATACAGAATAACAAAAGGCTTCTGTGAATTCAATACAGTGTTTAAAAAGACAATTTTGTGTCTTATTCACCATGATATTATCAACACACTTTTGAGAAAAAAAGTAGGTAGTATATTATGCAAGACATATTTATGTTTCGTCTACATATGGATTCACAACCATCCTCCCACCCATATCTCCTTCCTCCCTTGACTCACAAGTTGGAAATAACTGATCTAGATATTTTGCTTCTCAGACTATTCCATTTTCTGAGCAGTCTTCACAGCCCTTCTCTAGGTATAGAGGCCAAACTTTAGGACACACAGAGTGAAGGGCATCGCCTGGGCAGATGGAATAGTTTCAGGAGCTTTCATTCATCTCTTTAGCAAACACTTCAAGCACCTTGAAGTGCCAAGCTAGGACTAGGTGGAGGTGATTTCTGGGGACTTCTCTACCTACTGATGTCTGAAATTGCACTAGTCAGAACCACATTCCTTTGCTATAAAGTTTAGATTTCTCAACGTTCCAATTTCCCTGACAAAGGTAATAGTAAGTTGTTAGTTGTTTCTCAATTGTAGCTACACAATAAAATTACCTGGGAAACTTTGAAAAGACTAGCAGTGTCTGAGTCCCAACCCAAGCCAATTAAATTAGATCCTATGGAAAATGGGAACCCACACACTGTTTTTTTGTACTGCTTTGTTTTGTCTTTAAGTTTCCAGATGATCTAATGGGTTTCTGAGTGAGAACGTCTTGTTTCTCAAAGTCTCTAAAGGACTTAAAGGAGGAGAAAGGTAACAAGGAGAATGTGGGGAAAGCCTGTAAATATGAACGGGCCCTGGAACTTGGATCAGTAGAGCAGGGTAGAGGAGGAAATCGTGAAGGCAAATTTCTTCAATCTCATATCTACACCCTCAACTTGTGGCCCCTCCCTAAACTGAACATTTCACTTAGGATATTTTCATCCAAACACTTTTCCTTTGGTTGAACGTCATTTCCTCATTCATTCAATACTTATGTGTGTTGGATACCTGATATTGAGTATCAAACATTAGGCAAAGTTGTCCTCTCATAGAATTTACATTCTAAGTGGAGAGAAAGACAATAAATTCACAATAAATTTTGCATCGGCTTTGTGCCTCTGCTGATTATTTCTTTTCTTCTGTTTGCTGCCAACTTCTAGGTACTTGGTATTACTCTGATCAGATGTCAATGTCTCTCATACTGGGTTTTTTCCATGTCTTCATGCATATGTATCATGCTGAGGTTTTTTAAAAGAGTATCTATAATTGCATTCCACGGATATATGCCTGAGATGACTAACTTCCATTCCACCCTTAAAAAATTGAAGAACTTTGGTTTCAAATGTCTCTGTTACGGGCAAAATGTGGAGTTAGGGTAGAATCTTAAGTCAGGGGACCTGAATTCAAATTCTGACCCTGTCTTACTAACCGTGTGACCTCAAACCAGTTACTTAATCTCCTCTTTAGGTCTTAGTCTTCTCATTTGTAAAATGAGGATAATAATATGAAAATCAAAGGTTTAAATGAGAAATAAACAATATATACAATCAACAGGGATCCACATAGAGCTCACACGTAAGACCAGTGGCCAAGATTGAACTGACCCTGTGACTAAGACCACACTTTCTAGGCTTTCTACTCCCAGCATCAAAAGTGAAGAAACCTCCTCCTCTTCACCAACAAACACACTCCTTCACCACTATTATCTGTCTTGATAACTGCCTCATGTTTTTATGTATCCCTATTTATGTCAGGCACCACAAAAACCCCTGACTTTCTCTCTTCTCACACACTCTGTCCCCTTAAAGCTCTATACATACCCTGTTCTGTCAGCTCCACCCTCCTTCCACTGGTTCTGAAGCTGACCCATTGGGCCTTCTGAAGTCCATAACCATTATTTGCGAAGCCCCCTTGTATCATCAATAGATTTGCTGCATAGAAATTTACTCCAAAGATTAGTGGCCTAAAACAAAAACAATCATGTATTATATAACATAGTTTTCACAATTGAAAATTAGGTAAAGCTTGGCTAGACAATTTGGGCATGGAGTCCCTCACGAGACAGCAGTCAGATGTCTGAGGGAGCTGGATTCATCTGAAGGCTTGACTGGGAATGAAGGCTCCACATCCAACATAGTTCACTCCCATGCTGGAAATTGGTGCTGATTGCTTTGGGGGAGGCAACTCTCCCTCTCCACTGGGACCTCTCTATAGGGCTGAGGGAGTGTCTTCATGACCTGCTAGCTGGATTCCCCAAGAGCCTGTGATCTAAGAGAGTAAGATGGAAGCTATAGAGCTTAATATGACCTTGTCTCAGAAACTACATGCCATCACTTCTGTAGTATTCTATTGGTCACACGGTCAGCTCTGATTCCATAAGGGAGGGAACCAAAAGAGGCTTAAATACCAGGAGAGGACAGTCATTGGGTATCATCTCAGTGGCTGGCTGCCACACCTCTATTTTCACAAACCATGATCTGAACATTCCCTTCACCTTTTTGCTCTCATCAAAACTTGACTTTTCCCTGAGAACACATTATCAGCCTCCCAAACTGGAGAGTGCCTTTCCTTTTGTAGCCCTCAGATCTTTGAGCCTGAAGATAGCTAGGTGTCATTCTTGCATCTCATTGCTTCCCTTCCTTCTCCCTCATCCCCCAAAATACCAGCTTTGAATCTCACATCATCAGATTATATCATGAACCAGTGATGCCTCTGCCATTCTCCTCATTTCTCTAGATTCTGGCTTCTGCTTAATGGTCATACTCACCAATACTATTCTGTCTTAATTCCTAGGGCTATGGACACACAGGTAAACCGTCATGCCCACACCCAGGCCTCTCAAATCCATGAATTTCTGTTCTCCATTGATCATGTCAACCATTCTACCACAGCCTCAAATCCCATGGTCATAGCCCAGCAATAAATGCAAAAATGCATTAGCAATAAAGGCAACATTTATTAATGTTAATTTCATGCATTGTACCCTCTGGCCACCATTTCCAGTCTTTTCTTTCTACTCTCTCTGCTATCCTATCCCCAGTTATCTTTCAAAGTCCCTGGGACCCCCAATCCATTGATCTACCATCATTCCACTGTCCCTCACTTCTTGATGTTATCATTCCCCTACTTATCAAGCTTAAATTCCATGGCCAATCTTTATGATTACTCCCATATATGCCTTTGCCTCATTTGTCTTCTTTGGATTTATTGTACTTACTTGGAAAACTGAAATTCTGGTTAAAATCCAACTCTGTGCCTATGTCAAACCTCCACTAAACAACTAAATATTACTGGAG